>NC_000002.12:9100909-9403939 GCF_000001405.40 Homo sapiens
CCATGACTTCTAAGGGTTGGAGCCTCCAAGCTTCTTTGGGATTTGGGACGTCCCTGAGGCACGCAGCCTGGGGAATGGGCTGCGCAGCCTGTTTTCTCTAGAACCTGAGCATGCAAGCACCACTCTTGCATTCTGATTCTCCAACCCCTCGCCTGGGAGGAGGCGAGAAAGGCTTGCCCTTCACCATATCTTCTCATCCCACATTTTCTGTTACATATGTTGCCTATGCCCTGAGTCCTTTCTGTTCCTCTAAACACCTGTGTTTGTTTTGTGTTTTTAGGTGTCATTTATATAGAAGAAAATGCGGCTGGGTGCAGTGGCTCATGCCTGTAATCCCAGCACTTTGGGAGGCCGAGGCGGGCAGATCACTTGAGGTCAGGAGTTCAAGATCAGCCTGGCCAACACAGTGACATTCTGTCTCTACTAAAAATACAAAAATTAGCTGGGCATGGTGGCACGTGCCTGTAATCCTAGCTACTCAAGAGGCTGAGGGAGGAGAATCGCTCAAACCTGGGAGGTGGAGGTTGCAGTGAGTTGAGATTGTGCCACTGTACTCCAGCCTGGGCAACAGAGTGAGACTCTATCTCAAAAAAAGAAAATGCACAGATCTTAAGCACTCAGTTTGAACAATATACAGAGCATCTCCCTCAACCCAGAAGGTTCCCCATGAAAGGGCCTAGACTTTTGAAAACCAAAAAAGTCCCCCCCTTATTTTCCTCTACCCTGCTCTGCTCATTCCCTTTGGGGAGGTAATGATCACACTCTGGCCTACCTGCAGCTCCTAACGGTGCCAAGTACATAGAGAAATGCCAAGGGCAAGGGGCAACCGTGAGATCGCATCTTAAACAGTATCCTCACATGAATCTCCCAATAACAAAGAATTATCCTCGTGACATTCACTCAGTACATTATAGTCCACTGAGCGCTCTCACTCTGTTCGTCTCATTTAACCTTACAATGTATTATTCTCACAATGTATTGTATTTGTATCCTTACAATGACCCATGTACAAATTATCATGCCATTTGGCAGATGAGAAAACTGAGGCCCAGAGTGAAGAGGTAATTTTCCAATGCTCCACAGGTGATACATGTCAGAGATGAGACAGGATCCAGATTCATGCCACTCCGTTTGTTTCCAGAGAATCTAATCATTACCAGCCTTCAGAGGGCAGAACAGAAAGACAGTCACTGATGCAGAGGATCTGAAGGGCTCCCAAGCCCTCCTCTTACCCAGCGCCACTCAAATTCCCCAGGACGGGGCTGCCTCCTTTCACTCCCCACTAGTTCTTACTTGGTGTTAAGCCATCAAAGACCTCGATGAATTGCCCCTGTAGAGGGTACCATGAAGACAGGGCCTAGCAAGTTTACTTCAAGGAGAAAAAGTGCCGGAAATGAAACAGATTAAGACAGTGGCCCACAGCACGGCAGGGGCTGACCTCCCGGGCCGCATCCAGACATTCTCACTTACAAGCAGTGTGATTCTGGGTAATTAACCAAACCTCTTTAGGCCTCTGTTTTCTCACATGTAAAGAAAAGATAATCACAGAATCTCCCTCAGAAGGGTTCTTATGAGACTTCCATGATATCATGCAGGTAAAATATCTCCCTGCCTGATTTGGAGTAAGCATCCATAGATGCTAGCTAATATCATTATCGAAAGGAGGCTGTGAAAACACGGACACTAATATTTCACTAGTGTGTCATTGACGCTGCAGCAAGACTACATTACCGTTTTGAAGTTAAATAAAACATAGAGATAAATCTCTGAGTTTAACATGTTTTATTTGGGAAGCAACAACTGCAGTTCGGGGGATAGACACAGAACGGTGGCCTCTCGTATGTCCAAAGAACAGAGAAGTTTGGAGGTTTTATGAAGAGGAGAAATGCTGTGTATTGTTTTGAAATAAAGTTCCTTGGCACTAGTAAGGTTTTGGGGATGCTGGCGAACACTGATTTGTGGGTGATGGTGTTAGATTTCAGCAGGTTGTTCCAGTGGCTGTTAGATAAAACTGGTTTCAGGTTACACCTGGCAGTTCCAGCAGCCAGGTCTGCAGAGAATCGTATGCTTGAAGGAACGTCTTGTGCCTCAAGCGCTTTACCCGCAACCTCTGGACTCTGTTTTAGTTGAGTGTGACAAGAAAGACCCAAGGCGTATGAAGCTTTGACCCTGTTTTGTAAACTCCCTTTGATGCGGTCAGAGTTCATTTGGGGAAACTTCTGGGAATAGTCAACACGGCCGGTTGGAAACGGAGGTGGAATTCAGTGGTTACAGCAGAAGCCTGCACTCTATCGTCCAGTGAGAGCAGCCCAGGGATGGGCACTCATGAAGGAGAGTGATGCTGCCCACAGGAAGCAGGCCAGTGCTGAGCAGAGAGAACCACAAGAAAAGCAGACAGGTCTGCCCGCGTTTGAGCTGGTATCACTTGCCCAGCAGGCAGGCATGGGGTGACACATGACTGGGCGAGCCACTCGCTGGGTGGGGCATTCACACAGGTCAGCTCAAACCAGATGGAGCCTGGGACTGTGACCAAGGAGCGAGTGAAGGTCAAAGCCACACATGGGGCTGAGGGGCCAGGTGGCCGCCTTATGAGATCGAAGGCGGGAAGCTTTGGAACAGGGCAAAAAGGGGAGCCCAGGGTGAGGGGAGAGGGCCGAGCAGCTCGGATCTCTGATGGTGAGCTGTGCAGAGATGGGGAAGCGCCTCTTTTCCTCTTTCATGTGGGTGTCAGGGGGGGTCCAGGCCTGAGGGAGCCAAGCTGGAGGGTGCAGGGTTTCGCGTCTGCCTCGGAACTGGATGTTTGAAAGCAAAGGTGAACGGCCCAGCAGGCCCGCTGGGGCACTGGGAGAACTGGTTTTTGCCATTTTAGGAATTGTTTGGCTTTGGCTTTTTTTCTCACTAAGAAATTGGAATCTGAAAGAGCCTTTCAGCTTATTGTTGAAAATCCATCAGGACCTGAAAATTAGAGACCGGGCCTGAGCTTTCAGCACATTTAAACTCACGGGAGCGAGGTGGAAAAGCCACAGGAAGTGGATGCACTAATTTAGAAAATAGGGAGAGGGAAGACAGCGCCTGTCCCCTCCCTGATTGACCACAGGTAACCCCTGGTCTCTCTGTCTACTGAGGCTGAGTGGCCTGTTCTGGGTCTGACTACCCTACCCTGGGGCCTGACTCTGCCCCGCCCCTCGCAACACTCAACAAACGCTTGTGGAAGGAGTGAACAAATGACAAGTCACGAAACCTAAATACAGGTATGTCACAAGAAGCCCTCCAGGCAGCGAGTCACTTAGCACTGCACAGGTAGCAACTTTCTAAAATATTTTACCTTTAGTATTGTCATTTCATATTTCTGTCTTTCTCTTACTTTAGTGTACTATTTTATGGTGTCTTAAACCATCACGCAATTCCACGGGTATGCAGCACAAAGAATTGAGAAGTAATTCCGATAAGAGCAGGGGAATAGTAATTGAAACTGACACCCATGTGACACTTTACAGTTTACAAAGTGCATGGGTCGCAATTCCAGAGTCTTCAGCTTTGGAGGAGACTGAGGTGCGGGACATGGAAAAGAAGGTCATTCTCTTGGAGCCCCAACAATGACCAGGAGAAATTCATTTGGCGGTAAAACCACACGAACCCTATTACATCACCAAGCCCTCACCGTTTCCAGCACCCAGGTGAGTGGATGGGGTAAATTCTCCACCAGTGACTGCAGAAGGAAACAAATAAAAGGAAAGGGGGCCGGGCGCGATGGCGCACGCCTGTAATCCCAGCACTTTGTGGGGCCGAGGTGGGTGGATCACCTGAGGTCAGGAGTTCGAGACCAGCCTGGCCAACATGGTGAAACCCCATCTCTACTAAAAATACAAAAATTAGCCAGGCCTGATGGTGTACACTTGTAATCCCAGCTACTCGGGAGGCTGAGACACGAGAATCACTTGAACCCGGGAGGCAGAGGTTGCAGTGAGCCGAGATCGTGCCATTGCACTCCAGCCTGGGCAACAGAGCGAGACTCTGTCTCTAAATAAATAAATAAAGGAAAGGGGTACGGAGACAAGCAGCCCAACCCTATACATTTGTCCCCAGGGTCTCTACAAAGAGGCAAGCTGGGACTGAAATCTCTCCCGAGTGTGGAAGACGGACGGGAGCAGCAGCCGGACAGCACAGCTCAAGGCCGAGAGGCTCACTGGGTGACTCGGGCCGCTTTGGGGTGGCTGTGAGAAGCGAAGGGAGGCTGACTCGGGGTGTGGTGGGGAGTGAAGCCACCACCTTATTGCCTAGGCCTTCCCTTGATGCACTTGGAAAATAAGTTGCTCTTTCTTCACCGGGTGGGGACATTAATTAATGTTTGCAAAAGTCTTTATGATCCTTGTCAAAAGGTGTTCGGCCGGCTCTAATTATCCAGGTTTCAGCTGCCACCGCTTCCATCTCAGCACAGCATCTCTGCCCTGGAAGATGTCAAACAAGATTGCTGTTGTCAGGATGTGCATCCAGCTCATGTGGATTTCTATCTGCATCTCCAAATACTGCCCAGATTCCAAAGCCCTGCAAGGGGATGGTATCTTGTTTGGGGAGATGAGACCTGTGCCCCGCCCAGCTCCACCCCGTAAGAAGGCAGCTGCCTGGGAGGTATAATTTGATAAGTTTCTGGAAGGACTCACACATCCAAAACCAACTCCCCATGTCTTCTCATGGGGGCCGGAAATTCCTCCACTAAAAATTCACTCCTTCACGGGTCTTCGATGCTTTCTCAAGTAGTCTAGGACACGGTGGTGGAGGGAGAACCAGCCCAGGAGCCAGGCAGCCTAGCCCTGGGTTTCCTCCTTGTGTGGGTGCTGGCTCTGCCCTTACCGGCCTGGTGACCTGGATAAACTCATTCTCTTTCTTTCTCATTTTTTCCACCTAAAATGGCAACGCTAATGCCTGTCTCACGTGCTGTCGTGCAGATTAGATGAGATAATGGATGTGAACGCCAAGTGTTGCAGAGACGTAAGCGGCATTATCGTTACTGAAATGTCCCAGCCAGATCATCCCCAGGAGGGATTAATGGCCCACCAGGACAGGTGGGCACCTGGGGTGGTCGGAAGAGCCAGGAGAACCACAGCAGGGAAAAAGACTTCAGGAAAGGAAAGGAGAGAGACCCCACCGCTGGCACAACCACAGAAGTTTTGGGGATGAGGAGGGGCTCTAGATATTTCCCCACTTCCCCAGACAGCCGTGTGCCCTTACAGGGGAACTGAAGCTGCCCACCCGGCTCAGGCCTGACCCCCCAGGTACCTGCTGCCCCAGGTGTGCGGGAGGAGGGTGATGGCAGACGGACACCCACCTGGTGAAAGAGCCAGTCAGAAAAATAACTGAGCGTGCCTGGGTGCATGCAGACACATCCCCAGGTAATTTAGACAAAAAGGCCCCGTGTTGGCACGAGTAGCCCATGGATGTCAGACCAGAGTAATTGCTTTCTTTGTCAGAATTTCCTGCATAATTTCCTCTCCTTTGTTTAGCTGAGAGAACCTGGCCTTGCATCTGGGAGTCTGCTTGCCAAACATGATTGGGTTCTTAGAGATGAAAGACACAGAGTGAGCTATTTTCCATAAACACACTGGCACATGTGTTAATTACTGCAAGGAGAAAACCAGCCCCCATGTTTCACGTGGGAGGTGCGTGGTGCTGTGGGGGGAGCGATGGGTGGAGGGAGGACACCCTTCAGGATCACAGTAGCTACTTCTCACCAGGACACTGCTGCCATCCAGCCTTTGTTCTGGGCATTTTGCGTTAAAAATCTCATTTAATCTTCACAACAGGCCTGTGAGGCAGAATCCAGGAATGGAAAGAACTCGGGTTTAGAAGCCAAACATTGCTGGATTTAGTTCTGTCCTCAGCCACTTACTGAGTGAACGGGGCAAGCTACTTGCTTACTGGAGCTTCAGTTTTCCCGTCTGTTAAATGGAAATAATACTGGCTTCAGTGTGTTGTGAGAATTCCCTATAGTAATGACTGTGAAACAGCTGAAACCCTGCAGGCAGGTGGTAAATGATAGCTCTCGTGTTGCCCTTTATGGATAAGGATGCAAGAAGTTTAGGATGGTTGGCCAATGCCACACTGCTGGTCAGCAGCAGAGCTAGGTCCGTCTCCCTGCCAAAGGCAGGCATTTTGCTCAGAGGCCACCAAACCCATACCCTTGGTGGCCAACATGGCAGCGGCCGGATCGGAGTCTCCCCCCAGTACTTTGTAAGCCCATTGAGGGTAAGACTATGCATCAGATCTCTTGGCATCCTTGGTATCCTTGGCAGGTCTCTTGGTATCCTTGGCATCCTCTCTCACAGTGCCGTAAATGTTCCTTAAATGGATGAAAGCATTCAGGAGCACCTAGAATAGATTGAGCAGATAACCGCATAACAGGTGTCCACTGTGTGCATATAACTTCAGCCTCTTCTGCGTTGTTGGGACATGAAGTCCCTTCGCTTTGCATGGAAAATAGTCTAGGCACCCCCTGGCTGACTTGCCACGATGCCTGTCCTCAGGACAGGAAGAAGGATGGGCCCAAGGAGGAGAATTGCGTCAGAGGTCAAGAAATGAACTCCAGCAGAAGTAGCACAAACAGGGAACCCATAAGGAAGCTTGTGATGAACAAACATAGGGCAGATGAAGTGGAATATTGGATGGAAACACACCTTGAAAATGCACAGACCTGTGGCAAGGGAAGGGATCACTGCTTAGATCAATAGCAGGGCCTTGGACCATGGTTAGGGGGATGCTTGTTAGTGCTTCCCTGGGCTGCAGGGAGCCACGGAAAACAGGCCAGGGCAGGAGACCGGCCAGTGACTCACACGGCGGAACACAGGTTTAGAGGAGCAAAATCTGAAGGGCCCCTCTCCTTCTCCCCACCTGTTTTCTGTCACGTGCTCTGGACCTGAGCCCACAGTGGGGCAGCTCCCTCGGCCTCCAGTGGAAGGCGGAAGCACTTGACAAAAAGCCTCCAGTTAACCGGGGCAAGCAGCAGGGTGGGGCTCAGGCCTTCTGGCCAAGTCCTTGTCTCCCTCGAGTCTCCAGCTTTCTCCTGAGAGGCAAAGCCCTCGCCAGGCAGGCTTTAATAAGCAGTAGTGCCCTGCACCCCTGCCCAAGTCCCCGGACCCCATGCTGGCAGGCTACTGCAGCCCCTATCTTGCCTGGCACATGGCACATGGGGTGTCTTGGCATGTGGGGTGGTGCTGTATGCCTGTAGTCACAGACTGGCACTCACTGCAAGAGCTTCCAATGTGTGAGAGCTGAGGCTAGAGTTCCTTGCTGCCTGTGAAGATGGTGCTGTGACCGGAGCAGGCCTCATAATGAGCCGGTGATTTCATCCCCTCCAGACAGAAGACAAAGTCTGTGCCTTCTGGGCAAAACATTAGCTGACCCGTGACACTGCTCAGACCCCAGAGGCCTGGCTCCCGGCCTGCCGGGAGCAGTCACTCCAAACAGCTGCGGCTGTGAGGCCTTCAGAGAGTGGCTAATTAGGGTCTCACCTGGCCAGCTCCAATCTGCAACCACAAGCTCGAGGCCCAGCTGCCTCTCCCCAGTGCCTCTGGGGCTCCGCTGCCTCCCTCACAGATGGCGAGTGACTTCCTTGATCTGTATAAACAAGAATTCTGCCTTATTCAAACAGCAATGATAGATTGGAGGATCTACTATGTACAACACACTGTGCTTGCATCCAATGGTAGAGTTAGAAAAAAAAATGTGATGTCCTGTGATGTTAAGAAGTGAAGAACCCCATGGGGAGGTAGCAGAAAACATCCAACAGTGAGTGGCAACAGGTGTGCTGGTCACCGAGGGCTTCTTGGGCAAGGTCATTCATGAACTGGGTCTTGCAGCACAGATGTGCTGGGAGTGGAAGAGGACACAGTTAGATGCCACTTTATCCTCACTATAGTGGCACAAATGGAGAAGGCTGATGATGCTGTGTGCTGGGGAAGAGGTGGGTGTGTAGGTTGTCTACCTGTTGGCCGTGGGAGTGTAAATGAGTCACCCACTCAGGAAAATAGCTGAACAACCCCCAGGGGTACATTCCTGTACACCACCACCCAGCAATTCCACTCGTAGGTATACACTTCAGAAAACTCTTACACAAAAATATTCACAGCAGGACTGTTCAAACGCCCACCAACAGAAGAATGGATAAACAGGTGTGTTCACACCATGGAGTATCAGACAGCGTCCAAAGAGAGGAATTACGGCCACCCTAGCAATATGGACAATGCTTATCAACTTACTACTAAGTGAGAAAAGTAAGTCCCAAAAGAGTACAAACAGCATGACACCCTCTCAAAGAAGGCAAAGAGATGTCAAATATAATATACACATTTTAGGACTCCAAGGAATAGGTAAGATGAGAGGACAGGATAGGAAAATAGGCCAGGAGCTGTGGCTCATGCCTGGAATCCCAGCACTTAGGTAGGCCGAGGCAGTTAGATCACTTGAGCCCAGGAGTTCAAGACCACCCTGGACAATATAGCGAAACCTCGTCTCTACAAAAAATACAAAAATTAGCCAGGTGTGCTGGCATGTGCCTGAAGTCCCAGCTACTTAGGAGGCTGAAGCGAGAGGATTGCTTGAGCCTGGAAGGTCAAGGCTGCAGTGAGCTGTGATCGTGCCACTGCACTCCAGCCTGGGTAATAGAGAAAGATCCTGTCTCAAAAAAAAAAGGAAAACACAGAAAGGAGGCACACAGGATTCGGGGTGACAGCTATCTTGGGATAGCTCCCTGCAGCCCAGGGAAGCACTAGGGAGGGAATGGGATGGGGTAGGCCACACAGCTGATGTCAGCTCTTGCTAAGGCCCAGCTTTCAGGCTGGGTGGTGGTTTCACAGGTGACTATTCTGTTACTTTAAAATGTGATCTATTAGCACAGCTAGGGACGTAGGACTATGCCTGTAATAGCAAAAGTAATAAAATGCATCAAAGCCCAGGATTATAATTTCACCAGTTTTGTACCTGCCGTCTGTTAGGCTTTTTCCAGTCGGAGAGCATTCCTTGAAGGGGAAGGGCATGAGCAAAGGGAATGAGTCTGGTTGTACAGGGGACAACAGGGGAGCCGGACTCCTGGTACAGAGGGTGACCTGGGGGGGACCTGGGGTGGACCTGCATGCGAGGGGGACCTATGCTTTCTAGTGGCTCTGGTCAGCAGGTCAGGTGTGGGTGCTTGGAACCTGTCGAGCGCCGAAGGCCCAGCCCTGCGGTCTCGTGACCTTGCCCCTGCCCTCCCAGAGCAGAGTGCTCTGTGGCTCCATCCCCTGCAGAGAGCACAGGCTGGGTGAGAGTTGGGGCGCCGGGGTTGGGACTGCAGGTGGCACTGTCAGACAGGGTGGGACACAGGGGACTTGCCTTCTCTTGCAGTAATTTACCCACCCATAAGTGGGTACCTCTAATTCGGGTACCTCTGAATTGAGATACCTTTCACTAGAACAACTTAAACATTCCAGAACCAGGACAGATCCTATCAGGCCTGAGATTCTACTAGGTTCTAGAATATCTGCCGATTGTGAAGAAGGTGGAGGCTTGGATTCACAGTCACCAGGTAGTGTTCTGTCCACACACACACCCCCACTGACCCCCATCTCCAGGCATCTGCCCTGATGGCCTCCAGGGCCCCTTCTGTGCCTGCAGAGATGGCGGCCTGCTCTCTAGGTCAGGCCAGGTTCCCGGGAGCCGAGGTCTGGCTGTTATTCCAGGAGTGCCCAGCCCCAGAGCTGCCACCTCAGGCCCCTGGAAGTTCTGCAGCCTGAGCTGCCGTCCTCAGACCACTCTGCCTCTGAGCGTGCAAGAGGCTCAGGGCCTTTCCAGGCCTCCCAGAGCCAGGCAGCAGCAGGGAGCCAAGAGCAGCCTGTGGCTCCACTGTGGCAAAGGACAGCCTATTTAGGCTGAGAGTGGGCCTGAGAGATCACAAATCTTTTTTCTTTGCCCAGAACTTTTAATTTAACCCTGACTTAAAAGGGTGTTCAGGGAGCATCATGCTAGAAATCCCAAATACGATGAAAGAATCCCACAACAGAGGTGAACAGAGGCCTGTTCCCAGGTTCATCCCGGGAAGGTAGCAAGACAGCGCCCCCTTTGCCCAGCTCAGTGAAGGGCCGGGGCAGCTGATGTGGCCTGCGCACAGGGTGAGGCAGCAAGGGTAAGAGCTTCCAGAACTCCAGGGAAGGCAGCGGAAGAGGGAAACGTTCACAGAGCACCAAGAGGGGCGCAAGGGAGCTCAACTCTACTGCCAGAACCTGCAGTCAGGGGTGAGGAGGCCACAGCTGAGGCCTGCAGGGGTAGAGAATGTCTCAGCACACCATGGGCCCCCCACCAGTACACACTCATCCCCCTCTCCCTGAAAACATCCCCCACCCCGGGGGCCTGGCCCTCAGCAAGTTTTCTGGGACTCAGCTGTAGCCGTGGGAAAGGAGGCTAGAGGCATCCACAGGGAGGTCCAGGAAGAAGGCCTGACTCATTTGAGGTCAACCTCCTGCCACCTAATGGAATGGGGACCAAAGTCGGCATTTAGACCAGTTCAGTAAGAAAAATGAAGGAGAGCTCGCTGGGCACGGTGGCTCACACCTGTAACCCCAGCACTTTGGGAGGCCAAGGCGGGTGGATCATCTGAGGTCAGGAATTTAAGACCAACAGGGTGAAACCCCGTCTCTACTAAAACTAGCCAGGTGTGGCGGCACACACCTGTAATCCCAGCTACTCGGGAGGCTGAGGCAGGAGAATTGCTTGAACCCTGGAGGCAGAGGTTGCAGTGAGCCACTGCACTCCAGCCCGGGCAACAGAGTAAGACTCTGCCTCAAAATAATAATAATAATAATAACAATAATTTAAAAATAAAAAAAAGTGAAGGAAGGCAGCACGATGGCACAGTGCGTGGGCTCTGGGGCTGGCCAGCCTGAGTTTGTACCATGGCTCCTCCATCTAGGAGCTGGTGGCTTTGGGCAAGCTTCTGAATCTCCCTGTGCCATTTTCTCATCCACAAAGTGGTATACTACTAGCACCAGCCTGTGTAGCTTAAGTGGGTATTATGCAAAATATTGAGAATAAGTCCTGGTAGAAGAGTAGGTGCTGCACTTTTATCTGTGTGATTGTTATTCCTTGCTCATAAGAGTTTGAGGACAGAGGTTTGCACCAACCACACTACCATCTCCCTTCTCTGCCTCTCTACCCATCACGCAGCTGTGAGGACTGCAGCCCAGGGAGGTGAGTGGCAGTGCCCACGCCACTGCCTGGTCTTTTTCCTGGCTCAGCTTCTCCCACTCATGCCTGGAGCCATCTCACCCTCCACACACGCACCCTCATCTCTGCCGCTCTCCCTCCGGATCAGCTGAGAACGCTGAGTCATCGAGTACCCCCCACCCCTCCGAGCCTGCAATGTGTCAACAGCCAGCCCACCCGGGCTCAGCTCCCAGCCGCCTGAGTCAGCCCTGACTGAGCCTCTCCCCGGATCCTGTCTCACCGGCCTTCCCCTCCAGCTCCAGGCCCTGCTCTTCAGGTGGCTCAGCTCTTGACCAACCTTAACCCTCCAGAGTCATCACCCCATCATCTTTCCTCCGCTTTTTGTTCGAACCTCTTAAAAGTCTACGCTCTGGTCTACACCTCCAGCTTCTCTTATTTGTGACTCAGTTGCCTGCAATCTGAACTGTGCTCCACCCCGCCACGCCCCACTCCCTGAAACAGTCCTGCTTGCAGTCCTCTTTCCTCCTGTCACGGCTGCGTGCAGCTCTCTGGGTAACGGGCGATTGCACGAGGTTCCGTGGTCTCTCTTGCTTTCCTCCCACATCTTAGACTGTCTTCTAAGTCTCCCACTTCTTTCATTTGCCCCCTCCTTAGGGAAGGGTCTGTCTTTGGCCCTCTCTCCTTCCCCTCCTCACTCTCCTGGGATAATTCAAACGTCAACTGACTGAACCTCCACACATTTGCTGATGGCTCCCAGGATGCATCTCAGGATGAGACGTCCCCTCTAAGATCCAGCTCCCTTTTGGAGGTCACCACCTCGTGGCCTGCAGTCACCCTGAAACTTGAATGTCAAAAATAGAAATAATCATCTTTCCCCCAAATTTGCAACTTTCTCCCATTTCCTTACTCAGAAGGCCCCCCCAGCATCCTATCCCGTGTGGGATTCACTCTTGCTTTCTACCCCCCTCCACATTACTGAATCTATCCCCAAGTCCTGCTGATTTTACTTCCTAAACAATTATTCTCTTCATTCTTACTGTTACCCTAGTTTGGGCCTTAACATCTGTAGCTATTATGGTTCAAATCATGTCCATTTCTCCATATTTTCCTCAAACTTACCCTCCCCTCTGTAGCCAGAATGTTCTTCCTACAGCCCAGGCGTAAGCCACGCCACTCCCCTCCCCCTACCCAGGAGAACCGTGAGCTTCTGTGCAAGATGAGAGGCCCACATGGCCTTCCCATCCTCCCTGCATCATCTTCCCATCCTCCCTGCATCTTTCCCATCCTCCCTGCATCCTTCCCATCCTCCCTGCATCCTTCCCATCCTCCCTGCATCCTTCCCATCCTCCCTGCATCCTTCCCATCCTCCCTGCATCATCTTCCCGCCCCGCCTCCCTAGAGGGAAGAGCTCCAGTGACTGCTCCTAAGCTCACCCGCCCCACTGGCCCTTTCTCATCTCCCTGCCTGGCCTGGGGCTGTGTCCCTGGGGGATGGAGGAGTTTTCCTGTGCTAGCTCACTCCACCCAACACCCAGACCCCGAGGCTCAGCCTCCAGCCTGGCCCGGGCCCCACCTCCTCAGGGCACACTTCTTGGCCCCCCTGGTTGGTTGGGGTGAGTGAAGCCCCAGGGCCCCAGCCCTAATCCCTGGAGGAATCTCTATCCCCTTACTCTCCTTCTGTCTCGATGTCCATTTCCCTCAATAGATTCGGACTGGACCTAGCCTTTCTAGACTGGGGCCCCACAAGACCTAGCTCAGCCAGTGTTTGCCAGATAAAAGGATGAATGACTATGAGGTTCCTTCCAGCTCTGAGCGTGTTTGTCCTTTGTTGACTTTAGAAATCGTTAAAACTTTAAACTTGAAAGAAAGTAGGAGAGAAGTAAAGAAGGAGGAAGAATGAAGCCTGCACCGGAACCCATGCTCTGTAATTCTCAGCACTTCTCTCAGAGAGCTCCATTCTAAGCGGAGTGTGGTGAACACAGCTCCTCCTCTAGGGGTGGTCAGGGGCCAAGGTAGACCCTGCTGAGGGCTAAAAACAGTGAACTAAGAATCAAGTTCCCCTACTGGCCTTCCCATACAGCTTCAGGAAACAGGTTCGATTATCTTGGCATCTATTTCCCAGGTATAAAACAGAAGTCACATTTCCATTTTGCGATTTATTGAGCAGATACTTCCCATAGGTATGTGGCTGCATATCCAATATGTCAGAAAGCAAAACACAAAAAACATTAAAAATAAGAAAGCAGAACTGCAGATTTATTCTAGCAGTGGAGCAAAGATAAATTTCTGGCTCTTGAAAAATTGAGCTTGTCATCAGACAAAATAGTTGGGTCTGAATAAATAAATGTTTATGCAACAAAATATAGCAAAAGATGTATTAAAGGAAAACAACAGAATTGAGAAAAATATATCACCAATCTAACTGCAAATGATTAAAATTGGTAGAAATGTATAATGTGCAGGTCTAGATGCCTTTCCAGGAAGTGAGCAAAGGATGAGTTCAACTGGTTTGCTCAGGAGCCATTGTCACAGCCCAAGGGAGCCACAGTGTGGCCTAGAGTGAGCCCAGCTTCAGTAATAATTCAGAGTCCACACACCCAACTTGCTTGATGAGCCTGTGCCTCTCCCTTCTTATGGAAAATGGATATTTATATGGTTTGGCTGTGTCCCCACCCAAATCTCATCTTCAATTTCCACGTGTTGTGGGAGGGACCCAGTGGTAATTGAATCATGGGGGCGGGGCTTTCTCGTGCTGTTCTTGTGATAGTGAATAAGTCTCACGAGATCTGATGGCTTTAAAAAGAGCAGTTCCCCTGCACAAGCTCTCTCTCTTTGCCTGCTGCCATCCATGTTGAGATGTGACTTGCTCCTCCTTGCCTTCTGCCATGATTGTGAGGCTTCCCCAGTCACGTCGAACTGTAAGTCCAATTAAGCCTGTTTCCTTTGTAAATTGCCCAGTCTGAGGCATGACTTTATCAGCAGTGTGAAAACAGACTAATATAGATATGATTACATCCACTTTGCAGGATTCTCATGAGGACAAATTAGAGCACCTGTCACTATAGCCAGCACTCAAGAAATGGGATTATCATCAGAGGGAAAAATGCACAGCCTCACCAGCTATTAAACATATGGAAATGATGACAATTTAAAGGTAACATGACTTATCTATTAAAGTAAAAAAAGTCTGGTTCACAAAAAGACTTGAACAAAAATATTAGTAGCAGTTTTATCTATTTATCTATAATTTCCAAATACTGGAAAGAGCCCAAATGTCCATTGGGGATAAACAAATTGTGGTATATCCATGCAATGAAATACGTCTCAGCAATAGAAAGAGCCACCCACTGGTACATGCAATAACACGGATGAATTGCAAAATCACCATGCTGGTAAAAGAGGCCTTATGCAAAAGATTTCACACTTTATGCTTTATAATTTCTCTCTCTCTCTCTCTCTTTTTTTTTTATACAGGGTCTTGCCTTGTTGCCCAGGCTGGAGTGCAGTGGTGCAATCACAGCTCACTGCAGCCTCAACCTCTCGGGCTCAAGTGATCCTCCCGCTTCAGCTTCCCAAGTAGCTGGGAGTACAAATGCATGCCACCATGCCAGGCTAATGTTTTTGTAGAGACAGGGTCTCATTATGTTGCCTAGGCTGGTCTCGAACTCCTAGGTGCAAGCAATCCCTCCTGTCTTGGCCTCCCAAAGTGCCAGGATTTTAGGTGTGAGCTACCATGCCCGGTCATATGATTCGATTTGTATGAAATTCTGGAGTAGAAGAAACTAAACTTTGGTAGAAAAAATTAAAATAGTAATTCCTGGAGCCCAGAAATTCTGATTCCAAATTCTGACTGTATCTATTGCAGAAGCATATCATACACAAATATATCTACATAATACTTTCCAATCATCCCTCTTAAACATTTTCTGTAAAACACACCTAAATCCCTTTTGGTTATATTACTTTGGGATTCTGTTTTGTGTGACTGCTTCAAGATCTTAATTTCTTCTTCCTACTTTTCATTCTCCTTTCTGTACTGTTCAGTACTGCCTTGTCCCAAGGAAGGAGGAAATCTTTGCTGGGGACTTCCATGTCCTAGGCCCTGCATCAGGTCTTTGCCTTGTGTTCTCCCATTTCATCTTCACAATGGCCCTGTGGAGCAAGTAGTATTTTTCTCATTTTATAAACGTAGAAACTGAGACTCAGCTTACTGGCATAGCTTGACCATTGTGATATAAGAGGTGGTTTTTCTTAGAGAATAAAGCATTCTTTTAGGCTTTATCTCTTAGACTAAGACCATTTTGAATCCATCTGAGTGAAAACCTTTTATTACAGTAAAAATGGCAAACTCTTTCATTCTCTTAGAGAAGAATTGGTCACTTACATGGTCTCGGTTCTGAGAAAGTAAGATGCTAACAGTCTCGATAAAGGGCTAATCTTAATTAATTGATTTTTTTCTGTTTTAATCCCACAGCTTATAAATAACATTAGCGGTGGCTTGGATTTATTGTTGTGGCCTCCGGAAGAACTTGGGCACAGTGTAACTTCCTGGGGCCCGAGGTTGTTAATCGGTGAATTGTTCATGAAGGACAGTGCTCACTGTGAAGGTGGGTGTCCTGGGATGCTCTGCCTGGCCCGCGGGAGACAAGGCTATGGTCTGACATCCCTCAGCCTGTCCTCATTGTCCTGGCTCTGAGAAGAAGCTACAAAACACAGTAGAAGAAAAAGAAAACAGTCTTTTAAAGACTTGTAATGAGTTGTTAATGATAAAAGTAACACATGCCAACTGGAAAAATGTGAATTTTTTATCTCAGCCAAAAGTATAAAGATACTTCGATTTCTTTAAAAACTTATGGAAATCTGTTGTTGTATGCATAGATTGTTGAATACATCTCTGCTTATTTAAACTCCTGAAAGTCTTATCAATGAGGTCAAAAGGCAGGAACAGGTTGTTTGTTGTTGTTGGTTATTTGTCTTTTTGAGACAGGGTTTTGCTCTGTCACCAAGGCTGGAGTGCAGTGGCGCAGTCACAACTCATTGCAGCCTCCATCTCCTGGGCTCAAGCAATCCTCCCACCTCAGCCTCTAGAGTAGCTAGGACTACAGGTGCACACCACCATGCCTGGCTAATTTTTTTTTTTTTGGTAGAGATAGTGTCTTGCTATGTTGCCCAGGCTGGTCTTGAACTCCTGGCCTCAAGCGATCCTTCCAACTTGGCCTCCCAAAGCACAAGGATTACAGGCATGAGCCATTGCACCAAGCAGAAACGTGTTTAAGGCTCTTAAAAATTATTAGAAAATATTGCTAACTTTTCTTCCAGAAAGGTTTTACCAATGCATGCTTTCATCAGCAATGTGTAGGAAGTATTTCATTGCAGCCTCAGCAATACTGCATATATTCATTTCAAAAACATAGCCAGCTTGCAAAAAAATGTATTTGGTGGTAGCATTTCATTAATAATGAAGTCACAGTTTTTCTATGTACTGATTTCTGACTTCTATGATTCTATTTACTTGAAACTGTAGAACATATATAGAGTTTTTTGGATATTTCTATTACGTCTATATGTTGTTTTACTTTGTAAGTTCTTTTTTGAGACAGACTCTCACTCTGTCGCCCAGGCTGGAGTGCAGTGGTGGGATGTCGGCTCACTGCAACCTCCGCCTCCCGGGTTCAAGAGATTCTCCTGTCTCAGCCTCCTGAGTAGCTGGGACTACAGGCACCCACCACCACACCCAGCTAATCTTTTTTGTACTTTTAGTAGAGACGAGTTTTCACCATGTTAGCCAGGATGGTCTTGATCTCCTGACCTCGTGATCTGCCCGCCTCAGCCTCCCAAAGTGCTGGGATTACAGGAATGAGCCACTGCACCTGGCCAACTTTGTAAGTTCTTTACTCATTTTTCTTACAGAGGGTTAATATTTTTCTTGTTGATTTTTATGAACTCTTTATATATTGAAGATGTTAACTCCTTAAACACACACACACAGAGAAGAAAAGATGGAAAGAGGGTCATAGAGTGGGCAGATATTGGTAGGAGGGTAGACAGCAACTTTGATGTGTACGTTAGCTTCACACTCAGGGTTTGTAATGCAGTTCTCTCTTTTTTTTTTTTTTTTTTTTTTTTTGAGACTGAGTCTCACTCTGTGTCGCCTGGCTGGAGTGCTGTGGCACAATCTCAGCTCACCGCAACCCCTGCCTCCCAGCTTCCAGCGATTCTCCTGCCTCAGCCTCCTGAGTAGCTGGGATTACAGGTGTGCGCCACCATGCCCAGCTAATTTTTGTATTTTTAGTAGAGACAGGGTTTCACCACATTGGTCAGGCTGGTCTCGAACTCCTGATCTCAGGTGATCCACCTGCCTTGGCCTCCTAAAGTGCTGGGATTACAGGCGTTAGCCACCACGCCCGGCCTGTAATGCAGTTCTTAACTGGTGACTCTGGGAGCTGGGCTGTGTTATCTCATCTCCAGTATGTGACAGCCGAGGTCATGGTGGAGGGAGGAGAAAGAACACTCAGGACATGACGCCCAGGCCTGGACGTGGCATGCATTACTTCCATCTACATTCTATTCACCAGACCCCAGGCCGATTGTCCCAGTCTAACGGTGCAGAAGGCTGAGAAACATGACCTTGTGTGCAAAGGAAGGAAAAAGGGAACTGTGAGCCCCTGTTCATTTTCTGCCACCCTACCCTAACCATCCTGTGTTAACTTGCGAAACACCCCAGCCCTCTTCACCCCGTCCCTTGTTTGTCTGTGTTTTTCTTTTCCATAGCCCTTATTTTTGACATGCTGTATATATTCATTTATTATGTTATTGTCAGTCCTCCCCCACAAGAATATAAGCTCTGCCAGGTTAGGGATTTCTGTCAATTTTGTTCACTGACTCAGAAAAGCACCTGGCATCATATTAGTTAAGCAGACATTGCCTGGTGCTATTTCACGGTGCTAAGTGCCCACACGTTTCCCACACTTTCTCTAGCGCATTCTTCCTCCATCGCCCGCTCCCAGCACCTGGCCAGGCTTCCAACTTCAGCCCATGATCCTCATCCTGCTTGAAGCCCTCCATGACCGCACCCCCCCAACCTCCCACAGAACTGATTGTGCCCTTCTTTGTGACATGGTCATGCCTTGTACCAAACTCTACTCTGCATTTATCCCACTATTTTACAATTGTGAATTTGTTTGTCTTCCCTATACAAAAATGAGCTCCTGTAAGACCTGGCCAAGTTAAAGACGTCATAGTATCAGTTGAATGAATGAATGGATGAATAAATAATTGGATAGGCCAACCAATTCTTCACAATTTGGACAGTTTTTAAAACACCCCAGTGAAGTTTGAATATGGACTGGGTACAAATAACACTGTTAAATTTGTTAGGAGTAATAATGACATTAGAGTTATAATGTATCTGACATTCTACATTATATAATGTATATATACTATATTTATATGGTTATATAAAGTATATATTATATAACAGACATATATTTTATAATATATGTTCATTGGAGATATATCCTGAACTACAGGTGAACTGATAAGATGCCTAAGGTTTGCAATAAAAGAAAATGGAATCAGCTTGGGCACGGTGGCTCACGCGTGTAATCCCAGCACTTTGGGAGGCCTAGGCCGGTGGATCACCTGAGGTCAGGAGTTCGAGACCAGTCTGGCCAATAGAGTGAAACCCTGTCTCTACTAAAAATACAAAAAAAAAAAAAAAATTAGCCTGGAGTAATGGCAGACACCTGTAATCCCAGCTACTTGGGAGGATGAAGCAGAAGAATCACCTGAACCCGGGAGGCGGAAGTTGCAGTGAGCCGAGAACACGCCATTGCACTCCAGCCTGGGCAACAAGAGTGAAAATTCATCTCAAAAAAAAAAGAAAAGAAAAGAAAAGAAATTGAAATGAAATGAAATAAAAGTAAATAAAAATAAAGTGTGTTGGAAGAGGAGGATAGATGGCTGACAAGATGGACAAGAGACAAGGTGGGAAAATGTTAATAACTCTTCAAGTTGGGCAATGAGTATTTGACATTCATCACACTCTTCTCTCTACCTTTGCGTATGTTTAAAATTTCCTTAATAGAAATTAAAAGCAAATGAAGTGACATAGACATTCACACTGTGCTCAATGAGAAGGAGAAAAAGTTTCCCAGTGCTGTTACCTTGTCCACCCTTCACCCACATCCAGATGAAAACGCCTCTCGCCTCTTCCAGTGCTGACCATGGAGTTTCATCATATGTGGAGAGAAAGCCAACAGTGGAAGGAAAATGTGAACACTGAGTAATTAAGACCTGAAATCGGGAGGTCTAAACAGTGTGTCCCATATGCCAGGCTGTGTGTCCCACCCTCTGTGGAAGGAAGACAGATGTGGACCTGTGCAGCAGAGGACTGCCTGCACCAAAAAGTCACCCTGAATTCTTCTAGAGAGTTAGGACTGGTGAGGGATCTTAAAAACCACTTAATTCAACTCCCTTATTTTACCAATGCAAGGAAACTATGATTCAAAGATTGCTTGACTTTCCTGAAATAGCAGCAGCGGCCGGGCACAGTGGCTCACACCTGTAATCCCAGCATTTTGGGAGGCCAAGGCAGGCAGATCACCTGAGGTCGTCAGGAGTTCGAGACCAGCCTGGCCAGCAAGGTGAAACCCAGCCTCTACTAAAAATATAAAAGTTAGCTGGACATGGTGGTGCATGCCTGTAATCCCAACTACTCAGGAAGCTGAGGCAGGAGAATTGCTTGAACCTGGGAAGAGGAGGTTGCAGTGAGCTGAGATTGCACCACTGCACTCCAGCCTGGGCAACAAGTGAGACTCCATCTCAAAAAAAATAAAAATAAAAAAGTAAAAATAAAAAAATAGTAGTGACATCAAAACTGAAACCCACATCGGCAGACCCTTGAGTCAATTTTTCCCCCAGTCTCAAATCCATTTGTGAAGAGCGTTTGCATATACACCTTTCCAATACTTTGCCTTCTCTATACCCATGAGAGAGGCAGGCCTAGAAAATGGGTCAGTATGTGCTGATAACTATTTGTAAACAAATCAAATGTGGCTCAGACATGCAATAAAACTTACTAAACCTCATCAAGTTAAAATGCAGAGTCCCCTGGAGATGCACGGGTTTATGGAGATGCAGCGGAAGGATCACCGGTGGAAGAGATGTGTCCATTGAAAAGCAGAAGAAACCTCATTCTCTGCCTTCTGCCCACAGGTCAGGTGAGACTGACCCAGCAGAGCAGGTGTGTCTTAAGCAGGTCCCTCGGCATTGTCTTTTTTTTTTCTGAGACAGGGTCTCTCTCTGTACACTGGAGTGCAGTGGCACCATCACGGCTCACCGCAGCCTCAATCTCCTCAGGCTCAGGTGATCCTCCCACCTCAGCTCCCAAGCAGCTGGGACTACTGGCAAGTACCACCATGCCCAGCTATTTTTTCTATTTTTTGTAGAGACAGGGTTTTGCCATGTTGCCCAGGCTGGTCTCAAACTCCTGGGCTCAAACAATCCACCCGCTTTAACCTCCCAAAGTTCTGGGATTACAGGTATGAGCCACCATGCCCGGCCACTCAGCATTTTTCTACCATAACCAGTGACCATTCATTGACTGTTGACTCTACAAGCAGTTAGTGCTCATCATCTGGTGCCCTCAACAATCCTACCAATAAGAACCATTATCCTCACTTGACAGATGAAAAGAATGAGGCTTACAGAGGGTAAGTGACCTACTAAGAGTCATGCTAATGGGCACTAATGAGTGACTGATCCAGGGCTTGAGTCAGGCCTGTCCAACCTCACAGCTTTTCCTCCTTCCACGGTGCCAAGCTGTGTTTGAAGAATCCAGATGATTTTCACCAAATTAGAATCACTCCTATAAGAGCCAGATATGTCTGTCATCCTGAAACATGGCGGACGGTGAAAGATGGAACCATTACATCTTCCTGCTCTCCAGGGGAGGTCTCTGGCAGCAGCGCCACACTCTATAGATTCAGGGGCCATTCCAGACTGCTGTTGAAATAGGACCATGGGGGCAACAGGGAGGCAATCCCTGCTGGCTGACCTACTGATGGGTGATTCCACATCCTCTTTCCAAGTCAAACTGGGCCAAGCTGAGGCCTGTGCTCAAATTCCCTTAAACCCTCCTCACCTGTAGCTTTCACCAGCTCAGCAAAAAGGAGGTGAGAGAGGAGAGGAGAGGGGTCGACTATCCATCACTCCTCCTCCAAGAGTTTCCTTCTGTTGTGAGTGCCTCTCCAGCTCCCCTCCTGACTAGACACCCCCCCAACCCTTGCCCCACTGGACAAACAGAAAGACACACACCTGTCCTCTCCATGCACATACACAGAAACACACACACAAACACACACACACTGCTCTTCCCAGACCTGTCTTACAGACAAGAAACTTGAGCCCAAACTTGTTTCTGGTTTACTCAGCGTCTTCCATGAGAGTCCTCCAGAGACCATATTTGGCTTCTAGAAAGCAATCATATAAAAATGAATCATAAACGAAAATGCATATCCACATCAAAACCAGTACACAAATGTTCATGGCAGCACGATTCATCATAGCCCCAAGTCCATCAACTGATGACTGGATAAACGAAATGTGGTCCATCCATGCGACAGAACGTGATTCGGCCTTAGAGAGGAAGGAAGTGCTGACACGCACAACGGCATAGATGAACGCTGACGACGTTATGCTACAAAAGACACCAGACATAGAAGGCCCCATATTGTGTGAACCGTTGATATGAAGGATTCTGAATTAGCAAATCCACAGAGAAAAAAGTAGATTCGTGGTTGCACGGCGAGGGGAATGGGGAGAGACTGTGATAGGCATGAGGTTTCTCTTTGGGGTGATGAAAATGTTCTAAAATGAAACGAGGTCATACTTGCACAACTCCAAATACAGTAAGAACCAGTAAATTGTACACTTTAAATGACTTCATTGTATGGCATGTGAATTATATCTCAATCAAGCTGTTACCCAAATAACAAACAAATGATGAGGCTTCCTAGACCCTCCGAGGGGATGGCACAGTTACTGGCAGTCTCTAAGAAGCCTCTAGAAACGTGGGAGGCTAAAACCCAAGAAACTGGCCATCTTAGGCAAACTTGCTGAGTGACCCCTAGTGAACACCCCTAGTGAGAGCCAAGCCCAGGGAGCACACTTCACAGAGGCGTGTCCAGCCCAGGTCACAGGACTCCAGACTGTGCTACCAGACAGACCCGGGTTCCAGCCTTGACTCTGCCACCTCTCGGCTGTGGGATGGGAACAGGTCCCCTGAGACAGAGCCTCATCTGTCAAATGGAGTAAGAATAATAGGGCTGTGATGAGAATGAAATAAACTCTCACACATGGTTTGCATTCACAAAGGTGGTCACTGCTATGACAAACATGATGCCACTCCAAGGGATGGGCTGGATAGTTAAAGTTCAGCGACAGAGGAGAGCGCTCATGTAGGATGTCTCAGCGTTCCATGTACCCACAGCGGGACGCTTTCAAGGACATGTCCCAAAGTGAGCAGGCTCTGTCTCCCTCTTAGCAGCAGTGTCCAGATGGCAGATTTGCACAAGACGTCAGCGTGTTATGAGAAAACATAATGCCAGTCCATCATTTCTGATGCTTTGCCTGAGAGGTTTCCCCCATTATCTCATGTTTTAAATCATCAAGTAGGCACTGTTCCTAAATGCAGGATGCTGGGCGGAATTTCACACAGGTACAAAATGGAGAAGTTGAGTCCTTACTCTCAAGAAGTAACTCTCATAGCAATTCTGTGAGTTTGGTAGGGCTGTTATTAGCATGTCCTTTTTACAGATGAAGAAACTGAGTCCCACACAGGCTAAATGCCCTGCCCAAGATCTTGTAGCTACTAAAGTTGCTGGCAATGTTGAAACTCAAGCCTATGGGGGTCCTGACCTCCAGCCTCGTGTCTTCCTCTGGCTATGGGTTCTCTGAGACATCAAAGCATGGGCTTAAGACTGTCAGAGGCACCGCCTGCCTCACAAATAATCAAGCAATGAGGACAGGAAACCAAGACAGAGGCCTTGTCAGGACCTACTATATAATTTGCAGGGCCAAGTACAAAATGAAAATGCAAGCCCCTTCTTCGAATATCATGAAGACAGTGACAGCAGAGGATCAAAGCCAGCTCAGGGCCCTTCCACGCACCAGTCCCTGTGTGGCTGTGACTGCACAGTCACATGTTCCTGAAGCCAGCCTGCCCCTCGTCCCTGTCACACAAACGCCCAGTGCAGAGCAGACATCTAAGTAACCCTACCGTCTGGCTCAAACAAGAAACAAACTCTCCTGGTCAGGCTGTGAGCCTGCCCTGACCCCACATCCAGCCACCTGCCGTGTGGACACGCATCTCTCGGGATGGCTGACCCAGCATCCTTCAGCATTTCCGACTTTGCAGATTTGCAATCTCTTGGCTGACACTGCAGCCACCTTCTTTGTCTGAGAAACCGTCGCCCTTGCCAGGGTTCAGCGCAGCAACACACAGATCCATTAACACTCTCCGGGTGCCATGGAGTGGAAATGTCTACGTAAAGCCAGAGGGCTCGTTGGCAGGGCTGTCAGAGCTGCATTTTTCTTAAGCAACTGTTTTGTCTCCTTGTTTGTGGCACCTATGGCTGTCTTGCAGAAAACAACACACTACAGTGACAACTGGCTGATCTTTCTTTCCATCTGCCACGCGAGCCTTACTTTTTCTGAATAATAGGTACACAGGAATGGCAGAGAAGCCAGACCCTGCTAGAATTTCATGAATAAGGAAGAGAATTTGGTATTAATTAGACATCAGAGGCAGACAGAAGTGAGTCCTGGGTCTTCCAAAGACCTGATGAATTAGCTGTGAGATTTAAACAGGGCACATTCTCTTTCTTATGGCTTGAACTGTGTTTCCCCCAAAAAAAGATATGTTGAAGTCCTACCCCCCAGTACCTCAGAATGTGACCTTCTTTGAAAATATAGACCAGGCATGGTGGCTCATACCTGTAATCCCAGCACTTTGGGAGGCGAAGGCGGGCGGATCACCTAAGGTCAGGAGTTCAAGACCAGCCTGGCCAACATGGTGAAACCCTATCTCTACTAAAACTACAAAAATTAGCTGTGTGTGGTAGCAGGTGCCTGTAATCCCAGCTATCAGGAGGCTGAGGTAGGAGAATCACTTGAACCCAGGAGGCGGAGGTGGCAGTGAGCCAAGATCACACCATTGCACTCCAGCCTGGGTGACAGAGCAAGACTCCATCAAAGAAAGGAGAGAGAGAGAGAGAGAGGGAGAGGGAGAGGGAGAGAGAGAGAGAAAGAGGGAGAGAAAGGAAGGAAGGAAGGAAAGAAGGGAGTGAGGAAGGGGAAAATACAGGCGGTGGCTCACACCTGTAATCCTAGCACTTTGGGAGACTGAGGCAGGCAGATCAATTGAGGCCAGTAATTCAAGACCATCCTGGCCAACATGGTGAAACCCCAACTCTACTAAAAAGTATAAAAATTAGCCGGGCATGGTGGTGCACGCCTATAGTCCCAGCTATTCAGGATGCTGAGGCACGAGAATTGCTTGAACCCAGGAGGCGGAGGTTGCAGTGAGCCAAGATTGTACCACTGCACTCCGGCCTAGGTGAAAGAATGAGACTCTGTCTCAAAAAAAAAAAAAAAAAAAAAAAAAAAAACGGAAAATATAGAGTTGTTGCAGATGTAATTAGTTAAATTAAGATGAGGTCATACTGGAGCAGTGTGGACCTCTAACCCAATATGACTAGTGTCCTTATAAGAGAGATGAAGAGACACATGTGACGGTGGAGGCAGAGACTGGAGTGATGTTTCCACAGGCCAAGGAACATGGAAGATGCCCATCAGGCCACCAGAAGCCGGGAGGGAGGCCTGGGCTAGATAATCCCAGCACCACTTGCCACCTTGGAAGAGGACACACCAGGCCCAGCTCAGCCTTCAGGTGGCCGCCTCCCTGGCTGACAGCTGGCCCAGCCGTAGCCTGGGTGGCTGTAGAAGGAAGCAACCCTGCCAACACCTTGATCTCAGGCCTCTGGCCTCCAGAGCTGTGTGAGAGCACATTTCAAGTGCACGAAGCCACCCGGTGAGCGGCACTTTGCCACGGCAGCCCCAGGAAATGGACGCACCTCTTTACCTGAAACGTAACAAGGGTGTTGGCCTGGATGATCTCTGGGGTCCTTTCCATCTCTACATATGCTGACTTTGGTCACATTCTCATCTTGTCCCCAAAAGTCAAATTGTCACTCAAGTCAAATTTACCTAGTTCTGTTGTTCCTTCATTCCAGAAGCTTCCTGGACCCCAGCAACCAGCACCGTCTCCCTCTGCAGCTCCCCAGTGAGTGGGCTGCCTCCTCAACTGCACATCTGCTTCATGTCAGGCCCTCTGCTGCGAACTGGGGTAAAAATGCAGACTGGGTTCTTGACCCCGTGAAGGTGAAATTCTAGTGGAGACTTGGCTTTGAACACAAAATCTACTAGGGCAGCCGTCCCCTAGGATGGCCCCCAGTGAGCCCCACATCCTGGTGATGTTCACAACCCCATGGAGTTGCATCTCTTGTTGATGTGGGGCTGGCCTATCAACCGATGAATGGATGGAGGAGATGTGGTATGTCCATACAATGGAATAGCACTCAGCTATGAAAAGGAACAAAATGCTGACACATGTTACAACATGGAGGAACTTCGGAAACATTATGTTGAGTGAAATAACACAGGCACTAAAGGACAAAAACCACAGGATTCTACTTAAATGAGGTTCCTAGAATAGGCAGAATTCACAGAGACAGAAAGCAGATTAGGGGCTACCAGGGATGGGGAGAGATGGGGGAATGGGAGTTATTGATTAATGGATACAGAGTTTCTACATGGAGTGGTGGGAAGGTTTTGGAAGTAGATGTAGTGATGGTTGTACATTGTGAATATAATTCACACCACTGAATTGCACATCTGAAAAGGATTAGCATGGCATGGTTTGTGATATATATTTTACCACAATAATATAAAAATAAATTCAAAGCCAGCCTGGGCCATAGAGCAAGACCCTATCTCTAAAAAAAAAAAAAAAAATTAAGTAGCCAAGCATGGTGGCGCATGCCTGTGGTCCCAGTTACTTGGAAGACTGAGACGGGAGGATCCCTTGAGCCTGAGAGGTCAAGGCTGCAGTGAGCCATGATCAAGCCCCTAGCTGATCTAGCTGCACTCTAGCCTGGGCAATCAAGCAAGACCGTCTCAAAAAAAAGACTGACCTATGTGACCAACACAACTCGGTAGACATGCTAGTGTGTGACCTTCACATCAAGGTCACAAAGGCATCCTGGCCTCTGCCTCTGACTCCAGGCTCACTCGTTCTGGAGGAAGCTGGCTGCCACACCACGAAGACATGCAAGCAGCCCCATGGCAAGACCCTTGCGAAGGGAAACTGAGGCCTCCTGTCGATCGCCAGCACCAACTTGCCACCTTGGAAGAGGACCTACAAGGCCCAGCTCAGCCTTCAGTGAACCGCCTCCCTGGTTGACAGCTGGCCCAGCTGCAGCCTCCTGAGAGGCCAGAACCACCCAGCTAAACCTCTCCTGACACCTAAACCAAGGACACCATGGCACATGATAAGTAATTATGTGGTTTTAAGCCAATATGTTTTGGAGTTATTTGCTACATATCATTATAGCACTAATACACTCATCAGTAAATATGAGGACAGGCTCATGTCTGTAGTCCCAGCACTTTGGGATGCCAAGGCAGGAGGATCACTTGAGCCCAGGAGTTCAAAACTAGTCTGGGCAACATAGAAAGACCCTGTCTCTATTTTTTTTTTAATTAAAAAAATTTTTAAGAAGTACAAAAAATAAATAAATATGAGGACAAAGTGGCCAAGCGTGGTGTCTCACGCCCATAATCCCAGCACTTTGGGAGGCTGAGGCGGGCAGATCACAAGGTCAGGAAATCGAGACCATCCTGGCCAACATGGTGAAACCCTATCTCTACTAAAATACAAAAAATTAGCCAGGCGTGGCGGCGTGTGCCTGTAGTCCCAGCTACTTGGGAGGCTGAAGCAGGGGAATTGCTTGAACCCGGGAGGCAGAGGTTGCAGTGAGCCGAGATCGCTCCTGCACTCCAGCCTGGGCAACAGAGTGAGTCTCCATCAAAAAAAAAAGAAAAAAAAGGGCAAAGTGTACTAAGGGCAACAAAAGCACAGGGCGCAGGTGTGGGGAGGGAGAATATAATGGATCATAACCATCACCTCAGTAACGGCAGGGGCTTCTTTTCTCAGGAGGTTCCCTGGCGGAGTTTGTAAGGATGATTATATCTACACCTGAATGCCTTTTGTCAGTGTTGGTGAACTCTCAGTTTTTAAATATTGCTTCTGCCACATTTTTTCTCCTCCTGTTTTGTGACCCCAATTATAGGTATGTTTGCTCTTTTCATTCTATCCCATATTTTCTTTAAACTCTACCCTGCGATTCCCCCCTCTTGTCTCTCTGTGCTTCTGTCCAGACTATTTTCTTCTATGCCTTTCATTTGTACATTTCCTGCTATCAGACCCACCAGCGGTATTTTCAGTTTCTGTACTTTTCACTTTTCACAGAATTTCCACTTGGTTCTTTTTTTATACTTTCCAGTTCTCTGCCAAAAATTCTTAATCTTGCCTTTTCATCCTTGATCGCATTCATCATGGATAATTCCATGATCAGGATCCTCGTGGGTCTGTTTCTATTGTCTGATTGTCTGATTTTTCTCCCAGGTTTTCACCCCTGTCTTGTCTTTTTCTTACTCCAGAGCCCATTTATTGACTGCCAAGCACTGTGTGTGGAAAATGATAGAGATAATTTGAGACTCTGAACTGTTATTTTTATCCAGAAAGGAATTTTTTTTTTTGAGACGGAGTCTTGCTCTGTTGCCCAGGCTGGAGTGCAGTGGTGTGATCTCGGCTCACTGCAACCTCCAACTCCTGAGTTCAAGCCATTCTCCTGCCTCAGCCTCCCCAGTAGCTGGGATTACAGGCACAAGCCACCACATCCAGCTAATTTTTGTATTTTTAGTAGAGATGGGGTTTCACCATGTTGGCCAGGCTGGTCTCCAACTCCTGACCTCAAGTGATCCACTGGCCTCAGCCTCCCAAAGTGCTGGGACTATAGGCGTGAGCCACCATGCCCAGCAGGATTTCTTTTTGCTGCTAGAAGGTAGCAAGCAATCTCTGATCATCATAATCCAGGGGCTCCCAAACTGTCTCCAGTGACAACACCTTGAGTGTCCCCCTAATTTTTTCACGGCCCTCCTAGGCCAAAAGAAATAGATAGAGGTTCCATGTATTAGACAGTTAAGTACAAACAACTGAAGTATTCATATTCTAACAACTTAGTAGACATTCAAAAAATGATCCCCATAAATTAAAAATATTTTGTTTCATTCTTAAACTACCATACTACCATAATCACTTCCCAATGGAATGTGGTGTCCGTTGGGCGCTGCACAACTTTTTAAGCCTTGGAGGTGGATTGGACGCCATCATCTTCACTTCCAGCTCCACACGGATCTCCACGTAGCTCAAAGTCTCTATCACAGCGACTGCTGGAAGCGAAGCTCTGCAAAGACACGAAGTCATTCAGAGGACAGTCCCACAATCTTAGTTGACACTGGGAACTACCTCAAGATAGGAGTTCATTCTGTTCTGAAGAAATAATGAAAAATCAACACAAATAAATAAATAGATAATAAGTTTAAAAAAGAAGTTCATGTTATGTCTGACAGAGGTTAATGTTCTTCCCTCAAAAAAAAAGATTTTTTAAATTAAATTAAATTTTTTTTAGAGACAAGGTGTTGCTATGCAGCCCAGGCTGACCTCAAATTCCTGGGGGCTCAAGTGATCCTCCCACCTCAACCTCCCACGTGGCTGGGACTGCAGGCCGCCAGGCCAGACTCCTCAAAATTTTCAAACATCCCACTGCACCCTGTGAGCTCACTGGGCGTCCTGCGGTGCCTTGGAGTTTTGTTTAGGAACCCAGGTCCTAACCCAGTCAAGGACTTAAAAGATTTGGTGGTGGCCATGGTTCTTTCTAAGAGCTGGGTTATTTCTGTTCAGTCTTCGCTACTGGAGTGTGGTTCTTCAGGGCGCCACGAAAGTCTGGGATACTTACCAGGACCCTCCTGGATGGGCCTTGAAATCTAATTTTTTCTCTTCCAGCCCCAAGCATCTGATAAATCTTTGCTCAGCTTCACTCTTTCAAACCACTACTTCTGTGGGGTTTTTTGTTTTTTTGTTTTTTGAGATGGAGTTTCACTCTTGTCGCCCAAGCTGGAGTGCACTGGTGTGATCTCTGCTCACCGCAACCTCCACCTCCCAGGTTCAAGTGATTCTCCTGTCTCAGCCTCCCAAGTAGCTGGGATTACAGGCGCCCGCCACGATGCCCAGCTAATTTTTTGTATTTTTAGAAGAGGCGGGGTTTTGCCATGTTGGGCAGGCTGGTCTCGAACTCCTGAACTCAGGTGATCTGCCTGCCTCGGCCTCCCAGAGTGCTGGGATTACAGGCATGAGCCACCGGACCCAGCCTACTTTTGAATTAAAATCACCCCCAAGTAAAAGGAGGGACCGATGCCAGGCTCTCCTCTCTGGATTTCCCTCTGTGTGTGTGTGTGTGCATGTGTACATGCGTGTATGTGTGTGTGCATGCATATGTGTGCATGCGTGTGTGTGGGTGCATGCATGTAGTGTGTGTGCATGTGCATGTGTGCATGTGTGTACGTGGGTGTGTGTGTATTCCATTGTTTTTTGTTCACATTGGAAGTTCAGCCTAAAACAACCTAGTCTGCCACTGTCAAAAGCAGATATTCCTCAGTCTTTTTAAAAACTTATCATCTAAATTTTCCAACAGACCTAAAAATACAGAGATAATATAATTAACTCCACGAGAAAACTATTAAAACTGATCAGTAAAGTTGCAAGATACAAAATTAACATGCAAAAATCAGTAGGATTTCTATTTGCCAATAGCAAACAATCGGAAAAATAAATTTAAAATGTAATCCCATTACAACAGCCACAAATAAAATTAAACACCAGGGAATTAACTAACCAAAGAAGTGAAATATTTCTATAATAAAAACTATAAAACACTGATGATGGAAATTGAAGAGGACACCAAAAAAAAGGAGGGCAGAGAGGGGGAAAGTTCTAGAAAAGGAAACAGAAGACATTTGGTACAAGGTCCAAATAAAACAAGATCCCCCCCCAAAAAAAATGCAGGAAAAAAAATCATCAAATAAGTTATTCAAGAAAATGTCTCCAAATGATAGGATATGGATTATAGGTTTAAAACAAAATTAAGTGCCTTGCACAGTGAGTAAAAAGAAGAGTTTTACTGGGCACAGTGGCTCACGCCTGTAATCCCTGCCCTTTGGGAGGCCAAGGTGGGTGGATCATTTGAGGGCAGGAGTTCAAGACCAGCCTGGCCAACATGGCAAAACCCTGTCTCTACTAAAAATACACAAATTAGCTGGGCGTGGTGGCAGGCACCTAAAGCTCCCAACTATTTGGGAGGCTAAGCCAGGAGAATTGCTTGAACCTGGGAGGTGGAGGCTGCAGTGAGCCGAGATCGCACCACTGCACTCCAGCCTGGGCAACAGAGCGAGACTCCATCTTAAAAAAAAAAAAAGAAAGAAGAGTTTTAAAGTTTTGTTGGATAGTTTTGAAACTGATTATTGTTAGGTATGTAGGAAACTGAGTAAACAATCAAACAAAATAGAAGGCAATTATTTCAGGAGACAAGTAAACAGCTTAGGTTTTAGCTTCATGACGTGGAAACAGCATGAGTGACTCTACTTTGGGTTGGTCTGTTGGAGCCTAGTACAGAAAACACCATGGCTCAGCTATGAAGAATACTTACCTGATCGTGATAATGTAAGCATTGATTTATCTATATATTAAAATATTGGGAAGATGGGGAGGGGGATGAAAGAAGGTGCCTATATGGACCATGGGGAGACTTCCCCTTTGCCCTCTGAATGTTTGCTGAAAAATCAGCTCACAAAAAGCAGACTGATAGAAATGGAGGCCTGGTGTAGTGGAGGCCAAGGAGGGAAGATGGCCTGAGGCCAGGAGTTTGAGACCAGCCTGGGCAACATAACAATACCCCATCTCTACAATTGGTTTTTTTTATTTGTTTTTTTTTTTGTTTGTTTGTTTTATTTTGGTTTTTTTTGAGGTGGAGTCTCACTCTGTTGCCCAGGCTGGAGTGCAGTGGCACGATCTCCGCTCACTGCAACCTCCACCTCCCAGGTTAAAGCAATTCTTTTGCTTCAGCTTCCCAAGTAGCTGGGACTACAGGCGCCTGCCACACTAACTTTTGTATTTTTAGTAGAGACGGGGTTTCACCATGTTGGCCAGGCTAGTCTCAAACTCCTGAGCTCAAGTGATCCACCCACCTTGGCCTCCCAAAGTGCCAGGATTACAGGCATGAGCCACCATGCCTGGCCTACAATTGTTCTTTAAATAGGAGAAATGGCATACAAATTTGATACTCAATGGGGTACAAATGCTTACGTACCCTACTTCTTAGAGGAAAGGGAGATAGGGAAATATGGATGATTTTAGGAGGATAATAAATGATTTTTAGGGGAATACAGCAGCGATCCCCAACCTTTTTGGCACCAGGGACCAATTTCGTGGACAGGGGATGGGGATAATTTGGGGATGATTCAAGCTCATTACATTTACTGTGCACTTTATTTCTATTATTATTACATTGTAATATATAATGAAATAATTGTACAACTCACCATCATGTAGGAGCCCTGAGCTTGTTTTCTTGCAACTAGATGGTCCTATATGGGGGAGATGGGAGACAGTGACAGATCATCAGGCATTAGATTCTCATAAGGAGTACACAGCCTAGATCCCTCATATGCGCAGTTCACAATAGGGCTCATGCTCCTATGAGAATCTAATGCCACTGCTGACCCGACAGGAGGCAGAGCTCAGGCAGTAACGTGAGCAACGAGGAGCAGCTGTAAATACAGATGAAGCTTTGCTGGCTCGCGCACCACTCACCTCCTGCTGTCTGGCCCAGTTCCTAACAAGCCATGGACCAGTACCAGTCCATGGTCCAGGGGCTGGAGAACCCTGGAATACAGGATTTGAAGAACATACAATGGCCTGGGACAAATTCTGTAGGGCCTGAAGAGCAGACAATGGTTCATGACAAGTCTGTCCAGGTGTGTTGGCGGACTTCAGGCTTTGTTCTTGCAATATGAGTTCAGTGAATGAAAACCCAGGGAGGAGACCAAAGATCATTGCTTTATTCTTTGGTGGGTTCGGAGTTTAGGCAGGTAAAGGTATCGGGGGAACCAGCTCCCAATATTTCAACATAGGTTCTTTCTATTTTCCATAAGTGTCGGCCAGCTGAGAAATAAAGAGAAAGAGTACAAAGAGAGGAATTTTACAGCTGGGCCTCCGGGGGTGACATCACATATCGGTAGGACCGTGATGCCCACTTGAGCCTTAAAGCCAGCAAGTTTTATTAAGGATTTCAAAAGCGGAGGGGGTGCAAGAACAGGGAGTAGGTCACAAAGATCACATGCTTCAAAGGGCAAAAAGGAGAACAAAGATCACAAAGCAAAAGGCAAAAGCAAAGATCACAAGGCAAAGAGCAAAAGCAAAATTACTGATAAGGGTCTATGTTCAGCAGTGCACGTATTGTCTTGATAAACATCTTAAACAACAGAAAACAGGGTTCGAGAGCAGAGAACTGGTCTGACCTCAAATTTACCAGGGCGGGGTTTCCCCCCACCCTAGTAAGGCTGAGGGTGCTGCAGGAGACCAGGACGTATTTCAGTCCTTATCTCAACTGCATAAGACAGACATTCTCAGAGCGGCCATTTATAGACCTTCCCCCAGGAATGCATTTCTTTCCCAGAGTATTAATCCTTGTTAGGAAAAGATTTTAGCAATATCTTCCCTACTTGCACATCCATTTATAGGCTCTCTGCAAGAAGAAAAATATGGCTCTATTTTGCCCGACCCCACAGGCAGTCAGACCTTATGGTTGTCTTCCCTTGTTCCCTGAAAATCGCTGTTATTCTGTTCTTTTTCAAGGTGCACTGATTTCATATTGTTCAAACACACATGTTTTACAATCAATTGGTGCAGTTAACACAACAGTGGTCCTGAGGTGACGTACATCCTCAGCTTACGAAGACAACAGGATTAAGAGATTAAAGTAAGACAGGTGTAAGAAATTATAAGAGTATTATTTGGGAACTGACAAATGTCCATGAAATCTTCACAATTTATGTTCCTCTGCCACAGCTCCAGCCGGTCCCTCCATTCGGGGTCCCTGACTTCCCGCAACATAAAGGAACTGCAGACAACAACTTCATCCTGTGCTTGGGGAGAGACAGAGGATTGAGAAGCGAGAGGGGGTGCGGGGGACAACAGTTCTCCTTGGTGGGTCCATCAGGTCTTTACCTAGATCAGGGAGAAGTCTCTTCCAGTATATTTATCTTGAAGAATTTTTAAGTCAAAATACTCATTACACCAGGGAGCCAACTTCAGGGTGAATTTCCCTGTGCCTCTTCATGTACAAGGAAACTTCATTAGTAGGAAGGCAATAGATAATGTCTAAAACAGGGGGAAAGAGTCAAGAAAAAGTACTGAAACACATTATTAGAAATATGTGGGGAGGCTGGGTGCAGTGGCTCACACCTGTAATCCCAGCATTTTGGGAGGCTGAGGCAGGCAGATCACTTGAGGCCAGGATTTTGAGACCAGCCTGGGCAACACAGTGAGACTTCGTCTCTATAAAAAATACAAAAGTTAGCCAGGTATGGTGGCACATACCTATAATTCCAGCTACTTGGGAGGCTGAGACGGGAGGATCACTTGAGCCCAAGAAGTCAAGACTGTAGTGAGCTGTGATTGCCCCACTGCACTCCAGCCTGGGCAACAGAGCCAGACCCTGTCACAAAAAAAAGCAAGCAAGCAAGCAATATGGGGGAATCCCAGCAAAGTTAAAATAGTTGAAAATGCTTATCTCTAAAGAGTGAAATTCAGGTGAGAAGGTGTGAGGCAGGTATAGTTGTTTTTGTTAGAAGTGCTGTAACTATTTTAATTTTACAACTATGTACATGTATCAGTCCAATAAAACAGAGGGAAAGGCTTTATTTTATAACTGATACATTAACAAGCATTAAAAATAATTAGCATGGACTGGGTGCAGCGGCTCATGCCTATAATCCTAGCACTTTGGGAGGCCAAGGTGGGCAGATCACCCGAGGTCAGGAGTTCAAGACCAGCCTGACCAACATGGCGAAACCCCATCTCTACTAAAAATACAAAAATTAGCTGGGCGTGGTGGTGTGCACCTGTAATCCCAGCTACTTGGAGGCTGAGGTAAGAGAATCACTTGAACCCAGGAGGTGGAGGTTGCAGTGAGCTCAGATCATGCCACTGCACTCTAGCCTGGGTGACAGAGTGAGACTCCATCTCAAAAAATAATAATAACAATAATAAGCATGAAATTGTGGTGAAACTGGAACATCAAAATCCTGCTAACAATGTAAATGTGTGCAAGCCCCATGGTTTCATTTCCAGAACATTTCGAGAGCCATTCAAACGTTGGAACCCTTTTAACCAATTCTCTCACTCTAGAGCAGGGATCTATGCAGGCAAATTATGACCATGGGCCAAACCCAGCCTACCATCTATTTGTGTACGATCCATAAGCCAAGAATGGTCTTTATGTTATTTTAATTGTTGAAAAAAATCAAAAGAATAACATTTTGTGATGCATAAAAATGATAAGGAATTCAAAGTTTGGTGTCCATAAACAAAAGCGTGTCCTCACACAGCCTTGCCAATGCGTTTGCAAGGGCCTGTGGCTGCTTTTGTGCTGCAAAGGAATCTGCAATAGAGAGCTCATGACTCACAGAGCTGAGAAGACTATTTGGTCCTTTGCAGAAGCAGCCTGCCCATCCCAGTACAGGGGGAGGCAGCGTCGTCCAGGAGGGCGGCTCAAAGCTGGACTCCTCTGATTCCTGGCTATGAGACCTCAAGTTTCCTAACTTGTCTGTGAAATGGTTTTCTCATCTTAAAGCAAAGATATTATTAGTACCAGCCTTCTGGGGCTGCTGTGACGATTCAGTGAATGAGCCCCCGTAAATCAGAGGGCACCCACACTTGGTGTAGGAGAACTGCCACTGCTTCCCCATGGACATCAGTAACGCAAGCAACAGGTGTACGCACAAACATTTGCACAGCCGGCACTGCCTATGGCAGGGTCCTGACACCCGGGTGGCCTCACCCACAGCTCTGGCAGAAGCAGAGACCCGGGGCCAGTCCACAGATTCACAAATAGTCCGTTCTGTTATGCTGCGAAGCAGACATCCCTAAAAATCCCTGCACTCTGCAAACTCATGTGAGATGACCCAGCAGGCTATGAGGGAGATAGAGTTAGGGGCTTCGTCAGCAAGACATTTACAAAAGACTGGAACCTAATAAAAATGATAGCACAGGCCGGGCGCAATGGCTCATGCCTGTAATCCCAGTACTTTGGGAGGCCAAGGTGGGTGGATCACCTGAGGTCAGGAGTTCGAGACCAGCCTGGCCAACATGGCAAAACCCCATCTCTACTAAAAATACAAAAATTCGCTGGGCATGGTGGCAGCCACCTGTAATCCCAGCTACTCAGGAGGCTGAGGCAGGAGAAGTGCTTGAACCCAGGAAGCGGAGGTTGCAGTGAGCCGAGATCGCGCCACTGCACTCCAGCCTGGGCAACAAGAATGAAACTCTGTCTCAAAAAAAAAAAAAAAAAAAGATAGCACAGTTTTACATGTTAAATGGTTAAGAAATACATACATACTAAAATTAATATGGTGTTTTCCTTTAAAAAGACTTGAGGCTTGTTTGAGGAAGTGGGCGTTGGGGTTGTGAGCTGGGTGATCTGGAATTGGGGGGGCATTCTAGCACCAGAGCTGGATGGATGTGGATGTGACTCCTAACACACCCTGTGAACGGAGGGCTGGAGGGTGCATGGGTGGGGTTGTGTGTTCCTAGGGTGTGTGCGAGGGTGGGGTTGTGTGTTCCTAGGGTGCGTGCACGGGTGTGGTTGTGTGTTCCTAGGTTCTGGTCAGCCAGGTGCCATTCTCTGCATTCGCCTGGTGTTTCTGAGGACAAAATTGTGCAGAGCGAATGTGAACTTTGAAACTCACGTTATGCTCCAATTGTTCCCTACTCTAGCAATTGGGAATTGCTATTGGAGCAATTGGAGCAATTTCATTTTCAAAACAAGCCGTACAGCGGAACTGAAAGTATCACATCCCTTGAGGACTCCGGACATGTTGGGGAAGGGGAACTTTCTAGAAGGTGGCATCTGCAGATGTCAACATCGGCGGCGGTGCCAAGAGGGGCTTTGCAGGGCCACAGGGCAGCAGCTCCATGCAGCTGGCCCCATCCCAGGCCTGGTGAGCTCTCCTGGCTGTGTACTCAGCCCTGAGCCTGATGACCAACACCAGATGCACAGCCTGCTGTTTACCAAGCCCTCCCACCCACACCAGGGTGCCTCCTGACAGCCTCACGGGGACAAAGTGCAGGCATCATTCGTCCACATTTGACAGAGATGGAAGGGGGGCTCAGAGAAGCTGATTACTTACCCGAAGACACACAGCCTGCAAAGGGAGGTGGCACTTCCACATCCCACGCTCTGGCTGACCCTCTGCCTGTCCTCCTGTGCAGTATGTGGGGTCTCGTCACCAAGCGCTGGGATAAACTCGAGGGGCCAGGCTCAAGGCCACGCGTCCAGAGGCAAATGCTGCAAGAAGAGAGGTGCAGGAAACCCAGGTAACCGAAAGGCACCTGCCTCGAGTGAGCTCCCTCCAGCCCTGACACCTGTTCCTTCTTTCAGTGGAAAGGACAAGCCGCCGTCCACACTGCGCCTTTAACAGTTACACCCAGCGAGGCTGAGGAATGTTCCGGAACAGCCAGGATGTGGGCTTCTTTGTAGCGGGAGTGTGCCACATGTAGTTCAATCCTGAGTCGGAGGCCTGAGCAAGCAGCTTGCAAGATGTTTGAGGAGCTTAGCATTGACTGTGGCAGGCGGGCCATTGCTTCTATGATTAAAAAGGCCCAACTCCCCCCTACATCTGCCCTCGACTCTCAGGGCACACCTGGGCCCTCAGGCCGGGTGTGCTCAGCTGAGCTTGGCCATTTCTCCTCCCTCGCTCCACAGGCGCACAGGGCCAGTTGGTCATCATGCAGCCCACGTGGCCTTTGGGACCAACCCTGCCCTGCTGGGATATGCTTCAGGGACCTGAGGATGGAACACTCCCCTGGGCCAGTGGACAGACACACACACACACACACACACACACACACACACACACAGAAGCAAAAACTGCTTTGTCCAAGAAAGGCACAGACGCATTTATAACCAGATTCCAAGGTCAGCTGCTTGGAGCATGAAGCGAGGTCATGTCCTCTTGCTTCTTGAATTAGGTCATCTCTCAAAGAAATCTCAGGGTCCTCCTTCCAAATAACTCCAAGACCCCCGGCCCAGCGGATGCTCTCTCAGTCCAAAGGTCAAGCCCTGGTCACAGCATCTCAAGGAGACAGACAAGTCACCTGAGTGTCTGTTGCAGCGGCCAACACCACAGGGTGTCGCTGTTAGGAAAGGTACCCTCCCCCTCCGGCCCTGCGAAGTCCCCCAAGCTCACAACCAGAAATCCTCAGCCACCAGGCAAGGAGCTGGCCTGTCCTGTCTTCCTGGCTCCTCTCCGCCTCAACTGGACCCACAACATCGAGTCCCCTGGGAACAGAGCATGGCACACTGACCATGCTTCTTAGGGCTGCCCAGTCACAGCCCCACACTGTGTTCAGAACCCCCACCCTCAGGCTCCCCCGCTGGGCCAGGGTGGGAGCCAGGCTCCCCTCTCTGTTTCAAAGCCCTTCCCCCAGCGCCCCTCCTGTGCAGGGATCAGTGGTGCTTCTTTCAGGGGAAAACCACAGTTGCCCCGCATGAAATCTGAGGACACATACGTACGGCTGCGTGGTGGACGGTGTTGGGGATCTTTGTCATTGCTATGAGAATCTTGCTCCCAGTGCATTCCATCTGATGCCTGTTGGAGGTGTGCACTGCATCAGGTGAGGCCACCATCCTGCCCACCTGTGATCCAAAAAAAAAAAAAAAGATCTGGGAGGAGAATGGAGATCTGGAGTCGGCCTGTGTGATGGGGGAGAAGCTGCTGCCGTCCCGAGCCTCAGAGGCAGAAGTCAGTGGCCCAAACTCCAGGGCCTAGTGCGTACACATGCACACACGTATGTGCAGACCTGTGTGTGCCTATGCACAGATATGCATCTAGGATGTGTGCACACATGTTCACATAGAGGATACAATGAACTGCTACATGTTTCCGTGTATATATATTACATATAGATATTTACTGGTTTGCATATATGTGTATATATACTGGTATATGTGTGTGTAGACTATCATGCATGTATGTGTGTATACATATACTAGTATGTATGCGTGTGCATATATAGAGGTATATACATGTGTGTGTACCCGTATCTATTTACTAGTATATATGATGTGTGTGTGTACTGGTATGGATGTGTGGGTATGTGCACTTGCTGGTATGTATGTAGGTGTTTGCTAACACATACGTGCACACGCAGAATGCTTCCAGGGGACTGCACAGCCTCTAGTTCGCAGCCCCCACCCCTCCCTTTGCCCCTGCACTCTCCCCTCTCTGAGCTGCATTCGCATGAAAGGGTGCAGGTTCTGACCCCGCAGCGCCACCTCCTGGACACCTAGGGATTTCTGGCAGCGCCTGCTTGGCCACCAGCACTGAGGGAAAGATGAATCCGAGGGAGATCAGGGGATGGGGCACTGAGTGACGTCCCCAGGATCACAGGGTTCTCATATGGCCCCAGCAGTCCATTTGCAACTCTACAGATGAATTCCAAAGGGCCAGAACCCTTAATTAATCAGGGACTCCTCCACCTCGAAGTGGGAAAGACAGCCCCAGGAGAGTAAAGTCTGGGTGACCCCAGGAGGGACAGGGGAACTTGCTGGGCAGCTGGCCCTGTGCTGCCACAGCTTGTCAGGGAGGTTTCTACAGCACGTGGAGGGAGGTGGGTGGTGGGGGCAGTAAGCAGAGGGAGGGGAGGCTCCAGGGGGTCCCGGATGGGGTGCTCGAGGCTTCGGGGAACCTGGAGTGGAAGAGAGTTTTAGAAGAAGCAAGCCAGGGCCAGGCACAGCGGCTCAGGCATGTAATCCCAGCACTTTGGGAGGCAGAGGAGGGCAGATCACCTGAGATCAGGAGTTTGAGACCAGCCCGGCCAACATGGTGAAACCCCATATCTACTAAAACTACAAAAATTAGCCAGGCATGGTGGTGCACTTCTGTAATCCCAACTATTCAGGAAGCTGACGTAGGAGAATCACTTGCACCCAGAAGGCAGAGGTTGCAGTGAGCCGAGATCATGCCACTGTACTGCAGCCTGGGTGACAGAGTGAGACTCCATCAAAAAAAAAAAAAAAAAAAGACAATGCTTAAATAGGGCAAATTGAAATCCTGTCCAGTGGAATAGCACTTCTGAGGTGTTCCTGCCAAGACAGATAACGCAAATCAAATCCCCAGGGGGCAGCAGTCTCTCAAGTGGCGGCACAGCCCACAGAATAACTGGCCCTTAATCTTCGAAAGTGTCAAGGCCATGAAAGTCAAGTAAAGACTGAGCTCAGCTTCAGACTCTAGGAGACTAAGGAGATGTGACAACCAGAAGCCACATACCATTTTGAACTGGGTGCATTCACTGTGAAGAAATCATCAGACCACTGGGGAGACTTGAACAGCAGCAACGCGCCCTGCGAACTTGAGTTGTGAGTGAAGGTTGTTCTGACCGACCATGTAGGAGAAAGTCCATATTTGCAGGAAGTACATGGGAGTATTTGGGGTGATGGAGTATTGGAGGTGGAGTATTAGGGAGCAAGTGTTGACAATTTACCCCCAAATGGTTCAGGAAAAAATGCATGATTTGTGCTGCAGTGGAAGCTCTTCTTAAGTCAGAGATTATTTTAGATTTTTTAAAAATTACACACACACGCCCACAAAACTATCTCTGGCAAATTCCTGAGAAGAGCAGGACTCTCCTCCTCCAATGAGCAATTCTAACCAGGGAAACTTCTCTACGTGGCATTGAAATCTGGCCCACAGGAGGTGCTTCCCTGGCCCCAACCCCCTCTTCCCTCAGACTCCTAACAGGATGGAGTCAGGGAAACAGGATCAACACACCTGGGGGTCCAGCCTGTAGAGCGTCGGCAGGGAGGGTCATCGCTGGCTTTTACTGGGCACTCACTGTGTGGATGGGGTTTGAAGTCAACCTGACCAGGGATTGAATCTTGGCTTACCTTAGCTGTGTGATCCTGGGCAAGTCGCTTTACCTCTCTGAGTCTTGGCTTTCTGCTGTGTAAAATAAGGACAAATAACCTCTATCTTGCTGGGTTGTGGTTCAGATTAGAGAGAATTGTGCAGAATGTCAGGTACAGCAATGGGTTTCCAGACTTTAGGCCTGTGGGAAGTCAGCCTCAGAATCTCCTGGGAAACTTCTTATCAAACACAGATTCCTGTAACCTGCTCTCAGAGATTCTGATCAAATTCACCTGGCCAGTTTCAGCTACACCTGCTGAACTATTTACCGAACTATTTACAGCTCTCCAAATGCACTATAGCACTTCTTACCACTATGCCTTTGTACACACAGTTCCCCCATCTAGAGGCCCTTCCCCCTTTGATTGGAAAACTCCTAGTCATCCTTCAAAACCCAGCTGAAATGTCTCCCCATTGATGAAGACTTTCCTAACCATGCCCTCATCTCCCAGTACTCGCTTCTTTGCCAGATCAGTTGTTATGACATGAATAAGAAGTATAATTACCTTCCATTTAGTGAATCTATTATGTACCTCTCATTTCACATACTGTATCTTAACAATAGTTACGCCAAGTACTAATTATTAGCCCTGTTTCCCTGTTTACATATGAAAAAGCTGAGTCTCTGAGGGCTTAAGCAGCTTGCCCTCAGTCCCACAGCTGATAGGGGACAAAGCCAGAACCCCACGCTACTGAGCCCCGAATCTCTAGCTCTGGTCCTTATGGTCTTGGTCTGCCTTCCCCTCAGCACGTGAGCCTGCAGATGTCGGAGCCCAGGGTGTGCATTCATCGCATTCATCTCTTTTTTTTTTTTTTTTTTTTTGAGACGAAGCTTCGCTCTTGCCCAGGCTGAAATGCAATGGCGCGATCTCGACTCACTGCAACCTTTGCCTCCCGGCTTCAAGCAATTCTCCTACCTCAGCCTCCCGAGTTGCTGGGATTACAAGCGTGCGCCACCATGCCCGGCTAATTCTTTTTATTTTTAGTACAGAAGGGGTTTCACCATGTTGGCTAGGCTGATCTTGAACTCCTGACCTCAGGTGATCCGCCCACCTCAGTCTCCCAAAGTGCCGGGATTACAGGCGTGAGCCACCGCGCCGGGCCTAGGGTTAGGGTTCATTCACCTCTGAGTCCTCATCAGCACATTCCCTGATGCGCAAACAGCAGGGAACCCTAAGTGTCGGTCCCTATCTCCTAGGTCCACACCGCCTTCCGTCACACCAGGCTCTCTCCAGACTGGCTGAGAGGGTGGAGCTGGGAGCCTCTGAGGCTGGTAAGCCGCGTGCCTTTGGAGGGTGGGGTAACAAGCAGGGCCTCTCCTAAGGAGGGCTTCCCCGGCCTTCCTTCCTCGGGGCGCAGCATCGACATTCGCCACCAGGGGGTGCTGCCGCACCGTTCCCGGCGCCGCCTCTGCCCCGCGAGGGACTGGGGCGTTTTCCACCGGGCGCGTGTCTGGGGCTGTGACTCAGAATCCTCAAACTCAGAGTTCGCAGACGGAGGAACTCATGCTCAAACGTCTGAACAAAAATATACAGAGCATGAAATTTTTACTCCAGAAATAGTGCACCTCTCTCCCCCTTGGGGAAAAGCGTTTTCCCTACTTCCGTAGGAGTTAACTCGCCAAGGCTTTTAGGAGACGCCGCACAGCTGTGCTCCCGCTCGTTGAAAAAAAGATGCCAAAAGTGTAGAATTTGACCACAAACAACCGAGCTTCACAACGGAGTGTGGCTTGTGTGCCAGGCCCTGTGCTGGGGGTGCAAAAGGCCCCCCGTGTCCAGCCTGGCAGCAGTGACTTCGGGGTCCCTCCTGCAAGCTTGGCTACAGGTGTTCAATCTTACTGACATATTTTACAAATATAGCTACATTTTTCCAGCCCAAATTCAGTACACATGACCTAGCAAAGCATTCCAGAGGCAAACGGCTTTCTAGGAAGTGTAGCTTAGGCACCTAAATGCTGGCATTCTGGGGCTGATGGCGTACGGGAGCCATGAGCAGAGGGTTTGAAAACGGACCTGTCTGGAAAGCCCAGGTCAGAGGGTCCCAAGAGCAGGGCTGGGCAGGCCCCAGATGCCTCCCTTGTAGGGGATTCTGGGGTCTCCTCCCCTCATAGACCCTTCTCCTCCACGAAGCTTCTTCCGGGGGCCAGAGCAAAGTCCCTCTTCTGTCTGGCATTCCACCCAAGCCGCCTCCTTTTCTGTCTGCACCTTCTCCTGGGAAATCTCATTCAAGTCCATGGCCTTAAGCCTCTATCAAGGATGCCCCTAAGGCCGGGTGCAGTAGCTCACGCCTGTAATCCCAGCACTTTGGGAGTCTGAGGCGGGTGGATGGATCACCTGAGGTCAGGAGTTCAAGACCAGCCTGGCCAACATGGTGAAACCCCATCTGTACTAAAAATACAAAAAATTAGCCGGGCATAGTGGCGCACACCTGTAATCCCAGCTACTTGGGAGGCTGAGGCAGGAGAATCGCTTGAACCCGGGAGGCGGAGGTTACAGTGAGCCAAGATTGTACCACTGCACTCCAGCCTGGGCCACAGAGCAAGACTCCATCTCAAAAAACAAAACAAAACAAAAAGCAAAGATGTTCCTAAGACACCATTACTGAACATATAGACCAGTAAATAACAATGATTACACAAATCACATGATAAATTGCATAACACCACACACACACACCACACACATCACACACACACCACACACACACACACACACCCCCCACACACACACCACACACACCACACACACACACCACACACTGTGAACCTAAAAGTGTCTGAGACACCCAATCAATCTGGAAAGTTTATTTTGCCAGTGTTAAAGACACACCCATGTTACAGCCTCAGGAGGCCCTGAGGTCATGTACCCAAGTGGTGGGGGCACAGCTTGCTTTCATACATTTTAGGGAGACACGAGACATCAATCAATATATGTAAGATGTACATTGGTTCGCTCCCCTAAGGCAGGACAACTTGAAGTTGGGGGAACTTCCAGGTCATGGGTAGATAAGAAACAAAAGGTTATTTTGGGTCTTTGATCAGCCTTTCATTGAATACACAATTTACGTGGGAGGACGGAGTAGAGGAATAGTCACTTAGGCCTTAGTCTGACTCAGTGAACCTGCGTTTTTATTTTAAAATAGGGCAGAAGAAGCCATCAGATATGCATTTGTCTCCGGTGAGCAGAGGGAACACCGAGTTCTGTCCTTTTCCCACACCTAGGAAGACAAGCTATCAATTTACGTTGCCAGGCTGAAATTCAACAGAACTGTTTTAGGGTTTTGCCGTCCACAAGGAATTTCCTTGTGGGAAATTGTGATGGAGGTATGTAGGCATGTAGCTTTTTTTTTTTTTAATCTTTGTAGCTATCTTATTTAGGAATCAAATAGGAGGCAGGTTTGCCTGATGCAGTTCTCTGTTTGACTTTTCCCTTTGGCCTAGTGATTTTGGGGTGCTGAGATTTATTTTCCATTCACAACACACACACACACACATACACACACACATGAGATATTAAACTGGCAACCGGCACAGTGCACAGCTCCATGTTCCAGGCATGGTGGACCCAACCTGGTCCCTGACCACCTGCAGCCCCCACCAGCTCAGGCCTCCCTCCTGTCTGATTTCTACCTCCTCATGGGGCTGGGCTTCCCCGGCCACAGTTCTCTCCTACTTGGCCATTTTCTGCAATCCGGAGTTTTTGTTCCCAAACTTGTGCCTAAATTTCTCAGGCACTAGATGATGCAACAGGGGAGTCTGGAATTTGGAGACAGTTCAAATCTCAGCTGCGCCACCACTAGCATCCACGTGACCTCCAACGAGTCATTACCCTCTCCAAGCCTCCGTTTCTTCCTACATGAAGTGGGAGAAACCACGCCCACCCCACAAGGTTCTTGGTGACAAAGTGAGGGGAACCATCTAGATTGAGCAGAGGAGTGTTTTAGTCTGAAGAGCAAAATGATTTGGGAGTGAGGGTGTAAACCCTAGTGCTGCCACTTGCTACCTGTGACCTTGGGCAAGTTATCTAGCCTCACATACCTCAGTCTTCTCAGCCATAAAATGGGTACAATTATAGCACTTACCCGCTTACACAACAACGGTGAATTGAGTTAGTCTCTGTAGAGCGTGTTTAGCACTGTGTCCAGAACACAGTGAGTGCCGCCTCCATGATTTGGTAACACAAGCGTTTGTCGTGGTCATTTCAGGAAGGCTCTGGTAAGTGGAGTGCAGCCCGGATGAGAGCCGGCTGGAGAAAGCTGACTTGTGTCAGCTCAGGGGACAGAGGGGTACAGAGTAGCCTGGAGGCGGCGCCAGGTGGGAGCTGACGAAGCCTGCGGGGGGGCTGAGGCCAGCGTGGTGGAGGGAGCCAGCGGGAGCGCTGCACTTTGATGGGCTCTGAGCGCCTCCGGGCACCCGTAGTTCAGCTGCTTCTCTCCACCCCTCCAAAGGGCGGGAGAGACAGGAATCCCACCTTCCGCCATGCCCTCCTTCAGGGCCTGGCCTCACACGTGCCTGGTAGCAGGATGGCAACCCGATGGCGACTTCAGGCTTCACACCCACAGACGACCGTAATCAGAGAAAGTAAAAAAGAAAGAAAAAACCCTCCCAGCCCAGGATTTTGACCAAGACTCCTGACGTTCACCTCGACTGGACCTCTTGGGCCATGTGCCCAACGCCAAGCCAGTGACCATGGGGAATGGAACGGCTCCATCAAACAGGGCCCTCCTTGCTGGGAGTGGGGCAGGCCCCCCCCCCCCAGGCACAAAGAGACCCGGGCTGGGATGGAGGACGTGGGGAACAAACATTGGTGGGCACCAGCCATGTGTGTGCCACTGTCCCTGTTGCATTTGCAGCCGACCTCAAATCTGTTCTTCAGAGTTGACTGTCGGATGCTCATCACTGAACGTCTCTCAGACGCCCCACAAGTGTTCATATTCAACAAGTCTAGAAATGAACCCTCACCCTCAAACCCACCTTCTCCCCCTGGATTTCCTGTCCTGGTTGACACCTGGTTGAACCACTCACCATCCTAGTTCCCCAAAACCTGGGAATCACCACCCCCTCCCCATCCCCCAAGTCTGGCCAATTCCATCCCCCGGCGGCATTCATACCTGGCCCCATCTCTCCTTTTCCAATTGCCACCACCCAGACCCAATACTCTGCACCAAGACCCACAGGCCACTGTCTTAGGCCAAATATTGGCTCTCTGGCCCTTGCCAGAGAAAGCTAGCCAACCCCTGACCTGGATCTGTAACTGGTCTCCTGGCTCCCATCCATCCTCCACATCTGATGGCATCATTCAACAATGTAAGAATGTCAGTGGCCCCTGGTGACCTGCCACCCACAGCCTGCAGGATCTGACCCCCGCCTTCCCCTGCAGCCTCACCGTACACCTTCCTACCCACCCTGCGTTTGGGCAACTGGCACAAAAGGCTCCCAAACACGCCATGCTTTTTCATGTTTTTCTTTATACTTCAGGTGCATGAGGCTGAGTTCCTCATATTCCTCAACGCCGTCAGTGCCCCATGCAAGACCCCATCTTTTTAATAATCAATGTTATCTCTTTCATTTCTGCCGACCACTCCCATTTCCCTTCTTCCCAAAGGCAATAATGCTACCTGTGTTAACATGTATCTTTCATCTGGGTCTTGTGAAATACGTGTTGCCAAGTTTTTGTGTGTGTTTTAATGCCTATAAATGGTGTTGTTTTATATATTACATTTTTTTGACCATTTTCTCTAAACACTGTTTAGTTTAAGACACATTCCTTTTGCTCTTTGCACAACTCATTTAATTCTCATTGCTGCGCAGTTCTCCAAAGTATGGATTAAAACCGTTTCATGCATCTATTTTCCTGGATTGCTTTTAAATTGACACCATCTCAAACAAAGCTGCAGGGCATGAATTTGTATATGCCCCTTAGGTGAGAATTTCTTTGAGAACTATTCCCGGGAGTAGAACAACTGGGTCACAGAATAAACCTGTGCTTGATTTCACAGCTGCCCCTAGAAGGACAGTTACATTCGCACTGGAAGGCCCGTCCTTTATTTCCTCCCGTCCGTCCTCAGGTTTCTGAGTGTTTCCAGTCGAGTGGCCTTAAGATAATACCTCATTATTGTCTTAATGTACAATACAGTTCTCTGATTACTAATTTGGGCATCTCTTGATATGCTTGTTTGATTTGGGGAAATCTATAAATTACCTGTCCATATCCTTTGCCCCCTTTTCCATGGTGGCTTCTGATTTTCAGGGGTTCCTTTGCTTCTTGTTCTTACCTCTGCCTCTGCTGGCCTACCCTGTCCCTGGTCCTCTAAAGGCAGCTGTGTGCTCACATGGCCCCTGCAAAGCAGGTACCCCAAGCCACAGACAAGGCCCCTGCCTCAGGTGATGACATGGGAACCCCCTGTGTTCTTCTTGAGTTTTCTGCTCTTCCGTCCCCGGCCCACACTCCTGCTCAGTGACTCTTCTGGGACCCACCAGCCACATCCCCTTGACCTTGTCTTGATGAGGAGCCTTGCTTTCCCCGCCACCATTCTGGCAGCAGAGTTCAGTTCTGGCTGCTGCCTTGTGCTCCTTTCCCCTCGGCCAAGCCAGGGTGGGGGCCAGGGGAAAGCCACTTCTGTCTGAGCTCCATTCTCCAGGTGCCCCCACCAGCACACTACAGAGTCTCAGCTGCGATGGCACCATCTCTGGGGGCTTCCTGACCTGACCTTCCCTGGCAGCTGGTTCCTCCCTCCTCTGTGGTCCCTTGCAGCACTTATCACTTTGCTACAGTGAGGGGGTTCCACACCTGCTTCTGCATTTACTCAGGGAACTCATTAAAAGCGGGGATCCGGCCGGGCGTGGTGGCTCACACTTGTAATCCCAGCACTTTGGGAGGCCGAGGCGGGCAGATCACTAAGTCAAGAGATTGAAAGCATCCTGGTCAACAAGGTGAAACCACATCTCTACTAAAAATACAAAAATTAGCTGGATGTGGTGGTGGGTGCCTGTAGTCCCAGCTACTCAAAAGGCTGAGGCAGGAGAATCGCTTGAACCAGGGAGGCAGAGGTTGCAGTGAGCCAAGATCGTGCCACTGCACTCCAGCCTGGTGACAGAGCGAGACTCTGTCTCAAAAAGAAAAAAAAAAACCAGGGTTCCAATCACCTCCCTCCTTTCTGTTTCCCTGGCACGTGGAGGTGGCCAGCAAGTGCTCGATCATCACAAAGATTTCCCAAGCACTGACTACGCGCCAGGCATCGTGCTAAGCACTTTACAAGCATTATTGCATTATCACAATTTTATAACCCTATGTGGTTGGAACCTTTAATATCCTCCTTTTACAGGTAAAGACATTTGAAGAAATTAGGTAAGGTGTCCAAGACCACACAGCTAGTGAACAACCATTCAATGAATGAACCAAGGCATGGGCACATGCTGCCAACGCTGAAGTTCATGCCAAGCAGAGCCACTGCCCAGAGCAATCTTCCTTGGCACAAAATGAATGCCAAATGCTTAACTCTGCTCCTCAGACGGTCAACATGAGTTGCCATAGCCTGGGGAGGTGACTTGGAAATGGGGACTTCCCACATATTCCTGCTGCACACAACCCAGGCTGGACTGGTCTTTTAGCGCCTAATCTGCAAGAGTGCTGGCTGCACTGGCTGGGAATGACAGTCCCCACACAGCCCTTCAGATGACACCAAGAGTGAGGGACAGGGAAGGGTCAGGGGCTTGCCCTGGCTCCAGCAAGCACCCGGCTTGCAACTGCTGCCACCCAGGCCGGGGAGTCCTAGGGCCTGCACCCGCCTCAGCTGCTGCTCCTGCGGCTCTGCTGATTGCCCGACTGGGAAATTCGGGGGGTTGCCCGGTTGTTTATGCCACTCTTGTTTGGGGGACAGTCAAGCCAAGCCACCCTCGGGAAGAGCAACCCAGGACAGGTGCCTGCCTGTAAAGAGCAGGTGACGATCATTGGACAAAACCCCTGGGCCACTTTCCCATCTCCAGGGCAGCCCCTGGCTGGGGGGATCCTGGTGACGTTCAGCGGCTCTGGGCTCTGTGTGGACCTGGACAGGGCCGACCAGCTCCTTCCTGCCCCCCAGTATCACAACCCCATCAGTGGGCTCCCCACACCCCCATCAGGTCAGCTCCAGAGAAAATGACACTTCGATGAGCAACCTAAGGTGGGGAGAAGAGGATTCAACCTGGGGAGACAATGATTTGGAGGTGGTAAGTTTGACCTCAGTCTGGAATAGGCCAGGGATCCTGGCTTTCTTACTTACAAATAGTGTGGCATGGGGCAATTTACTTAAGCCCCCAGGGCCCCGGTTTCTTGTCTGTGTAATGGGATCAATAGCGCCTCCTCCAAGACGCCATGGGGACTTGCTGGGATACCGTGTGAGGGCCTCAGGCCGATGGCATGCAGGGAGTCCTCAGTGCCCGGGACGCGTTGACTGTTCCAGCAGCCAGTGCGGGGTGTTTGGGTGGGAAGGAAAGGAGCCAAGTTTGTCAATGGAAAGGGAACCAGCTTTTGTCAACTCCGCAAGAATTCCTAGAGCACCCTGTGGGCAGGCAATGATCAAGGCTGTGCCAAAAATGGCCCCTGGCCTCAGAGCTCATGCTCCAGCGTGGAAATTGGAAACTGGAGGCCAAGAAGGGGGCTGGCTGCAATGAATATAAAATCACACTCCGGGGCAGTGCGCTCTGTGGGGCAGAGCAGGGTTCTGAACGACGTAGGCTCCATGAGGCGGTGGAGCAGGCTGGGCTTGCCTCTCCTTTCCTAGACACCACACCAGGCATTTCTATGCTCGTCACTTCACTGAGTCACCTCAGCAGTCCTCTGGGATGGGTCTCTTTGATAAAGATTTTTTTTTTATTGATTCTATAGATAAAGAAACAGTGGCTCAGAGAGGTTGAACGACTTGCCCAGGGTCACACAGCCAGGTGGGGACAGTGTTGGGCGGGTCAATCCCAAACCCATCTGAACGGAACTTGGTCCACACCTTTCCCACCACTCCTCACTATGCTGACCCCTAGAATTCTGGTTCTAGGAGGGTCCCCATCAGTCCCTCTCACCCCAGGGAGACAGACTCTGATGGCTGCTGAGGCAAACTGCCTTTCTGTCCCCTTGCAGCTGGCTGTGGTGTGGCCCTGGCACCCCTCGGGGGCTTTGGGGAAGGTCAGATAAGCCTGGTCTGGAGAAGAGCCAGCCATGGGCTCTGTGGCTCCGCTTAGGGCTGCTGGCCCCTCGGGGCCTCGCTGAGAGGTGGCTGGCGGGACCTGGAGAGGATGAGAGTTCAGCGGCTCTCGATGGCCCCACCTGAGCCCCAACACTGGCTGGAAAACCATGTGGAACCCCAGGGGCAAACTCCAGGGATGAAATGACACTTCACCAAAAAGACCCGTAGACCCTGGCCTCTTGGAGCTGACACCCTCGTGTAAAGGTGAGGGGATGTCACTTCTTAGACCAGGTTACACACTGACGGTGGCTTCACTCTTGCTCTCTCTCGCCTGTGTCCCTGCTCACGCTGAGGGAATGCCTGTGGAGAGGCCCAAGAGGCAACAAACCGATGTCTACATTCTGTGGGGACCTGCGGCGGCCGCTGTGGCTGCCACCTGAGTGAGTGTGGAGCGGTTGTTGCCCCAGCTTCCCCCTGACTGTAGCCAGCGAGAGACCCTGAGCTGGAGGGCCCAGCTAAGCCCACCGCGTTCCTGACCCACAGGAGCTGTGGGATCATAAACGCTAAGCTACAACATTTTAGGGTAATCTGTTATGTAGCCATAGTGACCAACAAGTGGGAAAAAACACATAAACATCCCTGAAAGAAGGCCTAGGAAGCTGGTCATACTGGGTGTTGCGGGGAGGGAACCGGGGATCATTAAGGTCGCTGAGAATTAAGGTGAGAGAGAGACTTCACTCTGGACTCGGGCTTTTGAAACATTGAACTAGGCCAAGCGTGGTGGCTCACACCTGTAATCCCAGCACTTTGGGAGGCCGAGAGGGGCGGATCACTTGAGGTCAGGAGTTCGAGTCCAGCCTGGCCAACATGGTGAAACCCCATCTCTACTAAAAATACAAACATTAGCTGGGTGTGGTGGTGCATGCCTGTAATCCCAGCTACTCGGGAGGCTGAGGCAGGAGAATCACTTGAACCCGGGAGGCAGAGGTTGCGGTGAGCTGAGATTGTGCCACCATACTCGAGCATGGGCGACGAGAGTGAGACTCCATCTCAAAAAAAAAAAAAAATTGAACCAAGTGAACATATCATCTCTTCAGTAAATATGCAGATATAATTTAAAGGAGTAAAAGATTGGGCCTTCTCTCTAGACGAGAAGTCACGGAAGTAGGAGGAACAGGACAGCCATGATGCCTTGTCCCTCACATGCCAGCCTCCACCTGGGACTAAGCATCAACTGATTCATGATGGATGGATCCTGGGAGCTCCTGAGAACCCGCAGAGACCAATGCTCCATGCTCTTGCTGTACACACAGCACACATACCCCAGAGCCCAATTTACCTCCTTCTCCACCTACTGGCCCCTTTTCCATGTATTACGCTCATCAGGAAACGAGGATTGTGTGTTTGAGTGCTGCAATCAGTAAAGGAAATGGCACCGATCACCTGTCCCCTATTCTTTCTGGTTCTCTAAAGGCATCCCTTTGAGTCTGGGGAGGGTTGGAATTAGCGGGGGGTACAGTGGGATTTCTTGTCTGAGCAGAGCCTGGGGAGTAGGGATTACCTTCCTCACAGGCGTGGCCTGGTCAGGATGGGTCCGCAGCAATGCTCCTCACCCTAGATGGCCCTCACAGGGTACTCTGCCTCTTCCAGGGACACTCCCTACCTTCTGACAGCTCCAGCTCCCCAAGGGTAAGGAAAAGAAAACAGAAGGAAGGGTTTTCCCTCTCATCCTGTTATCGTTCCCAAGGCCTGGTCATAATATAGAGGATGCCTACTAACTAAATAGCTCAGCTGCTTTAACTCAATTAGGGAAACAAGATTAATAATAGAAAACATCCCTGGCCAGGTGCAGTGGCTCATGCCTGTAATCCCAACACTTTGGGAGGCTGAGGCAGGTGGATCAGCTAAGGTCCGGAGTTCGAGACCAGCCTGACCAACATGGTGAAACCCCAACTCTACTAAAAATACAAAAAATTAGCCAGGCATGGTGGTGCATGCCTGTAATCCCAGCTACTTGGGAGGCTGAGGCAGGAAAATCGCTTGAACCTGGGAGGTGGAAGTTGCAGGGAGCTGAGATTGCACCATTGCACTCCAGTCTGGGCAACAAGAGCGAAACTAAAAAAAAAAAAAAAAGAAGAAGGAAGGAAGGAAGAAAGGAAGGAAGGAAAGAAAGAAACATCCTTAAGCAAACTTCTCCTGACGAGTACAGGGATGTCTTTTTCAGGGCATAATCTGAGCCCCAAACAAGTCTATATGAACTTTGCTTCTCTACGAGGCCAGGGGAGCAACACTCACAGAACACCTCTCTGTGGACATGGCCTGACCCCTGCGTTTTCCTTGTCAGCTCAATCCCCACATTCAGTCGTGATGAGCGGCCTTTTGCAAATCCCCTACGCACTCTGCTCTGCAGCAGCAATATGCATACACTGTGTAATTTAATCCTGTCGGGTGGAACTGCCATCTCCATTTGCAGAAGAGGGCTTCAGGGATGCTAAATCCGTTATCCAATTGGACTAAGAGTCAGACAGGGTTTTCTCTCCTCCCCGCCCGCCCCGTCCCTGTCTTTGGGAAAGCAGCCCTGCCAGGTCCTGTTTCCTGTCCCCCCCCAATTCCAACCCTCCCCCGGTGCAAGAGCCACCCACTTCCTCCAGGGAGGCATCCTCCACCCTCATGCTGGGCTTTGGCAGTTTTACGACTCCATCGGTGCTAAGAGTGCGTTTTAATGAATGGACCATCGACAGCAATTCATCAATTAGTTAAAAGTTGGATCAGATCAATTCTCCCATGGGGTTTGGCTCCAACCGCTTCCTGGAAAGAATGCCGGCTGTGTTCTCCACTCCACCTCAGTCTCCACCCTACGGCTTCTGATCTGTCTGGTGCCAGTGTGAAATAAATCTATCTAAAGCCAGAGAGAAGAGATCCATTTCATTTTGTTAAGCTGTGCTCTTTTGTAGGTCACTTTTAAAATCAACAAGTCAAATGCTTTAAAATCAAGAAATAAAGCAATTTCATTCGCATAGTTTCCCATTGTGCAACGCCTTGTTGTCCTAGAGAGGGAGAGGTGGAGATATTCAGAGTGCCAAGCTTGATGGATCAGATATGGGGCAGAGCGACCATGTGGAAATCACTCAGGAGGCAGGGTGCCAGCCGAAACCAGGGGTTCATGAGGAGCCAGTAGCTTCTCCCAGATGCTTGGCCCATAACTCATCACCAGGGCACACTGGCACCTGCTGGGGAGTAAACAAAGTCCTGGGTGTTGAGTCCTTTTCTCTTGCTGGCTATTAATGGCCTTTGTCTTCTCTTCTGGGCTAGTATCTTGCGGCAGGGATTGAGAAAGACCAAGTTAATAATCGTTCTTCCTTTCTTCCTTATAACCGAACCCAGATTCAATTCAAGGAAGCAATGTGTCCTGCTAAAAAGCTAAATTTCCCAGCCACTCAGCAATGCCATGTGGGCCTCTTACACAGTTTTTAAAAGGAGATTAAATGGAAGATCTTGGGTGAAGCTTCTAGGAAATCCTCTTCTGCCCTTTAACCTTTCCCTTCTTTCTTCCTGGAACAGGGACATGATGGCTGGAACTCCCGCAGCCATTCTGTGACCACAAAGGGCAACAAACCCATGCCAGGGATGGCTGTAAGGAAGGATAGAGGGAGAATGGGTTTCTGACCGGCTGCCAAGTCCATTTGGGTCCACACTCTCCTGGACTTATTTTGCCTAAGGAAAACATACAGCCCAATCTTCTTTAAGCTACTATTATTTGTATTATCTGTTAATTGCAGCCAAATTCAATCTCAAGAAACTGAAAAGGGAGTAGCCAAACAATATTACATTAAGGAGGCATTGAGATGATAATAGAATATTAAATAGGAAAAGATTATTAGAAAGCATCTTGCTCAACCTTTGTCACATACAGGAAAATTGAGGCCTGCAACGAAGAAGAGACTTGCCCAAGGTCACAAAGATAATTAGCCTCCAAGGTAGGGCTCTCTCCATGTAGCTGTGTGCTCTGCTCCTGAGTCCTTCTCCACCTGCTCTACTTTTTTTTTTTTTTTTTTTTTGAGATGGCATCTTGCTCTGCGGCCCAGGCTGGAGTGCAGTGGTGCAATCTCGGCTCACTGCGAGCTCCACCTCCCGGGTTCAAGCAATTCTCTGCCTCATCCTCCTGAGTAGCTGAGATTACAGATGCCCTCCACCATGCCCAGCTAATTTTTTTGTATTTTTATTGGAGACGGGGTTTCACCATCTTGGCCAGGCCGGTCCTGACCTCGTAATCCACCCGCCTCGGCCTCCCAAAGTGCGGGATTATAGGTGTGAGTCACCACGCCCCGCTCTATCTTACTCTCTGCCCACGGAGGCTAGCCCGGTCTCTCTGGTTTTCTGGCTTCTGCTTGGGTTTAGCCAATGAGGATCCCAGGTGGGAGATTGGAGGGAGGAAGGAAGTGAGATCAGGAAATAGATGTCCTGTGGGTCACTGTGAGCTGGCTGTGTCTCCTTGATGGTGGCCTTTTCTACACAGGTCTTGCTTCCCAGGTTCTGATAACTGCTCCCTGCCTGCCCCTCATGAGCCAGGCTGGCCCTAGCCCTGGAGTCTACAATGCCCTGGGTGTGTCCCTGCATCTGCTTTCCTTTATGTCCTTTGTGAACAGCCCCTCAATTAAACTCTCTGGGACATCACCTGTCCCACCAGCCAGGCAACCCAGGGCTCATCCCTCAGCTTCCCTAGCCCCATGCACTAATGCCTCCTCACAGAATCATCAGTAGGACTAAGAAATAACCCACTAATGCCCTAGCCCAGCACCTGGCGTGGAATCTAATCTCCATACCTATTAGTTCCTCGAAGTCCACAGAAGCTGGGCTCCTCCTATTCCACCCTCGGGTTGGAGTGGGGAGCGGGAGGGCAGCCCTCCCTCCTTGGGGAGAATTCTCATAACAGGAACAAAAGCTTTGTCTTGGAGCTTGCAGAATGGTCATTGAGGGGGGAGATCACAAATCCCAGATGTTTTGCCTCAATCCTGGACCCATCATCCGTAACTGGCTCTTCCACTGACTCCTTTGGCACTGACCAGCTGCTACAGGTTAATTTCCAGGACGTCTCCTTCCCTCAGACCTCACAGGCAGGCCTGGAAGCCTAAAAAGGAATCTCAAAGGGGGCCCTGGGACAGTCCCAGCACACAGTGACTTGCCGGAGGCAGTGATCTTCCTCTCTCCCAACTCCATGCTTGGCGGGTGGGTAGCATGAAATTGGTCATTGTGGGAGTATTTATGCCACAGCAATGGAAAATGCTTCACATCAGGGCTGGTTCCAGGGAGAGATGTTCTTAAACATTTACCAGCACATGACCCAATACTCCTCTCCAAAGATTGCCAATATGACCATAAGTGGCCCTTGGAAACAATACTCAGATAGTGGTTTCCAAACTTGGCCATGCACTGGAATTTGAGGAGGTGGCTGAAGACAGCATCCTTGGTCCTGCCCCCAGTTGGTATGAACCAGCACACTCTGCCCATGTGCCACAGGCAGTGACAAAAACAGGGAGCATTCCCATTAAATAAAAACCAGTATGCATAGCAAAAAAAAAAATGCTTCTTCTGGAGTTCATCCCAATGGACAGAAGAAAGTATCATGTCGTTTGTTTTGAGTGATTTGGGAAAATGTGAACTACAGTTGTTTTTGCACACCGGCCTGATCCCAAAACTTGTCACAAACAAAGCTCTGCAGTAGCAAAGACATAACAGTGTGGATGGATGGTTGGTTGGATGAATGGGATGTGTGGGTGGGTGGATGATTGTATAGATGGACGAATGGGCAGGTAGTTGGTTGGATGAATGGAAAGGTAGATAGGTGGGTGGGTAGATGGATGGGTAGATGGACAGGTAGATGGATGGATGGATGGATGGATGGATTGATGGGTAGATGGGTGGATGGGTAGGTGAATGCTTGGATAGATAGACAAACGGACAGGTAAATGGTTGGATGAATGGATGGGTAGATGGGAGGATGGGTAAATGGGTAGATGGATGGGTGGATGGACAGGTGGGATGGACGGATGGATGGGTGGAAGGATGGATGGATGATGGATGGGTAGGTGGGTGGATGCGTGAATGGGTGGGTGGGTGGAGGAATGGGTGTTTTGGTGTATGGGTGGGTGGATGGGTGAATGGGTGGATGGGTGGAGGAATGGGTGTTTGGGTGTATGGGTGTGTAGATGGGTGGCAGAGACTTGCAAAAGTGCCACAGTGCCTTAGAGGAGTGATACAGTATCACCACACTCTCTACCTATTAGGATAATCGTACCTTCCTGAGCACTTCTAGAAATATATAAAGCTCCTTCCACTTGGCAAAGATAAGATGTACCAGGGGAAATTCTTAGCTCAAGATATCAAAGCAAGAAGAGTTGAACTAGATTTTCCTGCAAAGGCATGATGGGACAGAAAGACCCTGTTAGTTCAGATTACACCAAATAAAAACTGTATTTCCTTTGCACATCTCAGTTGTAGCCTGAGTGGGTACTGAAGCTCCACCTGGGCCTCAGTACCTTGGCCTTCCTTCCCCTGGGAGCTGAGAACTAAGTACTGGAAGTTTCCATCCAGCAGCCCACATGCCCTGCAGACTTGACCCTCCTCTATGTCTTACAGACCCAGGCAGGATCAAAGTGCTCATGGGAATTCAAAGGAGAGCACAATCCGACAGAAGGAGCGGGTCCCATATTTCACAGAGGAGCTGGCTTTGAAGGATGGTAAGAGCTTCCAGGCAGAGAGAACCACCTGAGTAAGCGTCTCTGGCAGAAAGGAAATGTGATGTTTAGGGGAAGTGAGGGGCCTGGCCCAGGTGGGGTGAATGAGGTTGTTTGGGGCTAGACTGGCATGGGAGGGGAGGGGCTGACAGTCAACATGAAACACACTGACAAGACAGAAAAACGAGTACACCGATTTAACCAATAAATAACTGAATAATCTGGAAGATTTCAGGGATGTGAGATTAGAAGAACGAAGACAAGCGACTACTTCTCACTCATGAAATACAAGCATCCTTTGAGCCTTTGGTGCTGTCTACGACTGTTATTCCAAAGCCACCTGGCACTAACCCAGGTGGAGGTGTGCAGTAATCCCAGGAACCTGGAAGCCCTCCTTTGCAATTGAAATCTCTGCCTTGTCATTCTTGCAACAAACTAGACTCATTTGTTAATCTACTGGGCTAGACTCCAGTAACCTTGCTATGAATGCAAAATGGTTTATTTACTTTTTACACAAACCTTGTTTTTAATTACAAAAATAAATTACCCTTGGAAAAATTTAAGCACAACTTGTATAAAATTAAGAATTCCCCTTTGATCCTATATCTCAGAAATAACCACTAACTGCCTGATCTTCACTCTCAAACATGTTGCTATGCAAATATAAACATATCAACATATGTTATTGCTAATAGCTTTTTTAATTGAAATTTTATTGAGATGAGAGAAGATTCACAGGCAGTGTGAAAGATGCCTTGGTTGTTTCCCCCAATGGCAACATTTCACAAAACTGTAGCGCAATGTCCCCAACCAGGCTACGGCCCTTCATCCAACCCACTGATCTTTGTCAAGTTTTCCCAGGTTCACTTGTCTTCACTGGCATGAGTATGGGTGCATATTAAGTTCTATACAATCTTCTCACCTTTCTATGTCATGTACCCACCTCCGGAGTCAGGATACTGGACACTTCCAGCCCCAAAGGATCCTTCTTTTGCCTCTTTAAAGAGGTTATTAATAACCACACCAACCTCCCCCCCAACCCCTCCCCCATCCTTTTTTAGTATGTTTTGTTTTGTTTTGTTTAAGTGAAAGCAAGTTTATTAAGAAAGTAAAGGAATAGCCTGGGCGCAGTGGCTCACGTCTGTAATCCCAGCACTGTAGGAGGCCGAGGCGGGCAGATAGATCACCTGATGTCAGGGGTTCAAGACCAGCCTGGCCAACATAGTGAAACCCCGTCTCTACTAAAAATACAAAAATTAGCCGGGCATAGTGGCAGGCACCTGTAGTCCTAGCTACTTGGGAGGCTGAGGCAGGAGAATCGCTTGAATGCAGGAGGCGGAGGTTGCAGTGAGCCACTGCACTCCAGCCTGGGTGACAGAGTGAGACTCTGTCTCCAAAAAAAAAAAAAAAAAGGAAGAAAGTAAAAGAATAAAAGAATGGCTATTCCATAGGCAGAGCAGCAAAGATGGAATTTTTTTTTTCCAGCAGAATTCTCTAGAGGCCCATCCAAGTTGCTGCGTGTGCCAGCAGGTTTGTTCCTTTTCACTGCTGACTAGCATTCTATAGCATGCATGTGTCACAGCTTGTTTAAGCATTCACCCGTTGAAGAACATCTCAGCTAATTCCTGTCTGGGACTATTACAAATAAAGTTGCTCTGAATGTTTGTGCACAGGATTATGTGTGAATATAAGTTTTCGTTTCTCTGGGATAAATGCCCAGGAGTGCAATTGCTGGGTCATATGGTAAATGCATGAATAGTTAAAAAAAAAAAAAAAACCTGCCAAACTGTCTTCTAAGGTGGCTGTACCATTTTATATTCCTGCAGCAATGTCTGAGACATCCAGTTTCCGTGCATTCTCACCAGCATTGGATGGTGCCATTTTTACCTTAATCATTCTGATAGATGTGCAGTAATATCTCATTACAGTAGTTAATAGCTTTCAGAAAACAGAATTAGAATAAACTGTTGTACACCTAGATTGGTATTACTTCACTGGCTCAATCACATTCCATTAGGTAAATATATAATAATTGATTTAACTATTTTTCTGTTGTTACTCATTAATGTAAAATATTTTGCTACTATAAAAATCTATTGGCTGGGCACAGTGGCTCACGCCTGCAATCCCAGCACTGTGGAAGGCTGAGCAGGGAGGTCACCTGGGGTCAGGAGTTCCAGACCAGCCTGGCCAACATGATGAAATCCCGTTTCTACTGAAAAGACAAAAACTAGCCGGCAGGTGCCTGTAATCCCAGCTACTCGGGAGGCTGAGGTAGGAGACTTGCTTGAACTCGGGAGGTGGAGGTTGCAGTGAGCTGAGATCATGCCATTGCACTCCAGCCTGGGCAACAGAGTGAGACTCCGTCTCAAAAAAAAAAAAAAAAAAAAAAAAAGTCTATGAAGGCCGGGCATGGTGGCTCCCGCCTGTAATCCCAGTACTTTGGGAGGCCTAGGCAGGTGGATCACTTCAGGTCAGGAGTTCGAGACCAGCCTGGCCAACATGGTGAAACCCTCTCTCTAACAAAAAATACAAAAATTAGCTGGGCGTGGTGGTTCACACCTGTAATCCCAGCTATTCAGGAGGCTGAGGCAGGAGAATTGCTTGAACTTGGGAGGTAGATGCTACAATGAGCTAAGATCCCACCACTGCACTTCAGCCTGGGCGACAGAGTCAGACTCTGTCTCAAAAATATATATATCTATTAATATTAGTATACACATATACATTAGTATACATAAGCTTTTGTATATTCTATATTACACTTTATAATATCAGTGCATATGTACACATATTAGATAGATTTTTTGCTCACTTACGCATGTATTTTTATTACTCATTCATAAAAGTACAATTGCTATGCAAAAGACATACACATTTGAAATTTTGATAGATATTGCAAAATTGCCTTCCAAAAACTTTGTACCAATATACACTCCCACAAGACTGCATAAGAATGATCATTTCCCTATAAACTCTCCAATAGTTAATATAATTCACTAAAAAAATTTTTTTCCAATATTATAGGTTTAAAAATAGTCTCTCATTATTATTGTAATTTGCATTTTTACTGGTGGAGAGGAGCAGTTTTTAACAATACTATTGGTCATTTTAATGTTGCGTATGTCTTTTTCATATTCTATTATGCTTATTATGTTATTTTTTCATTTTTTACTAGATTCTTTTCTTAATGATTTATTCTTTTAAAAACTTTCCCCACACAAAATTTTTTAAAATATTTCATCTTATGATTTTATAGTTACTTTTCACATTTAAACCCCTCATTTATTTAAAATCTATTTTTTGTTTATGATGCAAGGCAGAGACTGTGACAGAGGCTGTCACTGTGCCAACATGCTGAGACCTGGAAGAGCTGAGTTTATGTCCCCCAGGGAAAGCCTTACAAACAACCTGTGCAGGGGATAAGTAACTTACACCCTGATCTCTGCTTGTAACAAACTTGGATGGGATTTATGCTGCCCCTAGGCTGCCCTGAGGACTGAGCCACAGCTGCCCTCCACAGGACTTCGCTGATTCTACATCCTTGCCTGGCCTTGTCCCTTCCCAGCCTCACTTCCCTACTCCCCTGCTGACTTTCACTGGGAGCACTTCTTAAAAATTCACCTGCTCGGCCGGGCATGGTTGCTCACGCCTGTAATCCTAGCACTTTGGGAGTCCGAGGCGGGTGGATCACGAGGTCAGGAGTTCCAGACCAGCCTGGCCAACGTGGTGAAACCCCGTCTCTACTAAAAATACAAAAAATTAGCTGGGCGTAGTGGCGGGCACCTGTAGTCCCAGCTACTTGGGAGGCTGAGGCAGGAGAATCTCGAACCCAGGAAGTGGATGTTGCAGTGAGCCAAGATCATGCCACTGCACTCCAGCCTGGGCAGCAGAGCGAGACTTCGTCTCAAAAAAAACAAAAACAAACAAACAAACAAAAAAATATATGTATACTCACCTGCTCACAAATCCTCAGCTCAGGATCCATGTGTGAGAAACCCAACATAAGACCAAAATCAGATTTTATCTTTTCTACATGGATAGCTCATTTCCCCTGCTAATTTCCCTGACATCCTTATAAAACAGTCCAAACTTCTCCACTGATTGGGGATGGCATGTTTATTCTGTGCTGGCAGTAGTAGCTTCTGGTAGAGCATCTTTGCCCCAGGCACTGCAGAGAAGGGGTGGCAACCACCCTAGGGTCCTGCAGAGTCACTGTCCAGGCTGCTGAGGACAGTTGGCCGCAGCCCCCATCGGAGTCCTCCTACGAGGGACTTCAAATGTCAAGAATGTCCCACCGCAGTCCATATGATGTGTTTTAATGCAGATAGGACCAGAGCCTGAAGGACTTGTTTCTTTCAAAAACAACATACATTAACATGTTGAGGCAATAGTCGTAACCTCACTGTCCTAATACAAAAACTATATTCCCCTTCGTATGTCTTCCATTCTTTGCCAACCATGTGGTTCCCATCACATCATACTTACATTTTTGCAGTCTGTTTCTAAAATTGTATACTTGGCTGGGTGCGGTGGCTCACACCTATAATCCCAGCACTTTAGGAGGCCGAGGTGGATGGATCACCTGAGGTCAGGAGTTTGAGACCAGCCAGACCAACATGGTGAAATATAAAAATACTGAAATATAAAAATTAGCTGAGTGTGGTGGTGAGCGCCTGTAATCTCAGCTATTTGGGAGGCTGAGGCAGGAGAATCGCTTGAACCCAGGAGGCACATGCTGCAATGAGCTGAGATCGTGCCACTGCACTCCAGCCTGGGCAACAAGAGTGAAACTCTGTCTCAAAAAAAAAAAAAAAAATGTATACCATAAAATACTTCGAGGTTTATATATACTCTTTAAAATGATCATTTTTAACAGGCTGCATATTCATAAACTAGAATTTTTTTAGACATTATCTTGTGGTTGGATATTTTAGTCACATATAAGATTTTGCTTTATTAAGAGAACATGGCAGTGAACAAACTTCAATATTTTCCTACACCAGAATGCTGTGGTTTGAATGTTTGTCCCCTCCGAAACTCACGTTGAACTTGGACCTCACCAGATGTGGCCCCTCAACCTCTGACTTCCCAGCCTCCATAACTATAAGAAATACATTCGGCCGGGGGCCGTGGCTCACACCTGTAATCTCAGTACTTTGGGAGGCCGAGGCGGGTGGATCACAAAGTTAGGAGATCAAGACCATCCTGGCTAACACGGTGAAACCCCGTCTCTACTAAAATTACAAAAAATTAGCCGGGCATGGTAGTGGGCGCCTGTAGTCCCAGCTACTTGGGAGGCTGAGGTAGGAGAATGGCATGAACCCAGGAGGCAGAGCTTGCAGTGAGCCGAGATCACGCCACTGCACTCCAGCCTGGGTGACAGAGCGAGATTCCATCTCAAAAAAAAAAAAAAGAAAAGAAAAGAAATACGTTCCTTTTCTTTACAAATTACCCAGTCTCAGGTCTTCAGTTATATTAGGTTGGTGCAAAAGTAATTGCAGTTTTTGTCATACTTTTTTTTCTTTTTTTCTTTTTTGAGAGGGAGTCTCGTTCTGTCTTGCCCAAGCTGGAGTGCAATGGCATGATCTCAGCTCACTACAACGTCCACCTCCGGGGTTCGAGCGATTCACCTGCCTCAGCCTTCTGAGTAGCTGGGACTACAGGCATCCACCACCACGCCCAGCTCATTTTTGTATTTTTCATAGAGACAGGGTTTCACCATGTTGGCCAGAGGGTCTCAAACTCCTGGCCTCAAGTGATCCACCCGCCTCGGCCTCTGAAAGTGCTGGGATTAAAGGCATTAGCCACCGCGCCCAGCCTGTTTTTGCCATACTTTTTTTTTTAATGGCATAAAAAGCACCAACCTAATAGCAACAGAAAATGCACTAAGACACCAATGACGTGTTGTGTTTGTGATGACCCAAGAAAGTCTCCTGGAAGTTTATAGCTCCAGAGCTATAAAATATACAAAAATAGGCATTTTTTTAAGCCCTATACTCAGGTATGCAAAATGGTTCTTTCTTTAGTTTTTTGGAGCTAGACTTAGTTTCTATCTTTAGCTCCCATTCCTCTTAGTCACAGAAAATAAAATCTTGCCAATTCAAAAGTTTCTCAGTTGACTCATGATAAAATTAGACAATGTATGTGTTTCTGCTCCCCACTTTCTCCCTAGAGTTGCAGCTCTTCTCCCTGGGGCATTTTTGGCATTAGGGCATGGGGGTTGCATCTGGTTCCCCCTGGGCTGGCATCCGTAAAGACGTCTGCATGCCCATGTGTGTATTTCTGTAGGATGCTCCCATACAGAGCTAACGGTGTATCTCCTGAACATGGTGCTTGGTGCTTCAGATACCCATCCAGGTAACCCTCAAAACAACCTTATCGGGGTGGGGACAGTATTAGTCCCATTTCACAGATGAGGAGAATGAGGCACAGAGAGGTTATGTAATTTGCCCGAGTCACAGACCTATAAGTGGTGGGTTCTGGATTCAAGCTCTTGCATTCTGGCTCCAGAATCTGCCACCTCCTGTGGCCCCACCCATCAGGCCACCAGTCCTGAGGTCCCTACCACATTCCTCGTTCCAGGCCATAGGAGCCTCAGGTATGGCTTATTTTGGCATCCAGACTGAGCCTGGCTCAGTCACAAGAGGAAAAGCCTTTGGCTGCTCCCAGTGCCCCGGGGCAGGGGCAGCACTGGAAGGCGACCAGGCAGCTCCAAGCAGAACCCTCTGCCCTCAATCATTAGCTTATCTGAAGTTTCCTGCAACCCCTACCCAGCCCTGGGGCCCAGCCTGAGGAGGGCAGAGTCAGGCCCACCCCATGCCCCCTCCTGTTCCCCCTTCTTGGGTCTCCCCTCTCCACCAGCTCAGGACCCCTCTCCAGTGTGCCAGGAGGGTGGGGGAAGCACTTCTGCCTAATCACATGTGATTCTAAACCCTCCCGCCCTGTCTTACACCTTGCTCATAGCTTCTCAGACTTTACAGCAGTGACTCCTAGCCCTGACGCATGTCAGTATCACTTGGGGAGATTAGAACAAAACAAAACAAAACATACTGGCATCCAGGCCCCAGCTCCAGAGATTCTGATTCAATTGGTTTGTGCTAGGCCAAGGATGGGTATTCTTTATTTTTTATTTTTTATATTTATTTATTTATTTATTTATTTATTTAGAGACAGAGTCTCGCTCTGTTGCCCAGGCTGGAGTGCAGCGGTGCATCTCCGCTCACTGCAAGCTCCGCCTCCCGGGTTCACACCGTGCTCCTGCCTCAGCCTCCCGAGTAGCTGGGACTACAGGCGCCCGCCACCACGCCTGGCTAATTTTTTGTGTTTTTTTTAGTAGAGACAGGGTTTCACCGTGTTAGCCAGGATGGTCTTGATCTCCTGACCTTGTGATCCGTCCGCCTCGGCCTCCCAAAGTGCTGGGTTTACAGGCATGAGCCACCACGTCTGGCCAGGGATGGATATTTTTTTAAATCTCCCAGGAGAGGCTGGGCGCGGTGGCTCACGCCTGTAATCCCAGCACTTTGAGAGGCTGAGGAGGGTGGATCATGAGGTCAGGAGTTCAAGACCAGCCTGACCAAGATGGTGAAACCCTGAGTCTACTAAAAATACAAAAATTAGCCAGGTGTGGTGGCGGGCGCCTGTAATCCCAGCTACTCAGGAGACTGAGGTAGGAGAATTGCTTGAACCTGGGGGGTGGAGTTTGCAGTGAGCCGAGATCACGCCACTGCACTCCAGCCTGGGTGACAGAGTGAGACTCTGTCTCAAAAAAAAAAAAAAAAAAAAAAAGTCTCCCAGAAGATTCTAACATGGGTCCAGAGCCAAAAAAATTCACAGTTTTAAAACCAAGAATTTCATCCCCTGTTCTCGGGTTCTGCTATAACAACTTCCTCTTGGAGCCACGGAAGCCTTCTCTCCAGAAGGTGAACCAGGCAGTCGGGGGGAGGGATGTGAAGCAAGGTTCACGCAGCAGACAATTGTCTTTCTTTTTGTTCTTGCGGCTGAACCCCCTTCCTATATTTACAGAATTTCCCGCCTATGGGTCTTCATGTGAGAAAAGCCCTCTTCTGCTTCTAGAAGCTAAAAATGCCAGATACTCACTTCCCCAGCCTCGCTTGAGGCCAGTGCATTACATGTAGCCTTGATCTTGAATTGGAAATTCATAATGAAATGAGCAAAGAGCTCTCTGGCAGTGGCAACAGCTAACTATGGGATCAAATCTCTACCCTAATGGTGGCATCCTGGTGTAGCCAGCGGCCTGTGGCCAGAACCAGGGGTTGAGTGTCCTGGAGGACTGTTGCTGTTTTGCAGTTGGGATATGGCTCCGGCTGTGTACTGTCTGGGCCTGGCGCACCAGCCCTTCTGGAGATTCTGTGAGTCATCCCATTGCCTACAAAGAAGTCTTGTTCTGCTCCCATCAGCCAGATTTGGATTCTGTTTGCTTCAAAGCACCTGCTGGGTGCAAGAGTCAGAGGAAGGTTAAGAAAAAAAATGTGGCTGACACTTCACAGTGCCATCCAGCCACAGGGCATGACCGAGGAGCAGCACCTGGCTCTTTCTGCAGTCTCTGAGGTTTATTCAATAAACCGGAGCCACAGGCACCATAAGAATGGGCAGCAAGTCCGGGCACAGTGGCTCACGCCTGTAATCCCAGCACTTTGGGAGGCCGAGGCAGGCAGATCACGAGGTCAGGAGTTCGAGACCAGCCTGGACAATATAGTGAAACCCTGTCTCTACTAAAAATACAAGAATTAGCTGGGCATGGTGGTGGCGCACGCCTGTAGTCCCAGCTACCTAGGAGGCTGAGGCAGAAGACTCACTTGAGCCTGGGAGGCAGAGGTTGCAGCGAGCCAAGATGGCACCACTGCACTCCAGCCTGTAGGACAGAGTGAAATTCCATCTCAAAAAAAAAAAAAAAAAAAAAGAATGGGCAGCAGAATGCCTGCACTAGAATCTCCTGAGATGCTTGATAAATGTCAGATTCTTGGGCCTTACCCCAGAGACTGCTTTGTAGTCCGAGGGTTTGGAGCCTGTATTCCTGCATTGTTAATGAGCTCTTCAGGCAAGTTTGGGAATCACTGGACTAAATGGTGAATTTAACCCCCACTGCATGGGCCTAAAGGACTTGTTACAGGTGCAGAGCTCGCGTGTTTGGAAACAGACTGAAGATCACCAAGCACAAAACTTTCACTTTCAAATGAGAAAATGTGGGGAACAGAAGATTCTAGAAGACACAGAGCACTGACTCTGGGAGTGTGGGTCTTGTGGTTGTCCAGGCTCCACCAGGAATAGAAGATGGAGGAGCTGAGCTGGCAGGCAGACAGTGAGGCAACAGCAGGAAGCCACTGTCACCCTAGGTGAGAGGTGACATCAGCTGAGCCCAGGGCTGGGGTCATGTGGTAGATACTGGGGCCATGGCAGGCCTGCCCAGCTGCAGTTGGAGGCAGAGCCGAGGGAGAAGTAGCCGGGCTTCCACCTTCTTACTCCTTCTGTCTCCTCCCAGAGCTTCCCACTGGCCAAGAGCCTCCAGAAGCCAGGGAATGCTGAGCCTGGGTACCCCGCCTGCAGGCCTCAGGCCCACTCTGTGACCCGGAAGAGAGGGAAGAGCCGCAAAGGGATCTGAGGGACAGGAGGCCCAAGACCTGGGCATCCAGAGAGCTGATTCTTCTGAGGTTTCAGAGGGAGAATGAAGCTCAGCTGGGCGGAGAGCCTTGCTCAGATGAGGAAGCAACAGAAACAAACTAGAACCCAGCTCTCCTGAGTCCCCATCCTACACTGCTGGCATGAATCACAGCCCAGCAGACAGATCCCAGCTGCTTCTGGTTTGGGCTCGTGTAGCTATTTCTCCCCTGGCCCTCGGGTCAGCTGCACTTACGGCATTTTAAGATTCAAATGGGGCAGGGCAAGGTGGGGAAGTCGGGGATGATAGAACACAGAAGACAGGTAGCCCTCGCCCACTATCTAGTGAAGAGACTCCTCTCCATGCTAAAGACACTGCATAGCACAGAAAAACAAAAGACAAGTGCCTTTTGCCCTGAGAATTCCACAATGTGTGACACCCGAAGCTTCGGAAAACAGGGCTAGGACATGGGTTGTCACACACACCCTTCTCGGTTTGCATGTGGAGGAAGGTCAACGGCACAGCTATAAGGAAAACTGCATTCCTTGTGAAAGCAAGGGTTGGATGTCTGGAGCAACATCTTCAACCAGTGTTTTCATTTACAGATAAAGAACCTGAGACTTGGAGAGGTGATGTGATTTGCCCGAAGCCACACGATGAGTTAGTGGTCAATCCATTCATCTTAATGTCAGCTAGAGCATCCCTCTGCCTGGTGACTGACTTCCCAGGGGCCACGAATCAAGGACGTGGGACAGTTAGTCAGGAAAAGGACCCGAGCCTCTGCCGTGCTTCCTCCATGGCCTATTTAACCTTTGTGACCTTGTATAGCCTGCCTGGGCACAGCTGGCTGTTGATAACTAAGGAGCCAATCAACATCCAGAGCTGGGTGCCCAGGGCGAGGCAGCAGGTCCAGTTCTCACCGTGGCTCTGCTGCAAAGCCTAGGGCAGCAGCTGAGGGGCAGGCAGGGAGGAGCGCAAGAGGCAAAAAAGCAGGTGAGGAGGTGTTACCTGAAAGGGGTCCCCATCCAGACCCCAAGAGAGCGTTCTTGGATGTTGTGCAAGAAAGAATTCAAGGCAAATCCATAAAGTGAAAAGTCTCTGGCCAGACTTTGGGAAAGTCACTAAACACCAGTGCCCTGAGGACACAGTCACCTTTCAGTCTGCTTCCAGCTCTAGGGTTTAATGAAAGCTGTCAGCCACTTGCGGTTCTGCCTCCCTTTTATCAACAGTGTCTGTTTGCAGAGCAGGAGCCATTCATCCCAGCGCTGTGCTTTCAGCTCTGTCCACTGACCCTCTGTCAATATTCAGCGCAACAGCAGGTCAGTGCCTTCCAGCCTGTGTCACTCAGCACATCATTAGCCGCAAAGTCACTGGAAGGACCGCATTCTCTGGATTGTGCTGTCAACTTTGACTTCCAAAATACCAGCACATGCAACACTTTACATAGTTCCCCATGAGTTGACCAACATTTGAAAAATCTAAAGAGATCACTCTGATGACTCTTATGACACTGAAGGAAATATGCTTTTCATATTTAATCTAGGCTATTTATTTTCCCATGAGATAGCCAGAGAGGTGGAAATTCTGAGCATTCTCTTTACCTTAAGACATTTTTCTTGAGCTGATTTTTGTCTAGGAATGTCAAGATACTCGACACCCCAAGACCATGATCTAAGCATCTGGATAGAAATCAGGAGTTTGGCCAGCCCAGACCACCAGAAATTCCTGCTCAACAAACAAGTTATTTGCATCTAGGCCATAAGTTAGTTGTTGAAGTACTTTCTTTAATCTTCTCCTTAAGTGATGGTGAAACCCACTTGTGGTGGGCATTAAATGCTTAAAAGCAGAAGTTCAAAGAATGCATTTCGCTGTTCTCCATAGGGTTTGGCGCTGCCTCTTCAGAATAGAAAAAACAGGACACACCATGGAAATGGGTGTGTTTTGTTTCCAGAGGGAAGTTCTCTTGCTGATGCTGTCAGGAGCCAGTCCCTTTCTGCCAACTCAGCAAGGTCTCCTGGGGTTAGAGAAACAGTCCCCCCTGCAGTCAGTGAGAAGAATGAGTGGCTGAGGAGCCCTGGAAGGACAGTCTTGATGCTGCAGGCCAGGTGCCTAAGGCAGCAGCTGGGGAGGAGGCGGGAGGAGCGCAAGGGGCAGAAGAGCATTTGAGGAGATGTTACTGGAAAGGGGTCCCCATCCAGACCCCAAGGGAGAGTTCTTGGATTCTCGTGCAAGAAAGAATTCTAGGCAAATCCATAAAGTCAAAGCAAGTTTATTAAGAAAGTAAAGGAACAAAAGAATGGCTACTCCATAGGCAGAGCAGCCCCTGAGGGCTGATGGTTGCCTATTTTTTATGATTATTTCTTGATTATATGCTAAACAAGGGGTGGATTATTCATGAGTTTTCCAGGAAAAGGATGGGCAATTCCCGGAACTGAGGGTTCCTCCCCCTTTTAGACCATATAGGGTAACTTCCTCATATTGCCACGGCTTTTGTAAACTGTGGTGGTGTTGGTGGGAGTGTCTCTTAGCATGCTAATCATTATAATTAGCGTATAATGACCAGTGAGAACAACCAGAGGTCACTTTCATCACAATCTCGGTTTGGGTGGGTTTTAGTGGGTTTTGACCGGCTTCTTTACCACAACCTGTTTTATCAACAAGGTCCTTGTGACCTGTACCTTGTGCTGACCTCCTGTCTCATCCTGTGACTTAGAATGCTTAACCTCCTGGGAATGCAGCCCAGTAGGTCTCAGCCTTATTTTACCCAGCCCTTATACAAGATGGAGTCGCTCTAGTTCAAACGCCTCTGACAGAAGGAACCGCCGAGGAAAAGTGCAGTACAGAGGAGCTATGGAGCACCCAAGGATGAGCCCCAAGGGCAGCAGATCTGAGTCAGAGGGCTGGGCATGAGTTCCTGGACAGTCCTCAGATAGACTTTCTAGACCAGAAAAGTGGGTGCACACACCCAAGGCAGTGCTTCTCAACCAGGATGTCAGTGAATTAAGCCCTAATGACTTACAGCATTCCTCATATGTAATGCATGATATGTGTGTATACACTGTGTGCAATACATACATACATACATGCAGCATCCGTTGTATGGAATACATTGTACCTATGTATACCTTGTGTAGATACTTATATACACACATAAGGCATTCATCATATCCATACAGACATAACATACAAACATTCTCATGGACGAGGGTTAGTAGCGAGTACCCCAGGGACCATCGCCTTGTAAGGTAGCGAAGGAAGCAGGGCTGGGCAGAGGAGTTCTGCTGTGATGTAGGATGGAGTCACAGAGAGATTTCAGCCAATCCCAGGTCTCCACAGAGAGCCCTAGAATCGGGATGGCCCTTTGACAACGTCTGACCTCTGAGAAAAGAGGACCAAGAGTATGTACCCCTTTCATTCACCAATAATGGGACATGTGCTGCCCCAAAAAGGGGCATATCCTTGGGCGAGAAGGACTTCTTTGAGGGCGATATCTGAAGGATTCAGCTGAGTGCAGCCAGCCTCTACTGCCCTCAATGAAACCGCCTTTGCAAAAATTATAAATGAGGAAATTATAACAGTGAAAGAGGTGAGACCTAATTGGCTCCACCTTGCTTCTAACCTTTAAGCTGCCTTTGTTTATTCCTGGGCGTAGGCAGAACTAACCTTGGGAAGGAATTTAGTTTCTACTTTAACTCTGAAACAAAATTGATACTAGCCCTTTCCCAAAATTGATAATAGCCCTTTCCCCCTTCTTGCCTGGGGGACCAGTCTGCCTTTGTAGGACTAACAAATTGGATACAAGATTATAAATTACAGCTTAAGGTCCATGCAGCCTCTAGCCGCAAGAGTCTGAACTTCCCCAAATTGCTCCTGGGAATGACATCACTGTTGTAAAACCTAAGATCAGTTCTTGAGATATTTTTCAGACCCTGCACTTGATGCACCAGCTGACACCACCCAGACCAGTAATCTGGCTCAACCAGTTCTGCGATCCTACTCAGGAAGTGAAGACAGCAAGAAAAATTCACTTCGACCCCCTGTGATTCCATCTCCAACCCAACCAATAAGCACTCCCCACTTTCCGAGCCCCTACCCACCAAATTATCCTTAAAAACTCTGATCCCCAAATTCTTGAGGAGACTTATTTGAGTAATAATAAAACTCCAGTCCTCTGCACAGCTGGCTCTGCGTGAATTACTCTTTCTCCATTGCAGTTCCCCCGTCTTGATAAATCAACTCTGTCTAGGCAGCGCACAAGGTGAACCTGTTAGGCGGTTACCCCAGCAGCTGGGAATGAATGCCTCCACCCTGAAGGGGCACCTGGGCATCAGGAGTCTCTTGAGATCAGTGTCTTTTTGTAGAAATTAACAAGTTGATTCAAGAATTCATATGGAAATGCAAAGAACCTAGAATAGCAAAAACAACTTTGAAAAAGAACAAAGTAGGACTTGCAAATATTTGACTTATTATAAAGTTACAGTTATCAAGACTGTGGTACTGACATCAAGACAGATCCGTGAAACAAAATAAAGAGTCCAGAAATAGATCCAGGCATACTTGTCAAATATTTTTTCCTATAGGCAAAATTCAGTTGTCATTTCAAAAAATGGTGCTGGTACAACTGGATATTAATAGGCAAAATAATAAACTTCAGTTCATATCTCACACCGTAAACAAAAATTAACCCAAAATGGATTATGTTTTTGGTTTTTGTTTGTTTGTTTGTTTGTTTATGGAGATGGGGGCTTCTCACTATGTTGCCTAGTCTGGTCTTGAACTCCTGGCCTCAAGCGACCCGCCTGCCCCGGCCTCTCAAAGTGGTGGGATTACAGATGTGAGCCATCACACCTGGCCCCAAAATGGCCTCAATCATAAACTAAGGTATACAACCTAATACTGTAAAATGTATAGAAGAAGACAGAAGAAAGTCATCATGACCTTTGATTAGGCAAAGATTTCGTCAATACACATGACAGGCACAATCCATAAAAGAACATGTTGATAAATTGTACTTTATCAAAATACTACTGTTCTTAGCAACACACTATTAAGAGATGAAAAGGTAATCCATGGACTAGGAGAAAATACTTGCAAATTAAATATCTGATGAAGGACTGGTATCTTGAATATATACACAAACTCTCAAAACTCAATCATAAGAAAATGATAACCCAAATTTTTAAAAGGGCAAAAGACTTAGACACTTCACCAAAGAAGACATATAGACAGCAGATAAGCACAAGAAAAGATGATCCAACCATTCTCCTCCTAAGTATTTACCAAGAGAATGGAAGCATATGTCCATACAAAGGCCTCTCCAATAATGTTCACAGCAGCTTTATTTGTAATAGTGAAACTCTGGAACCACCCAAAGGTCCACCAATAGATGAATAGATAAACAAATTGTGACGAACCCATGCAAAGGAAAACTATTCAACAGTAAAAAGGAATGAACTATAGATAACACACAACAACACGGATGAATTTCAGAATAATTATGCCAAATGTAAAAGCCAGATCAGAAAAGAGTACCTACCATATAATCCCATTTATGTAGAATTTCAGAAAATGCAAACTGGTCTATAGTGACAGAAAGCAGACCAGTGGTTGCTCGGGGATGGGGAGATGGGAAGGTTTATCAAAATATTTTCCCAAACACAATTCACTCGAGCAAAAGAAATTCTGGTGCTAGCTGTTAAGATAATAAAAATTGCTCTATACTAATACCTAGTAAAGAATGTAAATAAGGCCAGGCACGGTGGCTCACACCTGTAATCCCAGCACTTTGGAAGGCCGAGTCAGGAGGATCACCTGAGGTCAGGAGTTCGAGACCAGCCTGGGCAACATGGTAAAACTCCGTCTCTGCTAAAAATACAAAAAATTAACTGGGCATGGTGGCAGGCACCTGTATTCCCAGCTACTTGGGAGGCTGAGTGAGGAGAATTGCTTGAACCTGGAAGGTGGAGGTTTCAGTGAACTGAGGTCCCGCCATTGCACTCCAGTCTAGGTGACAGAGCAAGACTCTGTCTCAAAAAGAAAAGAAAAGAAGGCCGGGCACGGTGGCTTACACCTGTAATCCCAGCACTTTGGAGGTCGAGACGGGTGGATTACGAGGTCAGGAGTTCAAGACTAGCCTGGCCAAGACGGTGAAACCCCGTCTCTACTAAAAATACAAAAAAATTATCCAGGCGTGGTTGCAGGCGCCTGTAATCCCAGCTACTCGGGAAGCTGAGGCAGAGAATTGCTTGAACCCAGGAGGCAGAGGTTGCAGTGAGCCAAGATCCGCCACTGCACTCCAGCCTTGCAACAGAGCAAGACTCCATCTCAAAAAAAAAAAAAAGAAAGAAAGAAAAAAGAAAGAAAGAAAAAAATGTAAATAAATATCAAACAAAACCCTGGATAAACAAAAAACAATATTGAAAAAATCAGAGAAGCTCACGGCAATGAAAATCAACATATCTAGAATAACAATAGTTTTTGTTAAGGAAGACTGCTCCATTGATTAATGTTGTATTAGTTTGCCAGGGCTCCTGTAAAAAAGTACCAAAAACTGGGTGGCTTAAACTGTAAAAATGTATTGTCTCCCAAGCCTGCATGCTAGAAGTCCAAGATCAAGGTGTCAATAGGGTTGGGTCCTTCTGAGGGTTCTGAGAGAATCTCAGAGAGAACCTGGGCTTCTCTCCTGTCTTCCCTCTGGACATGCCCGTCTCTGTGTCCAAAGCTCCCCTTTTTATAAGGACGCCAGTTGTATTGGATGAGAATCCACCCTAATGATCTCATTTTAACTCGATTACCTCTTTAAGGACCCTTTCTGAATAAGGTCACATTGTCAGGGTCTGGAGCTTAGGACTCCAACATAGATTTTTCTGAGGGACATGATTCAACCCTAACAGATGTTAAATGACTTACAGACCCTAACCCTGGGGCAGTGACAAGGGCAGTGGACTGAAAGTTAAAAAACCTTGGTTCTAGTTTTAGCTTGGCACTGTTTTTAGCAAGCCATCGATGGGGTGAACCGAAAGAGGGAAGGCACATCGGTCCCACATTTCATGCCATCGATGATCCTGGGTGGGTGTTCCCTGGATTGCTTGCTGGGTTTAGAAGAATTCTGAGGCTGCCTTTGGGCTCTACAAAAATGCTCTGATTAAGTCGAAGGTTTTCCACACTTGGGGCTGGCAGGCCAGGTCGCCCGAGATGCCATGGATTTGCCATCCTGACTTGGCTGATCACTAAGTTCCCGTTCAGTGGATTGAAGCTGCTCAAGAAGGACTTGGTGATTGATGTGAACCGGTATCATTGTTAGTGTGATTACCGATCATGGCCATCAACAGAACATACATTCAGTACTTAGCGTTGTGCAGGACCACTTTCTCCCGTAGCCAAAGGCAGAAACATTAAGAGAAAGGAGAAGACCCAGGCCCCAAGATTCTTATTGGTACGTCTATATAAAAGAGCAGATGTGGCCAGGCATGGTGGCTCACGCCTGTAATCCCAGCACTTTGGGAGGTGGAGGAAGGAGGATCACTTGAAGTCAGGAGTTTGAGACCAGCCTGGCCAACATGGTGAAACCCTGTCTCTACTAAAACTACAAAAATTAACTGGGCATGGTGGCGTGCACCTGTAATCCTGGCTACTCTAAAAGCCGAGGCAGAAGAATCACTTGAAGCCAGGAGGCGGAGGTTACAGTGAGCCGAGATCATGCCACTGCACTACGGCCTGGGAGGAGACAGAGTGAGACTCTGTCTCAAAAATAAAAAATAAAAAGAGCAGATGCCACGTTACTTAAGCTCAATTAGTTCAAACGGTCCTCTCTACCTCGACATTACAAACATGGGGCCTGTCCTGTGCATCGTATGACATGTAACCACATCCTCGGCCCCTCCCGCTAGATTCTAGGGCACTCTCTCCCAGTTGTGACACTCCAAATCCCCCACAGCTGGGAACCACTGATTTACATCCAGCAAGGTGATCTCATGGATTAATAATGTTCCAACTCAAACTTCAAGACTCTTTCCTCTGACAATTCTGTCTTCATGGAACAAGAAACTGCTTTGAAGAACCATGGCACAGTCGTGGCTAAAGCAGCTGTGACCATTTTTCAAAAATGGAAACCAATTAAAAACCTGGCACGGACAAATATGACCTCCAGCCATCTCAGGGCTCTTATATGAGCTCTGAAGTGGGCAGAATTTAGTGCCTTAAGCATACAGATTTCTAAGGGATGTGTGACTCAGACTGGTGCTTAAGTGCTGCCTTAGTGGACACTCGACACCAGCAGAATGTTTCTGACTCTCAGGCATTTCAGCTGATCTGCATGTGAACTTCAGCGCTGCCACTTACCAGCTGTGTGACACTTCCTCTCTGAGCTTCAGTTTCCTCCCTGCAAAGTGGGGATAAAGCTATGTGGCAGAGACTGCTAATTGCCTGCCTTCATATCCATTTTCTGCTTTCTCCTAATTAAGATAACCTGGATTATTATTATTATTATTATTATTATTATTATTATTATTATTATTATTGAGACAGAGTCTTTCTCTGTTGCCCAGGCTGGAGTGCAGTGGCATGATCTCAGCTCCCTGCAACTTCCGCCTTCCAGTTTCCAGCAATTCTCCTGCCTCTGCCTCCTGAGCAGCTGGGATTATAGGTGCCTGCCACCACACCCGGCTAGTTTTTGTATTTTTAGTAGAGACGGGGTTTCATCATGTTGGCCAGGCTAGCCTCAAACTCCTGGCCTCAAGCGACCCACTCTCTCTGGCCTCCCAAAGTGCTGGGATTACAGGTGTTAGCAACCATGTCTGGCCCAGAGAACTTGGATTTTTAGTTGGCCATATTGCCAACAGAAAGAAGAGATTGAAGTTCACATCTTTATAAAGGTAGGGGAATGATTTTCCCTTCTACTGCCTTCCTTCTTCCTGTTGCTTGAAACAAGGATGTAACGACTGGAATTCTTGCAGCCACCTTGGACCCAAGAAGAAGCCTGGAGAAAATGAGCCACGTGCTAAGGATGCAAAAAAATAAGAGTCTGGCTCCTTGATGACACCAGGGAGTCACGCACGTCTAGACTTCCTTTATGAGAAAGAGAAATATAATTGCATTACTTAAGCTAATCTTACCTAAGTTTTTGGGTATATGCAATTCAACCTAATCCTAGCTTGTGGTAAGGATCTTCAGACACAAACACAAAACTTCAAATGTGATGCTGGGTGCATTTATAATGGGGTCAAGACCAGTGGGTGTTCAGTCTGCCATGTGGGGGTAGATAATCATAAACAATTTTTTGCCTAGTCTTAAACATATTATTTTAATTTAAAATATACATTCATTCACCCATATTTTGAGTTGTTGTACCTGATTAGAATTTCCACGTCTGCTTAGAGTTTTGCAAATACTAATTCACCCTTAGTAAGTCTTTTATCTAAAATAAAGTTGTTGTTTCAAGATAACTCTATTTCATTGGTCACATATGTATCATTAAGCTGTGTAATTAAAATAACCAGCACTACTGGTATAAACAGGTTCAGTAGGCATGCAGCTCTGTCAGTAGGAGCAGGCCGTGAGAAGCTTTTGGCCTGAGCAGCAGATATACTAAGTTTGATAAAGGAAAGGAGGTGGTCATTCTGTCAGTACCAGAGGAGAAAGAATTAGTTAATATCATTTGATGCACTGTACATATATTGTCTCATCTAAACATCAGAGTTGCCAAGTTAAATCCTTGATCCATTTTACAGAAAAGCAAATTGTTTTGTTTTTTGAGATGGGGTCTTGCTCTGTCACCCAGGCTGGAGTGCAGTAGTGCAATCTCGGCTCACTGTAACCTCTGCCTCCCAGGCTCAAGTGATCCTCCTGCCTCCGCCTTCTGAGTAGCTGGGACCACAGATGTGCACCACCATGTCTGACTAATTTTTTGTATTTTTGGTAGAAATGGGGTTTTGCCATATTGTCCAGCCTGGTCTCAAACTCCTGAGCTCAAGCAATCCGCCCACCTCAGCCTCCCAAAGTGCTGGGATTACAGGTGCGAACTCCCATGCCTGGCCTCAGAAAATCAAATTGAGGCTCAGGGATCTTAAGTATTTTGCCCAAATCACATAGACAGTAAGTGGCAGGGGAGGGATTCCAACGTTCATCTGTTGGGCTCCAAAACTTATGCTCTCTTCACTACATTATATTTCTGCTACACAAAAATAAGAAGGGCTGGGCATGGTGGTTCATGCCTGGAATCCCAGTTCTATGGAAGGCCAAGGAGGGAGGATACTTGAGCCCAGGGGTTCAAGACCAGCCTGGGCAACATAGGGAGACTCCCGTCTCTACAAAAAATACAAAAATTAGCTGGGCATTGTGGCGCTTGCCTGTAGTCCCTGCTACTCAGGAGGCTGAGGTGGGAGGATCACTTGAGACCAGGTGGTCGAGGTTGCAATGAGCCAAGATCGCATCACTGAACTCAAGAAAACACAGTTTATTGTGGTCTGGCAAATGTTAATGGATTCTCACTGCTTTTTCTCATCTTATGCTTATGTTTTTATCCTGAAGCAATGGGAAATGGATGGAGGGTTTTAAGGAGATTCAGAGTCACATAAGAATTCAGGGAGCTACCCCGGCCGGGTGCAGTGGCTCACGCCTGTAATCCCAGCACTTTGGGAGGCCAAGGTGGGTGGATCACGAGGTCAGGAGTTCAAGACCAGCCTGACCAACGTGGTGAAACCCCGTCTCTACTAAAAATACAAAAATTAGCCAGGTGCGGTGGCACGTGCCTGTAATCCCAGCTACTCAGGAGGCTGAGGCAGGAGAATCGCTTGAACCCGGGAAGCAGAGGTTGCAGTGAGCCGAGATCACGCCACTGTACTCCAGCCTGGGTGACAGAGCGAGACTCTATCTCAAAAAAAAAAAAAAAAAAAAAAAAAAAAAGAATGTAGGGAGCTAACTCTTGTAACCAAGTTGAGGATGGATTGAAATCGGATGAGAATGAGGAGCTCTGTTGAAAGTCCCGAGTAGTAACTCAGGAAAGCGACAATGGGACTTACTGACTGATTGACAATGACAGGTAACGTGCTGAGCATTTACTATGAGCATTTATTATGTGGGTTAGTGCTGTTGACAAAAAGAGTGAAACTCTGTGAAATATTTGAAGAGATTTATTCTGAGCTAATCTCAGTGAACAATGCCCATGACACAGCCCTCAAGAGGTGCTGAGAACACATGCCTAAGGTGGCTGGATTACAACTTGGTTTTATACATTTTAGGGAGACATAGGCATCAGTCAGTACATGTAAGATGTACACTGGTTCAATTCGAAAAGGCAAGTTATTGTCCAAAGACCTAGAATCAATAGAAAGGAATGTCTGGGTTAAGATAAGGGGTTGTGGAGACCAAGTTCCCATTATGCAGAGGCAGCCTCCAGGGAGCAGGCTTTAGAGGGACTAGATTGTAAATGTTTCTTATCAGACTTAGAGTGTGTTCTATCAGTAATTCCAAAAGGGAGGAGGGTGTAATGAGGCATATCCAGCCCCACATTCCTGTCACAGCCTGAACTGGTTTTTCAGGTTGACTTTGGAAGGCCCCTGGCTGACAGGAGGGGCTCATTCAGAGAGTTATGGGGCTTAGAATTTAGAGTTTTCTTTTTGGTTTACAGCACTTTACTTAATCTAATTCTCACAGCAACCCTATGAGGTAGCTGAAACTGATGCAGAGAAGTGAAGTAACCTCCCCAGTTGCTAGAGAGGAAGTGGCATGTACCCAAATCCAACTCTGTGCACTTCACCCCATGTTCCAGCCCCCAGTGTGTGGCTGTGTGTGGACAGGTGACAGGTGCACCCGGGAGTTGAGGGAGGGGAGTCTGCTCCCAGACAGGTTGGGTTTGGGGTGCTGAGGGGAGAAGGTGTCAGGGCTCAGGGGACCTGTGGGACTTCACTCCCTGCTCTTCTCCTCCCAGGCCCCTGGCCTCAGGTTCCTGCCTCATGCTGATGACTTTGGGATTGAGTGGGACAGTTGGAGGGTTGCCTTCAGGAAGAGAAATGATGCTGGCCTGGCTTTTGAGCTCCTTATGAAACACAGCAGTGAACCAGTCTAGGAAACCGCACTGTGTTCCACCAGACTGAACAAGCAGAAAGGGCCTTGGACCCGCCTCCCCGGCACACCCGTGGGATGGCTGTCTACATCTGCATGCAAATGATTCTGATACGTTCTGACAAATAATATTTACATTTGGAATCCAGCTGTCAAGAGAGAACAGCTGCCATCAGGTGCTTAAGGCACCTCTAAGGCATGTTTTCAGATTTTAAAAAAAACCACGTGAGCCCACACTGTTTAAACTGTATCCCCACGGAAGTTGCAAACTGAAGCTTCTTTGTTCCTGCCAAATGACTCATGGACGCCCTTTAAAAGAGAACGAAACAGACGTGTTTTGATGGGGAAAATACATAAAAAATGCAGTGCATTTTTCCAAGCAGCCATCAGACCATCTAATTCAGGCCAACGAGGGCAAAGCTGCGAAGCTCTTCGGCTGACCTTCTCCATGAGGACCTTGTCCCAGACAGGGGCCCCCTGGAAAGGGACGTACTGACCAAGGCAGGAAAGAGAAGGCCAATTTTCCCAAGACGATTAATCTTACTGAGGTTCCATTTGAAAACAGCCTTCGTGTTCTTCTAGTATGTTGTTTTTCTGAGGAAATCATTTTCAGAAGCATGTGATGTAATCATCTTAAGAAGATAAGCGTTCATTTACATAGCATTTATTCTGTGCTAAACATAGTAAGTAATTCCTTGATGAAGAACCCAGACACAGAGATAGTAAGTAACTTGCCCAAGTCCACACAGCTAGCAAGTGCCTAGCTGGGGTGCAAACCAGGTAGTCTGGCCACAGAGTCTGGGCTCCGCGTGGTGGAAAAAGCACCTCCCGTGTTGGAATCTGTGTGCCCTTGGACAAGTCCCATATCCTTCCTGAGTCACTAATGCCTCCCCAGCACTGTTGTGGGAGGATTAGTCACTGGGGCAGGCCCTCAATAAACATGAGCTGGATCTGAGTCCCAGGGGAGTGCCACACAACTTCCATGGGCCTCCCCTGACCCTCCCAGGCTTCAGGAAGCTCTTCCACCTCTGCAATGTTGGGTGGAGTAGCAAAAAAAGGCACGCAAGGATCCAGCAGGCCTGTAGGACATGGCGGTTTATTGTGAAAATGGTCTGAATTGATATTGGTAGTGCCTCCACCCCTACACATACACACATACATGGGTTCCTAATACACATGTACACAACACACAACACACAACTAACCAACGAGAATCCATCAGCATTGAACCGCAGGCAGCACACTGGCAGGTGCCTGGAGCGGTTACAGTTGTTACTAATTTCTTGGTGCTTACACTGCGTTGGCTTTGTAACCCCAGGGCCTGGCTCTGTGTCCTGGGGATGCACACATTTCCTCGCAGCTAGGCCAGTTTGCATCAACCCTGCACCACTTCTCTTCATTCTCTACAAATTGGAGAAACCCCATGTTGTTGATAAGAAGGAACCAACGACAAAGTTATAACAGTGAAAGACACAGGAAACAGCTCTCTGGTGCAGGTTCCCAATTTCAGGCATAACAGAAAGTTATTCAGGGCAGCAGCCCTGATGTTCTTGAACTCTGGCTTCTCAAAAGGAAGGACATAATTTTCACTGGGTGGAGGGCTGGGGTTACCTGAAAATAGCTCTCTTGCAGGATGGAAGTTCCTGACCAATTCTACTTCCATAAGGCACTGTCAAACACCTCCCTTCGCCCACCTCCAGATTCCAGATTGAGCAGTCCTAGCCTTAGCCCTGAACACCCACCAGGACCCATTGTGGCTGCCACAAATGGACCCACCCTGCTCATACAAACACGTGGGGACTGCAGAAAAATCAGGACCCAAGGATTGACCTCACACTCCTATCAGTTGCTCCCACTCCTCCCCATCATCTCTGCTTCTTCACCTCCCACTTGACTTTGCCTAGCTCCAGATCTTGCCTCAGGCATAGATATGGTTTGTCTGTGTCCCCACCCAAATCTCACCTTGAATTGTAATAACCTCCACGTGTCAAGGGTGGGGCCAGGTGGAGATAATCGAATCATGGGGATGGCTTCCCCATACTGTTTTCATGGTAATGAATGTCTTATGAGATCTGATGGTTTTATAAAGGGCAGTTCCCCTGCACACACCCTCTTGCCTGCCACCATGTAAAACATGCCTTAGCTTCTCCTCTGCCTTCTTCATCATTGTGAGGCTTCCCCAGCCATGTGGAACTGTGAGTCCATTAAACCTCTTTCCTTTATAAATTACCCATTCTCAGGTGTCTTTATTAGCAGCATGAGAACAGACACCCTAGGATGTGGCAGCCTGCTACAAACCCACTGGCTCAATGGACCCCCTTCCCGATATTTACGCTTCTTAGTTATGCAAGCCAATAAATTCCCTTTATGGTGGTTGAGGTCTTTAGAATTGGGTTTTTAATTTCTCAAAATGCAAGAACCCTGACTAATACAGAGGTATTTGATAAAGTAAATTGAAAGAGAAGCTCAGCAGTCCATGCATTGACTTAGCAGGAAGAGGGGAGCCCTGGAAGGCTTGAATAGACAGGTGGCATCCTTTGATGTATCTGATCAGCCAGTACCCATTTGACGAGTATGGACATCTGCATGGGGCTGGATCATGGGTGTCCACCAGTAAACATCACACTGCGTGACCCCTGCTCCTGAGAAACCCACCGTCAAATTTCATTCAGTAAATTATTTTTGACGGCTGATTATGTATACAACACTGTTAAATTCTAGTTAACATAAGGCGCTTAATTCAAGATAGTGGCGAAAATCATGTTGTTGGAAGGTAGAGTCGGCTGTGCTGGTGTACAGGTGTCCCAGGTAGATGGTACTGAGGTGGGGACAGCTTTCAGGGGTGGCTGGGAGAGACCAGCTGTGAGACGGGGCTGAGCTGAGCAGGAAAATAGGACAGGAAAGTGAGGGCATCCTGGAGGATCAGCCTGAAAGGAAGATGAGGGAAGAGGTGACCGATTGGATGTGGAGCAGAGGGAAGGGAGGGAACAATTTAAGGACATCTTGAAGGGGGCACCTTGAGCAGCAATGGGGATGCCAGGAGAGAAGTGGGTTGAGGGGTGGAGAGGAGGAGGTGAGTTTAGCTTAGACACGTCGAGTTCAGACATTGGTTTAAAAAGTAGTAAGCAATGCCACTGTGTTCACAAGTTGTTGCTTAGGAGGGATGGTGTTTAGGACAGTGGTTCAGATCCAGAAGACTGGATTTGAGTCCCAATTCTGCTTTTTTTTTTTTTTTTTTTTTCTGATACAGGGTCTTGCTCTGTTGCCCAGGCTGGAGTGCAGTGGCTCAATCATGGCTCACTGTAGCGTCAACCTCCAGGGCTCAAGTGATCCTCCCACCTCAGGATCTCTGGTAGCTAGGACCAGAGGTGCACAGCATCATGCCCAGCTAACTTTTTGTACTTTTTTGTATACATGGCATTTTGCTATGTTGCCAAGGCTGGTCTAAAATGCCTAGACTTGAGCTATTCACCCCTCTGCAGCCTCCCAAAGCACTGGGGTTATAGGCATGAGCCCCCGTGCCCGGCTCCAGCCCTGCTCTTTCTGTGCTCTGTGGTGCTGAGCGCATCACTTCACCTTTCTGAATTTCAGAGGGGATAACAAGGCACTCCTTCCTTGGCTTAACTCACAAGATGACCAAGTGAAGTTTTGTAAACCATAACATGTCACGTACATGTTGGTTATTACAGCTGAGATAAAAATTGACAAACTGTAAAAGCATTAAAGCAAACAAATGAGAAAAAAAAAACTCTGTGTTAGCTGGACACAGTGGCTCACACCTGCAATCCCAGCACTTTGGGAGGCCAAGGCAGGTGGATTGTTTGAGGCCAGGAGTTCAAGACCAGCCTGGGCAACATGGCAAAACCCCATCTCTACTAAAAAATACAAAAGAAGATTAGACAGGTGATATGGTTTGTCTGTGTCCCCACCCAAATCGCATCTTGAATTGTAGCTCCCACAATTCCCATGTGTTGTGGAAGGGACCAGGTGGGAGATAATTGAATCATGTGCTGTTCTCGTGATAGTGGATAAGTCTCACGAAATCTGATGGTTTTATAAAGAGGAGTTCCCCTGCACAAGCTTTCTCTTTGTCAGCCGCCGTGTAAGACATGACTTTCACCTTCTGCCATGATTGTGAGGCCTCCCCAGCCATGTGGAGCTGAGTCCATTAAACCTCTTTCTTTTGTAAATTGCCCAGTCTCAGGTATGTCTTTATCAGCACAGTGAAAACGGACTAATACAATGGGCGTGGTGGTGTGCGCCTGTGGTCCCAGATATTTGGGGGGCTGAGGTGGGAGGATGGCTTGAGCCCACGAGGCGGAGGTTGCAGTGAGCTAAGATAGTGCAACTGCAGTCCAGCCTGGGTGACAGAGAGACAGCCTGTCTCAAAAAAGAAAGAAAGAAAGAAAGAAAGAAAGAAAAAAAGAGAGAGAGACAGCGAGAAAGAGAAAGAAAGAAAGAAAGAAAGAAAGAAAGAAAGAAAGAAAGAAAGAAAAGAAAGAAAAAAGGAAAGAAAGAAAGAAAAGAAAGAGAGAGAGACAGCGAGAAAGAAAGAAAGAAAAGAAAGAGAGAGACAGCGAGAAAGAGAAAGAAAAGAGAAAAGAAAAAAAGGAAAGAAAGAAAGAGAAAAGGAAAGAAAGAAAGGAAAGAAAGAAAGAAACAGAAAAGGAAAGAAAGAAAGAGAAAAGGAAAGAAAGAAAGGAAAGAAAGAGAAAAGGAAAGAAAGAAAGACAAACATCTGTGTGAGTATAAGTAATGGCAACTCTTCGGATTAGAACCTTGGGATCATCAAATTTTCCCCGGAATTTGGGGTCTAAATGATGGAGGTAACTGCTCGGGTCTCTGACGGGCCCCGCCCCTCCCCCGCACAGAGAAGGAAGCCCGGGCACACGTTCTCCCTGCCTGCCGCTGACCTGCCCTCCCAAGGCAAAACCCGTCAGTAATGAAAGAGACAGGCATGGACTCCGGCGTTTTAAAACTTCATCTGTCACAAAGAACAGAAGTCAATTATCTAGTCCCAGAAATCATTTCCCCGGATGATAGACGGAAGCTATTAGCAGGTCCTTGGCAAAGACCTTGCCAGGCTTTGATGCTGCCTCCCTGGCCATGCTGTTCCTGGCTGCCTGATCCTTCCCGGGGCCTGGAGTCTGGCTTCCCACATGGGCCCCAAACGGCTGGCTCTGCGGCAGCCCACGCGTCACCTCTGTGCCCATTCCAGGGTCTTCTCTCCAGACTGTGGCTTTCCCTGAATAATCTGGGCTCATGACAGAATAGCGAAAACCCAGAACTTTACAGCCTGGGAGGAGAAAGATGTGTTTCCCTGATGCCAGTGAAGGCCTGTGTGGGTCCCGTCCCTGCGCAGTGGACTTGTCAGCGGGGGGGCTGGAATAGCCCTGGCAGGTGAGATCACGCGCCATTGTAGTTAGTCCAGAAAACCACCCCCTTGATTTCTAGACTCCAACTCACTGACCTTTCATCTTTCTCAAAGATATCCTTTCTTGGACATTGCATGAGCCGGAAGGGGAGGAGGGCTGGGCTGCAAGGCAACGTCCACTCACCGGCTCCTTTCTGGGGAGAAGTCATAGTTCAGGGGCAGGATCCTTTTTCCTGGCTAGGTGTTCACAGGGGGTAACTTGGTGAGGAGGTCTCAAGTGTCTGCCTCAAGGGTACGAACCCTAGACGAATTCTGGCATGTCCTTCCCGTAGGTGGATAGAATACAGCTGGCTACTCTCTCTTCCCATCCATGAATGTTTTTTTTTCCTTTTGTGACAGGTAAGGTGTGACGTGGAGCTGGTTTAGTTTGAATGCTCGGTCACATATTTCAAGAAACTTAAAGGGACACATGACTTTGGCATGGGTGTGGCCTTACTGTTGGCATTGAAGGCAGGGTCTCCACTGTTGCATGGGGCCACTAGAGTCTGATTTAGCAAAGATTGTTCACAGAAAGGCACCAGCACAGTGGGGAGTGCATGGTGGCCCAAGCTCTGCCCTTCAGTAGCTGGGGGGGACTTTACCTCATGGAGACACAGTTTCTTCATCTATAAAATGGAGGCAAAAAATCATGCCTTACAGGCTGGGCACAGTGGCTCATGCCTATAATCCCAGCACTTTGGGAGGCTGAGGCTTGAGGATCACTTGAGGTTGTGAGTTCAAGACCAGCCTGGCCAACATGGCGAAACCCTGTCACTACTAAAAACAACAAAAATTGCCGGGCATGGTGGCACATGCCTGTGGTCTCAGCTACCCAGGAGACTGAGGCAGGAGAATTACTTGAACCCAGGAGGCAGAGGCTTCAGTGAGCTGAGATCATGCCGCTTCACTCCAGCCTGGGCGACAGAGCAAGACTCCGTCTCGAAAAAAAAATCATTAAAGAAAAAAGAATGCAAATCAAGCACCTAGCACATGGTAGGTGCTCACAAATGTTACTTCTTCCCCCTTTATTATCCAGAAATATTTGACCCCAAAACAGATTCTAAGGAATCGACAAGAATAAACTGTGCCTATAGTTTTAGATAAAGATGCAATGTTGCTCTTTTGTGGTTAAAAGTGGTAGCTTTGGCTTCGTTTATTATTTTCTCAGCCATCTTATTCCTGGAAAGTCCTCATCCTTCCCGCACAGCCACTAAGCCGATGATTTTACGGACCTGGGCTTTCTCTCTGGGCACAATGTCCACCTGGTTACCTGGCTATTCCAGCCAGCAGTCAGATGACAGCTGGCCACATGATAGCACTGACCTCACCTTGACCAGCACGTCTCTCCTCCTATTCAAGTGACTTCTCAGGGATCCATCTGTCTGGTCTTGTTCTCTGCAAGCTGAGAGGGACCAGTCTCGTTGCCAACATGGCAGGAAGAAACGGTTTTGGAACCAAGTGATTGAAAGACTCTTCCGTAGGAAACCATGGTCTGTCTTCTCTAGGGCCGTTTCCTGGTTCTCACTGCAGGTGTTCTCCTATCCTAAAGTCATGTCACTTCAAGAACACTTCTGGCCGGGCGCGGTGGCTCACGCCTGTAATCCCAGCACTTTGGGAGGCCAAGGCGGACGGATCACGAAGTCAGGAGATCAAGACCATCCTGGCTAACATGGTGAAACCCATCTCTACCAAAAATACAAAAAAATTAGCCAAGCGTGGTGGCAGGCGTCTGTAGTCCCAGCTACTCAGGAGGCCGAGGCAGGAGAATGGCGTGAACCCGGGAGGTGGAGCTTGCAGTAAGCCTAGATTGTGCCACTGCACTCCAGCCTGGGAGACAGAGTGAGACTCCGTCTCAAAACAAACAAACAAACAAACAAACCAAAAAACACTTCCTGGGTCAGGTGTGGTGGTTCACGTCTATAATCCCCTATAATCCCAGCACTTTGGGAGGCCAAGGTGGGTGGATCGCTTGAGGTCGAGAGTTCAAGACCAGTCTGGCCAACATAGCAAGACCTCATCTCTACTAAAGAAAAAATTTAAAAAATTAGCTGGGCATGGTGGTGCACACCTGTAGTCCCAGTTACTCAGGAGGCTGAAGCACAAGAATCGCTTGAACCCGGGAGGTGGAGGTGGCAGTTAGCCGAGATCACACCACTGCACTCTAGCCTGAGTGACAGAGCAAGACTCTGTCTAAAAAAATAAAAAAAGAAAGCTGCTTTCTGAAGACAGAGGAGCTTCCACAACTGTCTTTTTCCAGCATTTAAAAATCTTCCACTAAACCATCTGGTCTCTCTTAGCCCACACCTTCTCCAGACCGAAGCAAAACTGTTAGCACTTTTTATAAGAACTATCAAGCATAAGAGGTTATTTACCTTGAAGGGATAATCATCAGGATATAGTCAGTGATCGTTTATTCACATATCAAACTAAATTCAACAGATAGCTATGAAATATAGGCTGGGCACGGTGACTCAGGCCTGTAAACCCAGCACTTTGGGAGGCCGAGGTGGGCAGATCACCTGAGGTCAAGAGTTCAAGACCAGCCTGGACAACATGGCAAAACCCCATCTCTACTAAAAAATACAAAAATTAGCCAGGCATGATGGCATTCATCTGTAATCCCAGCCACTCAGGAGGCTGAGGCAGGAGAATTGCTTGAACCCGGGAGGCGGAGGTTGCAGCAAGCCGAGATCGCGCCACTGCACTCTAGCCTGGGCAACGGAGTGAGACTCCATCTCAAAAAAAAAAAAAAAAAAAAAAGAATAAAATATAAAGCAATCTTAGGTGAGAAGTATTTTTGAAAGTGTGATAAATTTGAATTACAGGCCGGATATGGGGGCTCATGCCTATAATCCCAGTACTTTGAGAGGCTGAACTGGGAGGATTGCTTGAGCCCAGGAGTTTGAGACAAGCATAGGCAAAAATACAAAAATTATCTGGGTGTGGAGGTGCACATCTGTAGTCCCAGCTACCCGGGAGGCTGAGATGGGAGGATCACGTGAGCCCAGGGAGGTCAAGGCTGCAGTGAGCCATGATCACGCCACTGTACTCCATCCTAAGCAACAGTGTGAGACCCTATCTCAGAAAAATAATAATAATTTGAATTACAAGAAACTAGCCCCATAGACATAAATATACTGGACTGAACTAAAACTGCACTCATAATAATGATGTCTACACATGAGAAACACGATCATAATTGGTTTCATGCAAAACAAATACCTACAGACAAGGAGTCATTTCCCGAGTGACCAGGAATAGAAACCAGAGATGCATTCTTGAACTGAATGTATTTGGAAGAGTCAGAACAGCTTGAGGGCCAAGTACTCTGTCACAAGCCTTAATATTCTAACCACATTTCATTTTGCACACTCACCTGGCCCACCTCAAGATATGAAGTCTCCATTGTCAAAAGTGCTATGATAACTGACATGCTATAAACCTTCAAAGAATTACAAAAAGCCAGCAGTCTGCCTTTCTGACTGCTGCCAAAGAATATGCTTCACATTTTATTGCCTATGAAGATAAAATCAAACATTGCTTTTGATCCTGGATGTTGCTGTGCTAATTTCATGCCCTCCTACCTTGTGTATGCTTGGATAGTGTGGGGCCACTTGTTTGCCTCTTAAATTGCTGCCCATTGGGGCAGGGGCCATGGCTTATGTATGGTCTGTGCCAAGAGAGATCTAAGCATGATTAAATCTGGCTGCTCTTCTCTTCCTTTTTACCACCTCTTGATGTTTGCATCCTTCTAGGGCTTAAAGTTCAAGAGCAGCTTTTAGAACCTCCATCGCGGGGTTGTAGAGAGAGGAGATCTCATCCTTTTTCTGTATTTCCAAATCCTATCTAAGTGGCCGATGTACTTTTCAATTTAGTTTATTAAGCTGTGCAATAGGAATTACAATAAATACATGTATAATAAGGGCTTTGTAGGCATATGATATGTATAAAACAAATAGCACATTTCCAGGCACAAAAAAAGATGCTCCCTAAATATGTTGAGTGAATGAATGAAGGATTGAATGAATGAATGAAATGAATCTCAGTTTTCACTAATTTGTACATAGGAACAAAAACTGCTTGTAACCTCAGCAAATGCATTCGCTGCTCGCAAGGGACCAGATCATTAGCCTGCAGTATGGCATAGATGACATGAAGTAAACACCTCTCTCTGGCCAATACTAAGACCCTTTCCAAAAAAATAAGCCCACTCTTCCTTAAGTCAGTTAATCCTAACTGAAAACTGCTAGAAGCTACTTACAAATTATAAACTAAACCAAGTTTCTTACATCGTTATCAAAGACACACCCTATTCAGTTTATCAAACCCACCGAGCATCTTCACTGTTTCCAGTTCATACTGAGCTATTTGTGTGATTGGGAGAAGGCACCCCTTCCTCCAGACACTCCACTGCCATCTGCACCCCAGGCCCCACCAAAGCCTAATTGATCTGCAGCTGGACAATGACTCTGATGGGAAGGGTGCCCCGAGCTATGCACCGCACAGCCTATGTAACCTACCATGAGCCTGTTCACGGAGCCATCAGTAGTTTAGGCTTCCTGGCTGGGTGTGGTGCTTACGCCTGTAATCCTAGCACTTTAGGAGGATGAGGTGGATGGATTGCTTGAGCTCATGAGTTTGAGATCAGCATGGGTAACACGGCAAACCCCATCTTTACAAAAACAAAAAAATTAGCCAGGGGTGGTGGTGTGTGCCTATAATCCCAGCTACTTGGGAGGCTGAGGCAGGAGGATCCCTTAAGCCCAGGAGTTCAAGGTGCAGTGAGCTATGATCGTACCACTGTACTCCAGCCTGGATGACACAGTGAGAACTTGTCTCAAAAAAAAAAATAAGTTTAGGTTTCCTTCCTGATCAGGCCTTTGCCCAAACTTAGGTACAAAGCCAAGGGTTTTCCCACCACGAAAGATCAGAAGGATGCTTACAAGTCCTCTTCTCCTTCAGGAGCCTATTTTCTGAAATGTACTGTGTGAAAAACACAAGCATCTAGGGACAATGGAGCCCCCGCAAGACTTCCAGGTCTAGGATGAAATAGGACTCCTCCCACGGAGAGAGAAGACATGAAATGCAGGGAATCATGTAGGTCTTGATGTGCCCAGCTGGACGCAGGCAGAGGGGAAGGGGTGGCATAGGAATTGTAATGATTTCTAGCTGACTCTTGGAAGATGGGAAAGAATTCACAGATACACAAGGGGCAGAGAGCCTCTAGAAGGATGGAAGGGCTTGTGCTCAGGGTTCTGTGAAAGAATGCACACAATATGGGAAGCTACACGTGGTTCGACCTGTTCCCCAAACCGCAGCCAGAGAGAGATTTTGAGAAGGCGAATCTGCCTGAAATGGTTCTGCGGCTCTCCACTAGCTTGGGTAAAGTCTAGCTTAGGTGAAGCTCTCTCTCCCCTTTGACTCTGCACACACTGTCTCTCACCACCAACTTCCAGCTCATAGTCATCAGGGATCCCTTGTTCATCTGGATCAGAGCCCTCCCTGGACTCAGGCAAGGCAATAGCCCCCACGTGTTCACCCACTGAACTTGAACTTAATTGTACCTTCTTGTTAGAGTCTGCTCTCACTCTGGATTGCTGGCTCTAGGGGCTCAGGGACTGTGGCTCTCTTGCTCATCCCTGGATTCTCAGAGCTAGCACAGGATCTGATGCATAACAGGAATTGAGAATGAATGAATGAATGTGTTAGGCATGACTGTATCTGTGGGTATATTCGACATTTGTTGAGAAATTAGGCTGAACCGTTAAGCAGTCTGGACTGCAAAGGGCCTTATATAGCACACTGAGGAATTGGGATTTCATTCACAGACTGCGGGGAGCCATTGAAAGATTTTTAAGCGAGTGCCATACTAGATTTGCATTTTTGAATAATCACTTTTTGAAAGATAATTATGGCACCCACGTAAACAGGATGGATTGGAGAGTTGTCTAGGCTGGAGATAAGAAGATTTGTTGTGCCGCTGTATTCACAAAAAAAGAGTGAGGGCCTGAATTGATGAGGGATGAGGGGAGAATCAAGGGCAGGGAGCAGCTCTGTGGGTACTATGTAAGTAGAATCATCAGGACCTGGTGACTGACTAGATTTGCAGGATGAGGGAGGAGAAGGACTTCAGGATGGTGCCAAGGTTTCTGGTTGGACAACTAGATGAGGAAGAAGAGCAAATTAAATCACAGAAGCATGCTGCAAATGATCAGTTGACTTTGGGTTGGCACTCGCTGGGGTCTCAATCAAAGAAAACCATGTTTTCTACTTCTTCTGGTTAGCCTTTTTGAGCAAAGAAGCTGGAGTATCTGTGGGGTCTTGTGCCCTGCTGAGGGAGTCTTAGACTTGGGAAGTATAGAACCCCTGGTAGTCCAGCTTGCGAGTCAAGTGGGCTGAGATCCACTCAGCCAAGGGCCCAATCCCACCCTATTAGGGTATCAGCAGCTTTCTATCTGATGCACAGTGGTGGGGATGCATGTGGAAGGCATGCTCTTTGCTTCTGCCAGCCCCAGGCTGGATTGCTGTGTCATATTATGGAATGGGGCACAAAGGGGGCATTGATTTGCTGGCAATCCTGCCATGGAATCCCTTGGTCACGGCTTTTCCATGCCCTGTCTCCAGCATACTCAGACTGATCCAGTGTGCCCAACCAGCCGTTTCCACAGGTCTGGCCCGGCCAGGGACCTTCTTGCCACATTCTGGGCTCTGCCCACTGGAGAGTTCAGGACAGGACCCGGGTGCAGACCGGAGGCCCAGGCGCAGAGTTGTTATGCTCAGGGCCATATGGAAAATGTGAACAGGGCCTGAACAAACTGCACAGCTCACTTCTTGGCATTTGCAAGTGGGACTCACCAAGATGCAATGCAGAGGCGGCCAGTGAGGTCAACTTTGGCTGAGAACCCCGAACAGACTGGGAGAGTCCAGGAGAGAAAGGAAGGGACACTGGAGCAAACATAACGGGGTGTAGCCCTGTTTTAAAAACACCAACAGAGAAAGCAACCTTTGGAGGAAAAGTGCATGGCTCCAAATCCCAGGGGGGCCCACTCTTGTCGGGGGTCTGATATCTGACCCCTGGGCTGCCCAGAAGCATTCACTAAATGCTGCTCTCCAACCAAGTTAAAAGAAAACAACTCCCAAACTCTTTGCAAAGAGAGTCACACACATGGCCTTGCAGACTTTGGGAATTCCGCAGAACTGAGAAAATGAAGTCTCTGTTTCGAGCCATGACTAGGTCTCTTATATGACTAAGGGTTATTACTTCTGCTTAGAGGCAGGAAACATCCACAGCTCCAAATCCTACAGGCCAACCAACCACTCTCTGTGTGGCGGTTAGGCAAGCACTTTCAGAGTGAATGTTGGGCACTTACAGATCCCTTGGGAACTTTTTGCTCTCTGATCACAACTCTGCAAGTGGTTCCCCAGAGATGTGAAAGAGCAAGTGCTCTAAGAAGGCGCCTGCTCACTTACAAACCCACTCACCTCTAAGATTCGCCCCACACATTCACAGACCTGGAAAGAAATTCAAAGTCCTTTTTTTTTTTTTTTTTTTTGAGACAGAGTCTTGCTCTGTCGCCCAGGCTGGAGTGCAGTGGCGCAATCTTGGCTCACTGCAAGCTCCACCTCTCGGGGTCACGCCATTCTCCTGCCTCAGCCTCCCGAGTAGCTGGGACTACAGGCGCCCTCTACCACGCCTGGCTAATTTTTGTATTTTTAGTAGAAATGGGGTTTCACAGCGTTATCCAGGATGGTCTCAATCTCCTGACCTTTTGATCCGCCCGCCTCAGCCTCCCAAACTGCTGGGATTACAGGCGTAAGCCACCACGCCCGGCCCAAAGTCCTTTTTTTTTTTTTTTTTTTTTTGAGATAGGGTCTCACTCTGTCACCCAAGCTGAACTGCAGTGGTGCCATCACAGCTCACTGTAGTCTCCACCTCCCGGGCTCAAGTGATCCTCCCACTTCTTAGCCTCCCAAGTAGCTGGGACCATAGGTGTGCACCACCATGCCTGGCTAATTTTTGTATTCTTTGTAGGAATGGGGTTTCACCATGTTGCCCAGGCTGGTCTTGAACTCCTGGGTTCAAGCGATTTGCCCACCTCCCAAAGTGCTAAGATTACAGGTGTGAGCCACTGTGCCTGGCCTAATCCTTGGTTTTGAATTTCTCCTCTAAAATGCTAGATGAAGCTGTGTAGACTTGCTTTCTCTAAAATCTCCCAAGCACATATTAAAAATACAGATTTCCAATCCCCTCCCCTAAAGACAGTTCTGTGCCAGGGCCATCTGGAACCTGGACTTTACCAGGGGTCCCGGAGATCCTTACAATTGGGCAAGTGTCAGCAATGCTTTTGAGCCTAGGAATGATGGTAGAGGGGGGCGGGCCTAGCCCATGGTCATTCTCACCATACCCCCAACAGGTGAGCAACCACCACAATGGGGAGGAGATGATGCTGGCCTGTGTGACTGCAGGGACCTGGGACTAGGAGAGACCTGTGCTCAGCATGAGGATAGCAGCGAGGAGAGCTCTGGGGAAAGAAAGCAGCTCCCAGAACAGGCTTGGGAGGTGGGGGATTCAGAGTTCAGGAGATCATCCCTCAGTAGTATGTTCTAAGTCAGGCTGTAGCTTCTCAGATTACGTTATCACGAGAGGTCTGTTGGGATAGACCCATTTGGGGACTTAGTGACCGGATGAAATAAATTAGTCTAGAGAGTTAGGAGAAAAGCTAATTTGGAGGAAGCTTTAACAGCCCTGGATATCCAGATCACTATGGCACCAAGTGGCAGATAGTCCAGTTGGCTCAGGGTGTCTGTCTCTGGGTTATGTTGGACCCCTGTTCTATGGGATAGAGAAATGCCTCTCTGAAGGTCATTTGTTTCTGTGTTCCCCTCTCTGTGAGGCGGCATGAAGGCCCAGCACCTCTGCAGACACCATTACACCCTCAGCCCCGTGTTCCCAGAGTCTAGTACAGTGTCTGGCATGTGCACACGGCATCATCTCTGAATGACAGCTTTGAATTGGGTTCCTGTATATTATTCGACTGTAGGGCTCCAGGCTTTGTGATGGAGATGTCCAAATGGACTCTCCTAAGAGACCTGTGACCAGCGCAATATTTCTTTCTAATTTCCTCCTCAAAGCACCAGGATATGCTTAGCCCTGTGGCAGGAATCTCCGTGTATCCCAACCTCATTTCAGCTACGTATTCTCCAGGCGGCTTTCTGTCTTCACTCCACTCTTCAGGCACATGCTGACTCAGGCCAGCACCTCAAATGGATGGGCAGGAAAACCTTGCTGGACACAGAGTTAATCACCGAATGGGCTGGATACTCACATCCCACTGCCTCAGAGCGTGGGCTCATTCCCAAGGGGCCTTCTCTCTCTCTCTCTCTCTCTCTCTCTCTCTCTCTCTTTCTCTCTCTCTCTCTCTCTCTCTCTCTCTCTCCCTCCCTCCAACTCAGCAGCACTCTTTAGTCCCAGCTGGAATTCATCAACGAAATACTGACTGGCATGAGCCTTCTCTGACAGCTTCAATTACCAGCTCAAGGAATAAAAACAAAAGTCGGGAGAAGAGACGTCAGAGGTGGAAAAGTAGCAGAGCTGGGTCCTCCTGTGGCATGAATAATGCCAGGGAATATGTTTTTCCTCTATGGTTTAGCTCCATTTTGGGAGTTTGCTTTCTGAGAGGTATTAAAAGAGCCTTATTTTTTTTTTTTAATTTAAGTTCTGGGATATATATACAGGACATGCAGGTTTGTTACATAGGTAAACGTGTGTCATGGTGGTTTGCTGCACCTATCAACACATCACCTAGGAATTAAGCCCCACATGCATTAGCTACTTATCCTGATGCTCTCCCTCCTCCCACCCCCACCCCACCCAACAGGTCCAAGTGTGTGTTGTTCCCCTCCCCATGTCCATGTATTCTCATTGTTCAGCTCCCACTAATAAGTGAGAACACATGGTATTTGGTTTTCTGTTCCTGTGGTAATTTCTTAAGAATAATGGCTTCAAGCTCCATCCATGTCCCTGCAAAGGACATGATCTTTTTCCTTTTTATGGCTGCATAGTATTCTGTGGTGTATCTATACCACATTTTCTTTATCCAGTGTATCATTCATAGGCATTTGGGGTGATTCTATGTCTTTGCTGCTGTGAACAGTGCTGCAATGAACATACATGTGCATGTATCTTTATAACAGAATAATTTATATTTTTTTGGGTATATACCCAGTAATAGCATTGCTGGGTCAAATAACATTTCTGGTTCTAGGTGTTTGAGGAATTCCCACACTCTCTTCCACAGTGGTTGAGCTAATTTACATTCCCACCAACAGTGTGAAAGTGTTCTTATTTCTCCACAGCCTCACCAGCATCTGCTATTTCTTGACTTTTTTTTTTTTTTTTTTTTTTTTTTTTTTGAGATGGAGTTTTGCTCTTGTTGCCCAGGCTGGAGTGCAATGGCACAATCTCGGCTCATTGCAACCTCTGCCTCTCAGGTTCAAGTGATTCTCCTGCCCTAGCCTCCCTAGTAGCTGGGGTTACAGAGATGTGCCATCACGCCCTGGTAATTTTGTATTTTTAGTAGAGACGGGGCTTCTCCATGTTAGTAGGCTGGTCTCCAACTCCTGACCTCAGGTGATCTGCCCACCTTGGCCTCCCAAAGTGCTGGGATTACAAGTGTGAGCCACCATGTCTGGCTGATCTTTTTTTTTTTTATGACCAAATAAAGATTTATTAGTTATAGATTCACACTATGTGTTGTGTTGTTTTGTTTTTTTTTGGGGGGGTTTTGTTTTGTTTTGTTTTGTTTGAGATGGAATTTCGCTCTTGTTGCCCAGGCTGGAGTGCAATGGCAGGATCTCGGCTCACTGAAAACTGCACCTCCTGGGTTCAGGCAATTCTCCTGCCTCAGCCTCTCAAGTAGCTGGGATTACAGGCACGTACCACCAGGCCAGGCTAATTTAGTATTTTTTTTAGTAGAGATGGAGTTTCACCATGTTGGTCCGGCTGATCTGGAACTCCTGAACTCAAGTGATCCACCCGCCTCGGCCTCCCAAAGTGCTGAGATTACAGGTGAGAGCCACTGTGCCCAGAGAATCCACTATGTTTTCAAGAGTGGGAATATAAAATGTATGATTAATAATATATTTTTTGAGCAACTATTATGTGTCAGGCATTTTTACTTAGACAATCTCTAATTCTAAAATAAGTAACTCTTATCTTACTTAGATAATCTCTAATTCCTTTATGAACCCTGCTAGATATGTGATAGTACCTTTCTTCTCTCATTCCATCTTTCCAATGAAGAAGTGAAGCCTCCCAGAGCAACTCACTCAAGGTAAGAGAAGGTGGCAGGGCCATGATTTGAACTCGAGCTCCAAACTCTGAGTCCATACATTTGTTTTTTACTTTTTTAGTCCTTAACACTTTTTTAAACACTAATTTGTAGAGTTTTTTTTTTGTTTATCTCAGCTTTATTGAGATATAATTCATACACCATGTAATTCCACCATTTAAAGTGTACAACTTGGCTGGGCACAGTGGCTCATGCCTGTAATCTCAGCACTTTGGGATGCTGAGGTGGGAGGATCTCTTGAGCCCAGGAGTTCAAGACTAGCCTGAGCAACACAGTGAGACCCTATCTGTACGAAAAGTTTTAAAAATTGTCCAAGTGTGGTGGCGCGCCCTTGTAGTCCAGCACTTTGGGAGACTCGGGGGGAAGGATCCCGTGTGCTCATGGGGGTAGAGGCTGCAGTGAGCCATGACTGTGCCACTGCACTCCTGCCTCGGTGACAGAGCAAGACCCTGTCTCAAAGGTAAAATAATATAAAATAAAAAAGTGTGCAACTTAAGGGTTTTCAACATATTCACAGAATTGTAAAACCATTACTGCAATCAATTTTAGAAGATTTTCGTCACCCAAAAAACCCTTTATCTCTTACCCTGTTATTCCTCCATCCCCTTCCCTGCCCTGAGCAACCACTAATCTACTTTCTGTCTCTACAGATTTGCTTATTCTAGACACTTAATATAAATGGAGTCATATAGTATGTGATATTCTGTGACTGGCTTCTTTCACTGAATACAATGTTTTCAAAGTTCATCCTTGTATCAGTACTTCATTCCCTTTAATAGCCATATAATATTCCATTATTTTATGGGTTGAATTATGCCCCCCAACTCATATGTTGAAATTCTAATGCCTAATGCCTCAGACTGTGACTTTATTTGGAAATAGTTGCAGATGTAATTAGTTAAGATGATGTCATACTGGAAGAGTGAGTCCCTAATCCAACATGACTGGTGTCCTTATAAAAAGGGGAAATTTGGACACAGACATGCACACAGCGAGCATGCCAAGTGCAGATGAAGGCAGGCTCTGGGTGATAAGTCTACAAGCTGAAGAATGACAAAGATGGCCAGAAAAACACCAGAAGCTGGGACAGGGGCCTGGAACAGAGCCTCCTTCGCAGCCTCTGGAGGAACTGACTCTGTCTACACCTTGGTCTCTCACTCTCAGCTTCCAGTACGGAGACAATAAATGCAGGCTGTTTAAGCCCCCAGTTTCTAGTGGTTTGTTATGGTCCCCAGGAAACTATACCACATTTTGTTCACCCATTCATCAGTTCATGATCATTTGGGTTGTTTCCACTGTTGGGCTATTATGAATAATGCTGCTGTTGACATTCGTGAACAAGTTGTTGTGGTAACATGTGTTCTCATTTCTCTTGGTATATACCTAGCAGTGAAACGCTAAGTCATACAATAACTCTATGTTTAAACGTTTGAGCAAGTCTCAGACTGTTTTCCAAAGTGGCTGCACCATTGTGCACTCCCACTGGCAGCATGTGAGGATACCAGTTTCTCTGCATCTTCAGCAACACTTGTTATTGTCTGTTTTATTCTAGTCGTCTGTATTAGTCTGTTTTTACGGTGCTGATAAAGACATACCCGAGACTGGGTAATTTATAAAGAAAAAGAGGTTTAATGGACTCACAGTTCCATGTAGCTGGGGAGGCCTCGCAATCATGGTGGAAGGCAAAAGGCACATCTTACACGGCAGCAGGCAAGCGAGAAGGAGACCCACGCGAAGGGGGTTTCCCCATGTAAAACCATCAGATCTCAGCCGGGGGCAGTGGCTCATGCCTATAATCCCAGCAGTTTGGGAGGCTGAGGCAGGCTGATCACCAGGTCAGGAGATCAAGACCATCCTGGCCAACATGGTGAAACGCTGTCTCTACTAAAAATAGAAAAATTAGCTGGGCATGGTGGTGGGCGCCTGTAATCCCAGCTCCTCAGGAGGCTGAGGCAGGAGAATGGCTAGAAACAGAGAGTCAGAAGTTGCAGTGAACCAAGATCACACCATTGCACTCCAAACTAGCAACAGAGTGAGACTCCATCCCAAAAACAAAAACAAAAAAACCCCAAAAAACCATTATTCACTACCATGAGAACAGTATAGGGGAAACCTCCTCCATGATTAAATTATCTCCCACTGGGTCCCTCCCACGACACATGGGAATTATGGGAGCTACAATTCAAGATGAGATTTGGGTGGGGACACAGCCAAACCATATCACCATCCTAGTGGGTGTGACATGGTATCACATTGTGGTTTGGATTTGCCTTTCCCTGATGACTAATGATGTTGGGCATCTTTTCGTGTGCCTAGCGATTTGTATATCATCTTTGGAGAAACGTCTATTTGAATTATTTGCCCATTTTAAAATTGAGTAGCCTTTTATTATTGAGTTGTAAGCGTTCTTTATTCTAGATACAAGTCCCTTATCAGATATCTTATTTACAAATATTTCATTATGGCCTGGCACAGTGGCTCATGCCTGTAATCCCAGCACTTTGGGAGGTCGAGGCAGGAGGATTGCTTGAGCCCAGGAGTTTGAGACCAGCCTGGACAACATGGTATAACTCCTGTCTCTCTAAAAAGTATAAAACAAATTAGCCAGGCATGGTGGCGTATGCCTGTAGTCCCAGCTACTTGGGAGGCTGAGGTGGGAGGATCACCTGAGCCCAGGGAGGTCGAGGCTGCAGTGAGCCATGATTGCACCACTGCACTCCAGCCTGGGCAACAGGGCGAGACCCTGTCTCAAAAAAAAAAAAAACAAACAAACAAACAAAACCCAAAAAGAAAAAACCAAAGAAAACCCAAAAAATATTTCTTTAAAATCTGTGAGTGTTTTTTTTCCACTTCCTTGATGTGTCCTTTGTAGGACAAAAGTGTTATTTTTGAAGTCCAATTTATCTATTGTGAATTAGTATTTTATTTTACTGTTTTGCCTTTACACTTGCCCCTCTATAATCATTTCTCCAGGTGCAGCCAACATGACCTTTTATAAAGTGTGAAACAAATCATGCTGGCCCTCTGCTTGTAAAAAACACATCCAAGGAGGAGATCGAGAAGGAGGTCGAGGCGGCAGTGAGGCGTGATCGCGCCACTGCACTCCAGCCTGGGAGACAGAGCGAGACCCTGTCTCTAAAAACAGACAAACAAACAAACAAACAAACAAACCAAACAACACACCCAAGAAGATTTTGAGATTCTGCACCCTCTGGGTCCTGTCCACCTCTTCAGCATCAGCTCCCGGCCACAGCCATTGCTCCCTTGCTCCCAGAGCTCCCACTGCTCTGACCTTCTTCTCACAAGGTCTACTTAACTCCTGCTTCAGAGACTTTGCATTTGCTGTTGCTTTGTAACACTCTCCTCTCTGATTTGCACTCAGCTGCTCCTCCTCATTCTGGACTCAGCTCAAATGTCACTTCCTCCCAGAAGCCTTTCCTGATTGTCCTCTTGGATGTAGCTACTTTACCCTACCAGGATATTCTTTATTCCATCCTTCTGCTTCATTTCCCTCAATAGGACTTATGTGACATTATTTTAGTTGTGTATTTACTTACTACCTGCCTTCCCCTGCTAGATCTAAGTTCTAAAGCACCTACCACCTTCTCTGGCTTGTTCAATTACTACATCCTAGTTTCGAGGACAGCGCTTGGCATATACTAGGTATTTAGTAAATATTAGTTGAATTAATGAGAAACGCAGTACAGCTAGACAGAGTATATTACAACATGGCACTTCAGAAATGAAAGGAACTTTCCTAAATCTTAGGACCAGAAAAAACCTTAACCCTTCAGGTTTTATTGAGTCCTATCAGTATAGTTTACCTAACTTGGAACACTGCTTCTGACAAGTGGGAATATCAACTCCTCGCTTATGCTGTATCCATACGTATACTAGAACAATGCTTCTCAAATTGTAAAGTGCAAACACATTGCCTGAGGATCTTGCTGAAGATCAGGCTCTGATTCAGCAGGTCCAAGGTTCTGCACTTCTACCTGGCTCCCAGGTGATGCCAGTGCAGCTGATCTGGGGACCACACTTCAAGTAGCAAGGGTTGAGGCGACAGGAGTCCTTAGCTCATATGTGACGGTGTCACGCCACCACCATACTGAAACTGGAACCGAACTGAGGCTCCTGATGTAGAGGGAAAAAGATTTCAGTCTGTAGTGGGGCAAGGGACCCAATCCAATCACCACTGCCCTCCCAACCACTGCTTGCATTCTGTCTATAAACATATTTTTAACAGAATACTTGAGTGGAGAGAAGACCCCCATCATGGGGGGAAAAGAAACCACTGTGCCTTCACATATCTTAAACCAATGGCTTTTCCTTATGCTGAATTAACATGTCTTCTCTCATTTTGTATGCTGAAGGATTAGCACCTCCCTGCAATTCAATTATATGAACATTTATGGAGCACCTACTGTGTGCCTGCCTGCTCTGTTTTGGAGCTAGAGATACAAAGATAAATAAAACACCTCCCCTTCTCCCAGGAGCCTAGTGACTGCAGTGAGCTGAGAAAACAGATGTTTTAGTCATGATCTAATGTGAACATTTGTATAATGCAAGCATCCAGTGCTCTGGGGCAAGAGAAGCATTGTATTTCCAGAGTGAAGTTGAGACTTACCAGTTCAATGAAATGAATGCGCCCATCTCGTCTGAATCATTAATTGGCTACAACAATTACTTCACATGCCAATGAGAATAGAGAGGATGCTGATGTGCACAGGCAGGGAGGAAGGGCAGGGGTGGCACTTCACAGCGTGCTCCTGACTCTATCCCCTCACAACAGCGCTAGGCTATGTGTAAAGCACTGTGGAAGCAGGGGGAACTCAGAGTTTTACCCAGAGACTTCAGAAATGATGTCTGGAGGGGAGATTTGGGTTCGATCCTGAAAGAGGACCAGAAGTTTGCCAGATGGACAAGAGGAAGAGTGCTCCAGGCAGAGGAGTCCCCATGAGGGGTCACGGACAAGGAAATCCATAATGTGCTCAGTGAATGGTGAGTTAACTTGCCCTCTGGGAAACAGATGAAAGGCAGGGAGACTGCATTCAACTTAATGGCACGCAAGGGCACTGTGAGCTGGGAAACATGGCAAGCTTGGTGTGGTGAAAGTGGGGCTGGCAAACTTTTTCTATGAAGAGCCATATAGTATTGCAAATATTTTAGGTGTGGGGGCCATTTGACGTCTGTCGAAACTACTCAACTCCGCTGCCGTGGATAAGAGGTAAAAGAATGGTGTGGTGCTGCCGAAACTTTATAATCACTCAAATTTGAGTTCCATGTAATTTTCACACGTCATGAAATATTCTTCTTCTTCTCATTTTCTTCAACCATTAAACAGTGTCAAAACCATTCTCAGCTCACAAACACTACAAAAACAGGTTGTGAACTATATTTGGCCCCTGGGCCACAGTTTGCAGATCCCTGGGTCAAAATATGGTGTGGGGAGGGCCAGGGTCAAGGAAGTTGGGGAAAAGGCTGGAACAAACTGTGACGAAGGAGTTTAAACCTTATCTAGGGGCCAAACGGAAACCACTGGACATTCTTTAGCCCAGGGAGAACATATCCAGATAAGACACAAGTGGACTTCTGCACCAACTAAGAGGGGGCCTTGCAAAATTAAGAATGGGTCTTCGTGGAGGCGGAAGAGACTGAGTTGACTCAAGAAGATAAATTATTGCATGCACTTTAAAAGCTTTAGAGAAACTTATTTACATACAGAGTGCTTATTAAACTCTTTTTTGCTCTTTCATTAAAACAAACCACACCCTCTGTCGGTACTGGGTTGTGTTGTTCTGAGTACTTGAAAACAACACATGGCATTTTCTTAATAACTCAAAGACAAATACTTTTTATTAACACAAGTTCCTTTGCTCATATAGTCCAATTTACTGAGATTTTATCCTGTATGTGTTTTAAGTCCATAAGAGTGACTCAGAGCTGGAAGTTCCAATGCCCTGACTCTGGACAAGGATGATACAATTATACTCAGAAGTGGGCTGGTCAATGTTCAACAATCTACTCTCTGAAAAGGTGTATGTGTGAACATAAGTAAATACGTTTATTTTAACTTTTACTGATTTAAAAAATGTGTAGCACACAATTTATGAGTAATTACAAATTACACACTACTCTTTAGTGTAAATTCCATATAGTTAATTGATTCTCACAGAATGGTTTCATTGATTTTGGCCAAATGCTTTCATTCATAGCCAATCTGTGTCTGCAATTCAACCACAATTTGACAAAATAAGACTATAAATAAATGCTTGATTATTGCCCAGCTCAGCAAAGTTGCTCATGTCATTAACAAATGAGTGTAGGCCGGGCGCGGTGGCTCACGCCTGTAATCCCAGCACTTTGGGAGGCCGAGGCGGGTGGATCACGAGGTCAGGAGATCGAGACCATCCTGGCTAACAAGGTGAAACCCCGTCTCTACTAAAAATACAAAAAATTAGCCGGGCGCGGTGGCGGCGCCTGTAGTCCCAGCTACTCGGGAGGCTGAGGCAGGAGAATGGCGTGAACCCGGGAAGCGGAGCTTGCAGTGAGCCGAGATTGCGCCACTGCAGTCCGCAGTCCGGCCTGGGCAACAGAGCGAGACTCCGTCTCAAAAAAAAAAAAAAAAAAAAAACAAATGAGTGTAGTTCCAACCTGAATTTAGTTGACTTTTTTGTTTATGTTAATAAGACAAAACTGAAACAGTGAAGATGCATGCTATAACTTTATTCATCTGTCAATGACATGAGTGACCTTTTTACTCAATCATGTACTAGTTTGTAAATATTAGAAGGGTATTTCCTCAAAAATTTCATTATTTACAATGCGATGGCTGTAGACCTGACACACCTTTAAGTCTAATCCGCATGAATGATACTTTCTCTATAACTGCATTAAGTTTATTAAGTTAGACAATCAACAAAACAATAAATCAGGCCTTGATTTTTATCATTTGCCAATTTTCCTGCTGTAAATACTCTACCATGGACAATCTCAAACTACCAGAACATGGAGTTGGGAAGAGATGTTCACTAGCACACCATGATATAATATTTCTACCATAGAGAAGAGATACAACCAACTTGCAAAATTCCTGAAAATTGAAGAATCAGGTCTCTGGAGCCAGCACAAGTGACTCCCGTATATGACTGATCATATTTAATTTACCTATTACTCTCTTTCCAGTTCAGCAATGAGTGTGTCATCTATTCAAACTGCTTTGTTAAAATAAAAAAATGAACAGGCCTCAAGTTATCTGTAAAGTTAGCAATGAATAAATCTGCTTGTTATCTAAATCTACCATCTTAACAAAATGACCACTTTCTCAAAAATTTAGCTCCCAATGGCATCTAAAACATGCCTCATTCTCAAAAGTCTAGGACAATAATTAGAGTCTCAGTACTAATGTTTAGCAATGCTTTGTGGCATTTTTCTCTCTTGTGTCTAAACTAACATAAAACACAGAAAATGGCAGCACGAACACCAGGACACCAGGACGGGGAGGCGCCTTAGAAATTAGCTAGTCCAAGCTACACTCTTTAGGGAGGCTAGCTTTATTTCTTTTTCTTTTTTTTTTTTTTTGAGACAGAGTCTCGCTCTGTCGCCCAGGTTGGAGTGCAGTGGCCGGATCTCAGCTCACTGCAAGCTCCGCCTCCTGGGTTTAGGCCATTCTCCTGCCTCAGCCTCCTGAGTAGCTGGGACTACAGGTGCCCACCACCAAGCCCGGCTAATTTTTTGGATTTTTAGTAGAGACGGGGTTTCACCGTGTTAGCCAGGATGGTCTCGATCTCCTGACCTCGTGATCCGCCCGCCTCGGCCTCCCAAAGTGCTGGGATTACAGGAGTGAGCCACTGCGCCCGGCCTAGGGAGGCTAGCTTACTTATCACAGAGAAGCAATTTATTACCAAAACCCAAGTTTTCATTTGTAAAATAGTTTCTGGGTGCTAAAGTGAGATAACTGTGGTAAATGTACTCAATCTTCTCTCACTTTGGGGATAAATGGGTCCCTTCAGCAACACGATTTTGGGCAGAGTATTATTAAGTTACGAAAAGAAACTTTCAGTTATACTTCCATGTTCACATCACCAGGGTTTTTAGGTTGTTGTTACTATTTCTTACCATAGTTCTTTCAAAGCACATATTTGCCCATTCCAAGAGTAATCATTTACAAGTTAATAGCAAGTGAACTGGACAAGTCTTGTGTAAACCAGCCAACCCTCAAGCAAATTTCAGAGTCAAGAACATATTTTACACCTTGATCTGAGAGTGATAAATCCCAGGTTCTTGTGAACTACTAGAGGCAGAAGATTCCTTTGGAAAATGGGCTGTTGGCCAATCTCACTGGGCCGCTAAAAATTTCATTTTTGGGAGGAGAGTCTCTTCTCTGGAAACGATGTCTTTAACATCACGTTTTCGTTCTCTCCTTTTCCTCTTCCTTTCCTTCTCCTTCTTCCTTCCTCCTTTTTCTTCGCCTTTTTTTTTAAAAAAAAATAATACAGGCCTACAATCTCTTACTGAAACCCCAAGGGCCAGATATGTGTGGATTCAGAAATTTTCGGATTTTAGAAAGGTAACACATTGCATATAATAACATATTCCTAATTACCCCCAGTAGGGTCTGGGGCAATACTTCATAATCAACCATGTTTATATTTTGCAGCAAAACATACATATTCACATGAGGTAGGATAAACAAGACCACACATAGCCTCACATCAGTTCATTTCAGATGAATTTTACTATTAAGAACTATTTGTAAAGCTACATTTTCAGGGATTTTTAGTAATTCTGGTTAAGGAAGTATAGGCCTGTAAGGACATTACCAGCATACTCTTCTTCTCTTGATGCATTTAAAAAAATGAGTATGTGTAGAGTGTTTCCTTGATCCATGTTGAACTTTAATTTTATTGTTATTTATTGGAAGCTACTCATTCTTATATTAATCTCAGAAAGGCATTAGCTATGTTTTGCTCTGGTCTTGCTTTAATTCTAGGCTTATGCAGTAGGCAAGTTAGATTTCTAAGGGATGATGGAGGAATAAATGGCTCTAGCATTCTACCAATTTGGTATCCTCTTTAGGCCACCAATGAACTTGGTAACTAATTGTTGTTTTCCACCAGCCTTGCAATGCAACACAGCTTTGCAATTTTATTTTTTTGAGGCTACTAAAGCTTCCTGTATCTGCAAAATTAAACTAAAAGAAACAAGAACCGGAGTTGTATATAAAGAGAGAACAGAGAATACCAAGCTTAACTTTGTCCTTGTAGAAGTATTGATTAGTCTGGTTAATGCTGTACTAGACATCAAGGAAAAACCCGACTTTCTTTCTTAGATCCCTCATAGCCTCATAGAGACCAGCCCTCTACAAATCAAGACTTGAAAAGTTATTCAGCATATTCCCTCATGTCAAAAACTGTAGCTGGGAAACTAGGTAGGCGGGAACAGAATCTGCCTGGTGTTGGAGAGGATGTATTAATATAAATAATAAACACAAAACATGAATTGTAGAAGGTTGCAAATAGAGGAAAACTTCAGACACCAAAAGGATCAAAAAACATAAAAAGAAACAGATACAATTTTTAAATTGTAACTTGTTGTCTAGTGCAATGATAAAAGCTATCCACGAATACAGCGATTTTAGAAAGTTAAATTTTACATGCAGTGCTACTAAAATACCAAAGGCCATACATAATGTCTGACCCAAGCTGCCACCTCATATAGCAACTTCTTACATGGGGGCTTTAAAAAGATTGTTTGACTGGTCTACTGTCCTGCAGTGTCAGGAGACGGCTTTGTCTGACATATTGAATTTCCAGTGTCTCTCACACTTCCTCCTTTTCAGATGCACAAAAGGTTTTTGTAAAGTTTCTCTTGGTTTTACCGCTGGCAGCTACAGAAACCATGCCACAAGTCTGGTGTAGAGTTATAGGGTGTGATTTTATTTGACTGGTATCTTCAGAGCTTCTGGATTTTTCAGTATAACCGAGAATTTCCTTAAGAGCTGTAAATAAAAATCGGTACCAGTTCGAACCCTTTACTGGCCCGGTTTTGTGTGAGGTTGGCTGGCTGCTGTAGCACGTTCTCCCCCTCCTCCTCCTCCTGCACCCCCTCGGTTCCCTCCTCTGCCTGCGGGAATACCACTTCAGGGCGTTCAGCAGCCTTCCCAGGGTGGGTCCTGGCCTAGTACCCTAAAACTATAACCGAGAATACCTATCATTGGGCAGCCTAGGAAACGCGACTGGGACTTTTAGTAGGGGCCCCTCACCGCTCTGAAGCACTCACACTTGAGTCAGGGAACATGGGTTTGAATCCCCACCCGGCCGTTTATCTTGTGCTCTTGGGCACACTGTGTCCCCTATATAAAATAAGCACCCATCTCTTCATCTGTCTCCTAGGCCTGCGACGATGCAATGACTGCACGCAAAGCGCACATTCACGGTCAGGTCACTTCTGGCGTCCGGCTGTGGTCCCCGCAGGGTGCCCGCCGGCGGAGCGCATCCTCCGGCAGGGGGCGAGCTCCGCACCCCGCTTTCCTCATGGGCCGGCGCGGCCCGCCGTTCAAGTGGGGAGCCCAGAGGTGCTCCGCGCCGTGGGCGGGGGGCGGTTGGCGCGCACAAGGCCGGACTCCGGCGGGGCGCACCTCCACACGCACCCTCGCGGGCAGCGGGTCGGAGTCGGGGCCTCGGGCCGGCTGGGGGCGGGGCATGGGCGCGGCGCGCGGGGCCCGGAACGCCGAGACAATGCGGCGCGCGGCGGCCAGGAACGGCTCGGCGGGCCGGGGCGCGCGCCGCCTTCCTTCCTGCGGGATCCGCTTCCCGGCGGCGCGGCAGCGGCGAGCGCGCCGATTGGCGGCCCGGTCCTCCCGCCGCCCCGCCCCACGCCCGGCCGGCCGCCGCCCCCGGCCCGGACCCGCCCCTCTCCGCGGGAGGCGTCGGGGCCCGCGGCTGGGTGGCGGGTAGTTCCCGCCGGCTGTGCGCGCCCGCCTCGGGGCTCGCTCTGAGAGGACGCGGCGGCAGCGGACTCGGAGCCCTCGGCGCGCAGGCGGGCGGACCGGCCGAGCTGCGCGGGGCTGCGCGCCGCCCCTGCTCCGCCGCCAGGCCCCGCGCGGCTCCCGCGCCCGGCGCTCCCCTTTGTCCGCGGGCCGGAGCGGCGGCGGCAGCGGCGGTGTCCGAGCGGCGGTCGGAGCCTGCTGCGGCAGTTGAGGCGGCGGCGCCCCTGCGGCTGTGCGCCAGCGCCCTCGCGCCGAGGCGATGCCGGACCAGATCTCCGTGTCGGAATTCGTGGCCGAGACCCATGAGGACTACAAGGCGCCCACGGCCTCCAGCTTCACCACCCGCACGGCGCAGTGCCGGAACACTGTGGCGGCCATCGAGGAGGTGAGGCGGCCTGCGCGGCGGCTCCGGCCGCAGGTATCCCGCGCCCCAGCCCCGCCCGCCGCTCCCGCATCCGCATCCCGAGAAAACTTTCTTTGCTCCGAAGCCGGACGCGGCCGGGCCAACCCTGCCCGAGACAGAAGCCCTTTGTTCCCGCCTAGGTGGCTCGGAGGAGATGGGTGATGGCCACCTTGGGCCTCTTTAAGACCTCCCCTCTCTCGGCCTCGTGGCCCTCGCGGGGTTCCGCGGCCTGGTCTTTTCCCCGCAGCGCGGCCAACTTTGTCCAGAGTCGGGGTCCGCGGCGAGCGGGGGATCCCGCTGCCCGCCGCCGCCCGCCGCCGCCCGGGGTCTTTGGTACCCGGTGCGGACCTTATCAACTTGTTCTTGAAGTGGACCGGCGGGGGCAGCTCCGCGCTCCGAGCTCCCCGCCGCAGCCCCCGAGCGCCGCAGGGCCCCCACCCTCGGGTCCGCGGGTCCGGGGCATCCCGGGCTGCCCGGGAAGGCGTGCCCGCCTCAGCCAGGGCGGCCTGGCTGCGCTCCACCCGTGCCCGGAGAAGGAACTGCGGGCAAGGTGTGTGAGAGTCGGCGCTTCTGGGTCCAAGAAGCCTCCAGGAGCCGCTCCCCGGTTACCTGGGTCTCACCTGCTTGAACCCGGAATGCCGCCCTTCCCCCTCAACCTGGAAAAGGCCTGGTTTTAGTAAAGTGCTCTCAAGGTGCAAAGTCATCACGCCTAGCTGCTAAGCAGTACGCTCTCCAGGTCCTGGGGAGAGGAACACGTAGGAACGAAGAAGCTTGGTTGAAAATTAAAGCCGTGGGGAAAGGGGCAGAGTCTGTGAGTCCAGGGGCCACCGTTGGCTGTGGTTTGAGGCACATCCTCACCTGCAGTCCTCCTTTTCCTTACCCATCAAACGGGATTAGTAATGCATCCTTTCCAGGATCAGAGACTGTGTGAAGTGCTTAGCACTCTGCTCGGCTCAGAATAGGTTTACAAGTCACACGTGTGGCAATAGTGAATCTGTGATTAAATGTCTCTGGGCCAGGATGTCAGGTTACAGTTTTAAAATTGGGTATTGCAGGTGTTTTAGCAGAAGACGCCTGGGCTAGCAGGAGTGTGTGTGTGGGTGGGGGGGTGGGTGTCACCAAAGAGCTTTAAATGAAGCAATGGCGTTATTTTTTTTTTCTGGTTTTTTTTTTTTTTTCCCATTTGAACAAAGCATCTGCTATTAGGAATTGCTTGAAAAAAAATCCAGAATGTTTTCCCTTAATGGAAAAATTTTTTCTTTGTAGCTGTAAACAGTCAATAAAAGGGAGTCAAAAGTAACATTCAGCATTCTGAATCCTGTTAATATAACTTGGGTAGCCTTCCTTCTCTCCATTTAATTTGGCGGAAGAGAGCTGCATGTAAACCTTTCCTATGAATTCGGTGATTCCCCAGATCACTTAATTCTACTTTTAGCAGCAAGGCTTACAGATGATGCCTTCAAATGAGGCAGATGGGGATGGGTGAATGAAATTTTTTCCTAAGTGCCAGTTAAAAAGCACGGTGTTTTGAGAATACACCATTAATAATGTTTATGGAATGATTGCAACCAAAAAGGTAGCTGAATATTTCTTAAGGGAAGGAAGCATTGTGCATGATGTCTTTCTTTAGAAAGCTTGATTATGTTTAAAGTTCTGTTGCTTTTCCCCACTGCAGTTTGTCAGTTAAATATTATTAACACTGGCAGATGTTGGAAAGCCAAGCAAACAAGAATTGCTATTAAAATTGGCATACCTTTCTCTGATTAATTTTAGTTTACAGTGTATAATTCCAAAGCTCTTTTTGTATGCTGTGCAGGAGATTACCCTAGAGCTCAGTTACTGAGCAGATTACAAAGAGACTGGATTTGGTCATTTCATTAAATTGCAAGCTTGCTTCATGCTGCCGTCTAAGCCCAAGAATTGGTTCAAGTCTCAAAATGGAAAAATTAAAATCATTTCAGGTTTATTTCACTTTAAGCAAATCTACATACATGCTATGATGATGGTATGTGTGAGCTTGGTTTTATAACTAAATTTGAAAGTTGTTCACTTTCTGAGGTAAATCAATGTGGATTTCTTTAAATAATGCTCTTTCCCAGGTGTCTAATGTTCGTGTCTATTACCAAAACTTGTTCTATGTATGGTTTAATAACAATTGATGTGTACAGTATTTTGGTTTTAAACAAAAATCTTCTCATACTGAGACGAAACATGAGAGGGTATCATGACATAAAGTTACTCATTTAACAAATAAATAAAATTTGCAAGCTCTTGGTCTTATGTTTAAACAAATGAATCACGGAACTAGCAAACTAATTTTATATTTATTTATTTATTTGTTACGGAGTTTTGCTCTTGTTGCCCAGGCTGGAGTGCAATGGCACAATCTTGGCTCACTGCATCCTCTGCCTCCCAGGTTCAAGCGATTCTCCTGCCTCAGCCTCCCAAGTAGCTGGGATTACAGGCATGCGCCACCATGCACAGCTAATTTTTTGTATTTAGTAGAGATGGGGTTTCACCATGTTGGTCAGGCTGGTCTCGAACTCCTGACCTCAGGTGATCCACCTGCCTCAGCCTCCCACAGTGCTGGGATTACAGGCGTGAGCCACCACACCCGGCCAGCAAACTAATTTTAAACTGATTAACCTTTTTGAATCTGTTATTTCCAATGTAGGTTCTATCTGCCAAAGAATCATTTTACAATTAAAATGTGCTGTTTTGATTTGCATACTTGTTGCTGGAATATTATTATAGTAACTGTTGGGCCCTTATCCTGTACTATGAAACTCACAGGTATTGAATTCAGTCCTTATCTCTGCTTTATAGGCGAGGAAATTGAGGCTCAGAGAGGTTAAGTAATTTGCCAAAGGTTATAGAGCTCTGAAGTGGACTTTGAACTTGGCTCCTGCTGTTTTCAGAAACCATGCTGCTTCCTGTTACTTTTCTTAATGCCGAATTCTCTAAATTACTCCTTTGTCAGATTGACCTGGGTTCAAGTTCAGGCTCTACAGCTTGCCAGCTGAGTGAACTTGAGTGAGATGCCTAACATTTTCTTATTTTCCTCAGCTTTAAAGTCTGGTTAATAATACCTATCAACTTCAGAGGATTGTGGTGAGGGTTTAGGAAGATAGTACATAGCACAGAAGCTGCCAGACAATTAGTTACCAGATTATATAGTTAGTGAGTCCACAGGCCCCAGTGAGGGCTTTTGGAGTGAGGATGGGATTTACATGGGGGGAAGTGTCAGGGAAATGGATGAATGGCTGAATGGGTGAGTGAATGAAACACTACCGTGTATCTGTTAACCCATGTGTTTTTTTTTTTGAGATGGAGTCTCGCTCTGTCGCCCAGGCTGGAGTGCAGTGGCTCGATCCCCACTCACTGCAAGCCCCGCCTCCCAGGTTCATGCCATTCTCCTGCCTCAGCCTCCCGAGTAGCTGGGACTACAGGTGCCCGCCACCATGCCCGGCTAATTTTCTGTATTTTTAGTAGAGATGGGGTTTCACCGTGTTAGCCAGGATGGTCGATGGTCTAGATCTCCTGACCTTGTGATCCGCCCGCCTTGGCCTCCCAAAGTGCTGGGATTACAGGTGACCCATGTGTATTTTTTAAAAGTTTGTTGTCAGGCCAGGTGCGGTGGCTCACGCCTGTAATCCCAGCAGTTTGGGAGGCCAAGGCGGGCAGATCACTTGGGGTCAGGAGTTCGAAACCAGCCTGACCAACATGGAGAAACCCTGTCTCTACTAAAAATACAAAATTAGCTGGGTGTGGTGGCGCATGCCTGTAATCCCAGCTACTTGGGAGGCTGAGGCAGGAGAATCACTTGAACCCAAGAGGTAGAGGTTGCGGTGAGTCGAGATCGTGCCATTGCACTCCAGCCTGGGCAACAAGAGTGAAACTGCGTCTCAAAAAAAAAAAAAAAAGTTTGTTGTCCTGGCAGCTGGTGAGAGCATACCTGTATTTTATAATTTTTCACTTGACCACCTTCTCTGGTTCAAGTCATCATTTTGTACAATTTTAGCAAACTTAGCAAAGTCTGGTGCTGCAACCAGAGTCTGCCCTGTGCTTTTGGAAATAATGGAAAAAATAAGCAGTTGTGGCAGAAATTTGAAAAGTAAGGGTTTTTTGTTCCTTTTTTTTCTTCTTTTTTTTTCGTTTCTTCGAGCCTCTGGGCACTTTGAAATATTCTCAAAATAGGGAAAAATTGTATACATATTTGGAATATTCATGTTTTTAGTTAGACCCTCCTTTATAGCACCATCCATTCTGCCTTACGTATTTGGCATTGATGTAGTTTTAAAAATAAATTTGATGTTGACTTGTAAGTATTAAAATTTAATCTACTTCCTTCCGGGGCCATAATTCTCTACTTTGTTGTCCTTGGTTACCTTGGCAATCCCATTGCTGTCATAAGCACAGGGTTCTAACTGCAGGGGTGGGGTGAGCATCTGGGCCTGCAGGCTCCCAGGGGCCCTGCCGTCCATGGGACCAGACCCCTCCTAGCAGCAACAGTGGGAACCAGGGCTACGTGCTTTTTGGCAAGAATGTGATTCTGAATGTTAGCCCTTTGTGACTTGTTTGAAAAACAGTTCCTCCAAGTCCCCAGAACAGATTATTGCTGTCTTCAGAAGGACATCACCTTCTTGCCCAGAGCATTCATGTTTTTGGAAGTGAGCCTTGATGGGTCAAACAGGGCCACCTTTTAAACTGTGTTCTGAAATTTGAATTTCAGAAAATTTTGAATCACTTAAGGAAGCAGCCATTTTCTCTTCATATGTGAGCCTTCCTCCCTGCCCCCTGGTGAATGCTGAATTCAGTTTCTTTCTTAGGCTCAAGAGTAGAAGTACTGATGCCACTCCTCACGGGTTCCAGGTCCTGCCATGCACTCAGGATTCCTGAGTCCTTCAGTGTGCTGGGCTGTGTGTGAGGTGGCAGGAATAGAACACCAAGAAGAATATGTCCTCTCTTTGGAGGGACCTACAGTCCAGCAAGAGGAACAGAATCCTGTAAACAAATCAGTGCAGTAAAATCTGAGGACCACATCTGTAGGAATGCTTGGAGTCCTGTGGATGTGCAAGGGTGCAGGTGGTCCCAGGGCGTGGGGCTGTGGTGAGGGAGGGCCTTATATGATGTCGTACCGTTGAGTCTTGAAGTCCAGGCAGTTACCTGTGGGTTACCAAATGCTAAGGCACTAAGCTGGTTCATTCTGGTCTTCTGTACCTGCCTCCCTGCCTTAGGTAAATATTGATCTACTCCTGAGGTGGTGGCCAGCTCGGCGTCTGCGGTAGGATTTTCACAGTCACCTGGTCTCTAGAGGGCTGCTCAGACCAAGAATTTGGGGTGATCCTCAATTCTTCCCATGCACCCCACGTTTCCAGGCACCGGTGCCTTCCTTTGTGGAGCATATACATGCATTCCAGGCCCGCACTGTCTGATGAGGCAGCCTAAGACAAATCCAGCTCTCAGCCGCCACATTGCAAGTACTCAGTAGCCACACGTGGCTGGTGGCTACCATATTGGCTCAGCAACCACCGGGAGAGCCATCACCTGGAAACTTGCTGAAATGCAGAGCCCCGGGTTCCACCCAGGACAATTTTTACAGCATCTCCACGTACACCACAGGCACGTGAGAGCTTGCGAAGCACTGTTCGAGACGGAACCCCGGCTGCACACTGGAGTTGCTTGGGCGTTTGTGAAGCAGAGCTGCCTGGCTCCACTCCCTAAAATTCTGACTTAAATTAGTCTGGGTGGGGCTTCGAGCCTTGGCATTTTTTAAAGCCTCCTCCCAAATAGGGTTGATAATCACTGATAAACAGACAGTTACGTAACAACCTTAGGCAGTTGATACGTGCTGTAAAGGAAAGTCATGCATAACATGGGGATAGAAAGTGGTTCTGGAGATCAGGAAACCGAAATCAGGAAAAGCCTCTCTGCAGAGGTGACATTTGAGCAGGCTGGAATGCAGAGAGGAAGCCAGCCACAGAAGATGTGGGAATAGAACAGCTTGGGAAAAGGCCCTGAAATGCCAATGGGCGGGATCATGGAAGGACTGAAGGAAGGTCAGGGTGTGTGGGGAGGAGTGGGCGAGGAAGAGAAGGATGAGAGACGGGCAGAGGGGTGGGCAGTGCCAGGTCACAGAGGGCCTTGTCCATCTTGGGGAAGGAATTTGGATTTTGTTCTAGTGTGATGGGAAGCTGTTGAAGGGTTTTGAGCAGGGAATAACATGGTCCGATATCCATTTTAAAGACTTCACTGTGGTTCTAGGGAAAACAGACTAGCAGGGCATGAAAGGAAAGAGGGAGACCAGTTGTGGGGTGAGGGGCTATTGCAGTCATCTAGGCAAGAGGTCTTGGATGAGGAGGTAGCAGGGGGGGTGGTGGTAAGTGGCCTGATTGAGGTCCATTGTACAAGAAGAGGGGTCCAAACCTACTGATGGATTGTCATTATTGTGTGCTAGTGGCATAGAGGTAGACCCAATAGAACTCCTGCCCCAAACAGGGCAACAGCCAAGCTCAGTTCATCCAAGCCCCCTGAACAGACCTTCCAGCATCCCCATGGTGAAGCTGTTGCTGTCTAGAGCTACTTAGTGTCAGAATCCAGGCCAGCTCTGTGCTGCTTGATGTGACTGGTTATAGGACTTGTGTTGGGACCAGTTCCAGGGTCAATCAAGGAAAGATTGAAGCATAGCTGCATAGACTGGGGCCCAGGGAAAGAGAGAAGCATGGCTGCATAGACTGAGACTGAGGGATCTGCTCATGCGACCCTCTGCTGTTTCTATGCAGACTACAGCAGGTGATACTTATGGGCATTGTCAGATGCCTGGGATGCTATCCCCATTTCAGCTCCCCAAACACTCCTCTTTCTTTCCCTACTAAAGAGAGGTGACGTTCCGTGATATGAACCTACCTCCTTTGCTTACGCCTTTTCTGTGTAATGTGGCCTCCAAGTGGATTGCTAGGGCCCTTCCAGGTACTTTTTTTCTTTTCTTTTTCTTTTTTATTTTGTTTGAGGTGGAGTCTTGCTCGGTTACCCAGGCTGGAGTGCAGTGGTGCGATCTCGGTTCACTGCAACCTCTGCCTCTCGAGTTCAAGGGGGATTCTCCTGCCTCAGCCTCCTGAGCAGCTGGGATTACAGGTGACTGCCACCATGCCCGGCTGATTTTTGTATTACTAGTAGAGATGGGGTTTCACCATGTTGGCCAGGCTGGTCTTGAACTCCTGACCTCAGGTGATCCGCCCACCTCGGCCTCACAAAGTGCTGGGATTATAGGCGTGAGCCGCTGCGCCCGGCTGCCTTTCCAGGTGCTTTTATACCATTATCGTTTTTATCATGTCAACAATGTCTTGGAATAAACAGACTACCAACCCGAGCTGGAATACTTGGGCTGTATTTTTATGATGATGGTCATTTCTATGAAGGGATTTGACTGATTTAGTTTCTTCACTCATAAATGTATATTGGGCCCCTACCGTATGTTGTCACTGCCAGGTGCCAGGGATGTAAAAGTGGACAGGATGGCCTGGACGTCTAAAAAAAAAAAAAAAAAAAAAGTGAACAGGACTAGCTCCTTCCTTAGAAAGCACTTAATAGTCTCATGTTTTATGTGCAGTTCTGTTTCATCCTTTTAACCTTGTTTGTGCCATGGCTCCCTTTGACACTCTGGCGAAGGTGATCTGCCTCTTCAGAAAAATGTTTTAATGCAGAGAACAAAATAAGATTCCGAAGGAAACTAATCACAGTCATGCATTGCTTAATGACGAACATGCATCGTTAAGATTTCTTCATTGTGCGAACATCCTAGAGTGCACTTACACACACCCAGATGGCATGCAGGCACCTAGGCTATATATTAAGAGCCTATTGCTCCTAGGCTGCAAACCTTACAGCATGCCACTGTGTTGAATACCGTGGTAACTGCGACACAGTTACAGTATTTATGTGTGGTATTTGTGTATCTAAACATAGAAAAGACAGTAAAAATCCCTCTTATAATCTTATGAGAGGTCGTCTGTGTGGTTCATTGTTGACTGAAATGTCACTATGTGGAGCACGACTGTATATTGAAATTCAGTTAGGAGAATATTTTAAAAATTTTTACCATGCTCATAATGCTTCTTTACTAAAGCATTTAATAACAAGATTTACTGGTGGGTCTAACAAATACCTTAATTTTGAGGTATTGATGAATATAAACAATACGAGATATTTCTAATAAAGATAATGTAATGTTCATATCTTTTATTGCAAGTATTGATAATATTACCATGTGTTGCTTACATTTGTAATTGAAAGATACGATAAATTTCAGTTAGACCCTAATGAAAATACAGATAATTTTTTTTTTCCAATCCAAGTTTATGGACCCCCTGGATTCAGACAGAGAATTCCAGGCTTGATGGTAAGATTTGTTTAGCTAGTTTTTTTTTTTTTTTTGGAGTGATGGATTCTTTAACCACTCTGTTTGTTAAATATAATTATTATATTTCATAATTATTATACTGTCCTTGCCATGAATTGGTTCTAAGAGTCTAGCTGAGAAGAGTTGCACCCTAGGCCAGTGTTAGAATTATGAGGCGCTAAAGGTGTTTAGAAGCGCTCTTGGCGGGGAGCCATCCACTGTGGTTTTACATCCGTGGGGTGCCCTCTGTTCTTTCAGGGTTATGGCTTGGCAGCTTCTCATCTGATCCCACAGGTCAGTTCATATACTTGTGCATGCCTCAAGAGTTCAGCAGAGCTGCACATTGGACCTTCTGAGTCCTGTAATTAGGATTCTGAGCTGGGTAGGTCCTACAACCCAGCTCTCCTATTTGTGCCTTTCTTGTTTGTGTCACACGGCATGTACTGCCTTTGACTCTGCAGGGCAAGTTCCATTGTGAAGCACCAGAAGATTCATGGGCACCACCTACCCAGAATTTTAAGGGAGACTTTGCAGTGTGTGTTATTTTCAGTGAGGGTATGGATTTGAAATGCTGCTGCTGTTGCAAGAGTGTGTTGGGGATATCCAGAGTGTGGGTGAAGTCAATGTCAGTTCATATTTTTTTTTTTTTTTTTTTTCTGAGACAGGGTCTGGCTCTGTTGCCCAGGCTTGAGTGCAGTGGTGTGATCTTGGCTCACCACAGCCTTGACCTCCTGGGCTCAAGCGATCCTCCTGCCTCAGCCTCCTGTGTAGCTGGGACTACAGGTGTGCCCCACCATGCCTGTTTAATTTTTTTTTTTTTTTTTTTTTTTTTGAGACGGTGTCTCACTCTGTCACCCAGGCTGGACTGCAGTGGTGCCATCTCAGCTCACTGCAATCTCTGCCTCCCAGGTTCAAGTGATTCTTGTGCCTCAGCCTCCTGAGTAGCTGGGATTACAGGTGCCAACCACCACACCCAGCTAATTTTTGTATTTTTAGTAGAGACGGGGTTTTGCCATGTTGGGCAGGCTGGTCTCGAACTCCTGACCTCAAGTGATCCACCCACCTTGGCCTCCCAAAGTGCTGGGATTGCAAGTGTGAGCCACCATGCCCGGTCCCTGATTAATTTTTGTATTTTTTTGTAGAGAAGGTTTCACCATGTCATGGCTGGTCTTGAACTCCTGGACTCAAGTGATCCTCCTGCCTTGCCCTCCCAAAGTGCTGGTATTATAGGCGTGAACCACCGTGCCCAGCCTCCCCCTTGTCTTTTCTAACATTTATGGGGCACTTATTATGTGCCAGATATGCTTTAAATTCTTTACATATATCAATTATTAACTCATTTAGTTATTATCAAAATGCTATAGGGGCCAGCAAAATTAGGCCACGGTACCAAGTTCATGGAGCTTGGAGGTGATGAAGCCAGGATTCATTCAAATCAAGCATTTTGACACCAGAGTCTGCTATTTCTTTTAGCAGCCAACAGCCTCTGTAGAGCCCGTGCCCACCAAGGCCCTTGGTGTTGCAGCCTCTGTGGCCAGCATGCCCTCCCTTGCTGTTAGTGTTAGAAAGTTGCAGCTATTGCATTGCTCGAGTGGGTGCTTCTGGCAAATCCTTGTTGCTTCTCGTTTCCTGTTTGCCTCATCTGTCCTCCTTGCTGCAGAAATTGTTCTTCTTTCCTCTCCTCACTGCTCTGCTGACATGCCCAGCCCCACGGAGCAGAGTGGCCAGGGGCATTGCTCACACCCTGGCAGGAGGCCTTCCCTGCTAACAGTGTTAATAACGATGTCATTTTTCCACTCCATGCTGAAGATGGCTTTGTCAATAAAATCAGGCAGTTGATGAAGACAGTTCCCTCTCATGATGAATTCACTTGTCTTTTAGGATTCTAGCCAGGCAGTCAGGATTGTCGGGACCTCTTTCCCCAGCTTCTCAGAAGAAATCATGTTCTTCTTAGAGGTATGTTTTTGTTTTTTGTTTTTTTTTTTGAGACGGAGTCTTCGCTCTGCCACCCAGGCTGGAGTGCGGTGGCACAATCTCGGCTCACTGCAAGCTCCGCCTCCTGGGTTCACGCCATTCTTCTGTCTCCGCCTCCCGAGTAGCTGGGACTACAGGCGCCTGCCACCACGCCCGGCTAATTTTTGGTATTTTTAGTAGAGACGGGGTTTCACTGTGTTAGCCAGGATGGTCTTGATCTCCTGACCTCGTGAGGCACCCACCTCGGCTTCCCAAAGTGCTGGGATTACAGGTGTGAGCCACCACGCCTGGCTTTTTTTTTTTTTTACATGAAAAAATAATGATGACAATGCTTTAATTTCATTTCTCTGAGCTTTAATTCTGTATTAAGGACTGTGCTGTGTTTTAAATTGATGATTTGATCCCCTCAACAGTCCTGAGGTTAGTCCTATAGTGACATGCCTCCAGGTTCCACATCCCACAACCAGCATTTGATAGAGTAAGAATCCCAGTGCTGTGGAGGAGGTCCTACTCTTCTTGATCTTTTAATGCCCCACCTGTCAGTCTCCTGCTGGGCTCTCTGTTGCCTGGGAAGATTTCTCTGTAGGTGTTCCTGTGAGTTTCCTTAGTGCAGGTTAATGATGGTTGTTGATCACCTGCAGTCCCCATTGTCACTGAATGTGATTGCCTGGAGGTCATCAGACACTAACTCCTGGGGAGGCACTTAACATCAGAAGTGTTTATTAACTTGACCTTGACCAATTGGCCTCCTTAGAGCTGAGGGGCCAAGAACACTGTCACTGTGTGACAAGGACTAGGAGCCACCCAGACCCATAGAGTATTCCCTTCGTTTCAGCAAATCTGTATTTTGAGGCTGCCACTGAAGGGTGAATCATGGATGTGGCGTGTCTAGGCAGACTTGGGTGGAGAGGAGTCAGCTCCCTGTTAACAGAGGACTTTGGAGAGGTTTTGAAAGGAAGGGAGAATGTTGAGGCCTTGTACTGTATTCCCCTGATAGCCTGAATCTGTTGTCAGCTCTTGGACCTTGGAGCAGGTGACTTCACTGGTCCTGCCTCAGTTGCGTCATTTGTAACATGGAGGGTTGGATGCGATGAGTCCAGTCTTTCCAGCTCTTGACCTTCCATGTCTGCTGCTGTCTGCAACACTTCCCCTGCCTCTTGCCACCCTTGCTTTTTTTGGCTGTCGTCTCTGTTTTTTTCTTTATCTTGACTATTTATATTTATACTTTTCAAGAAGTTAGAGCTAAGAGTGAACGTTACCTCTTTCATCCCCTTCTTTAAAGATTCCCTCCTTGGAGATATCACTGGAGTTGATGTGGTGGTTGGTACTTGAGCTGGAATCCCAATGGGTGCCTTGCTGGTTTGAGATTGGGCCGAATGAGGCCGTGTTGTTTGCCATCTGTCTTGCCTCAGAGCAGTATTTTTTGCAGTCTTTGCTGCTTTCGTTGGTCTCTTAATTAAAACTTTGTTGTGCTTTGCTTCTCTGGTGAAAAGCAGGTTGTGTTAGTGATGATCATGGGGTTTTGTGGTCATTGAGTAATGTGGACTGTTGAACTTCAAGAAAATACTGATTTTCTTATATCCAGCGAGCTTCCTAGATTTTGTGGGGAACCAGTGTTCTCATCATTGGAAGATGTGCTCTCTAGTGTGAAGCAGTGATTTTCACATTTGCCCTGTGATTCGGTTGTGTTTATGTTGTGGAGCAGAAAGACCTAGCCAGGGAGTTAGGAGAGCGGGATTGGAGTTGTAAGGTCAACCTTATTGTGACCTTGAGCCAGTTAACTGTGTATCTGGTCTGTAACATGAGAGATTTGGACTAGATGTTCTCTGACCATCCTCCCTGACCTAAAAATTCCATAGTTCTTTGTATTCATATATACTGGATGTGAAAAGTCCCTGGAATAAATTACAGGAACAAAAATCAGCCAGGAATGGCTAGTTGATAGTCCTGAAAAGACAACATCATTGCTGAATCATATCTTCAAGTTGAATTATTTATTTTTGAAAAAACCTTTCTATAGCATCCTGAGAAACTTATTTCTTATTGTTGTTGCTTTTTTAAAAAAAAATTGAGATAGAATTCACATACCATAGAATTCACTTACCATAAAATTCACCATTTTAAAGTGTCCAACTAAGAGGTTTTTAGTGTACTCACAAAGTTGTGTAGCCATCACCACTATTTAATTCCAGATCATTTTCATCACCAAAAAGAAACCCCATACCCATTAGGAGTCATTCCCTAGTCACCTGTACCCGAGTCCTTGGCAGTCACTCATCTACTTTCTGTCTCTATGGATTTGCCTATTCTGGTTGTTTCATATATGGAATCAAACAATATGTGGCCTTTTGTGTCTGGCTTCCTTTATGTAGCCTAATGTTTTTAAGATTCATCCAAATCATAACATGGATTTGTACTTTATTTCTTTTTATGGCTGAATAATATTCTATCAAATGTGTATGATACATTTTGTTTATTCATTCATCAGTTGATGGACATTTGGGTTGCCTCCACTTTTAGGCTATTATGAATAATCCTGTGAATATTCTTGTATAAATTTTTGTGTAGACATATGTTTTCACTTCTCTTGGGTATATACCTAGGAGTGGAATTGCTAAGTCACTTTAACTTTTTAAACTTAAACTTTTTAAAGTCAGTTTAACTTTTTGAGGAGCTGCCAAACTGTTTGCCAAAGAGGCTGCACCACTTGACATTCTTACCAGCCATGTGTAAGGGTTCTGATTTCTCCACATCCTTGACAACACTTGTTATGTTTGTCTTTTTTATTACACCCATCTTAGTGGGTGTGAAGTGGTGGGTTTGATTTGTGTTTCTCTGATGGATGACTAATGATTTTGAGTGTTGTTTTATATGCCCATGGCTGTGTGTATCTTCTTTGGAGAACTATCTATTCAAATCCTTTGCCATGTTTATATTGGATTATTTGTCTTTTTATTGTTGAGTTGTAATCTGAACATTAGACCCAGATCAGATATATAATTTGCAAGTAATAATTTCCATTTTGTAGATTGTTTTTTCACTCATTTGATGGTGTCCTTCAAAGGACAAATTTTTTAATTTTGATGACATCCAGAATAGTCATTTTTCCTTTGGTTGCATAATACAGTCACAAAGATTTACACCTATATTCTGTTTTATAGTTTCAGTTCTTACATTTAGGTCTTTGATCCATTTTGAGTTAATATTTGTATATGATGTGAGGTAGGGGTCCAACTTCATTCTTTTGCATATGGATATATCTAGTTGTCCTGGCACCATTTCTTGGGAAGACTTTTCTTCTTGAATTCTCTTGGCATCCTTTTTAAAAGTTGATTTACTTCTGATATATGAGTTTATTTCTGGACCCTCAGTTCTGTTCCATTGATCTTTATGCCTATCCTTTATGCTAGTACCATAAAGCCTTAATTAACTGTAGGCCTTATGGTATGTTTGGAAATCAGGAAGTGTGAGTCTTTCAACTTTGTTTTTTTTTCCCAAGATTGTTTTGGCTATTGAGGCTCCCTTGCATTTCCATATGAATTTTAGGATCAACTTTTCAATTCCTGCAAAAAAGCCAGCTGAGATTTTCATTGAGGTTATGTTGACACTGTAGTTCAATTTGGGGAGTATAGACATCTTAACAATCTATCATAACCTCTTCTATCTATGAACTTGGAAGTTTTTTTCATTTTCTTTTCTTTTCTTTTTTTTTTTTTTTTGAGACGGAATTTTCCTCTGTTGCCCAGGCTGGAGTGCAATGGTGCAATCTTGGCTCACTGCAACATTGGCCTCCCAAAGTGCTGGGATTGCAGGCATGAGCCACTGCACCTGGCCTCATTTTCTTGTCTTTAATTTCTTTCAGTAATGTTTTGTAGTTTTCAATGTACAAATCTTACACTTCTTCTGTTAAATTTATTCCTAAGTACTTTATTCTTTTTGATGTGAGTGGAATTGTTTTCTTAATTTCATTTCTGGATTATTCATTGCTAGTGTATAGAAATATGGTTACTTTTTGTATATTGATCTTATGGCCTACAATTTGCTGAATTTGTTTATTGGCTTTTATAGTTTTGTGTATTTGTATGTGTATTCCTTAGGATTTTTAATATGCAAAATATCATCTGCAAATAGAGACAGTTTTGTTTATTCTTTAATAAGCTGAGCACCTTTTATTTCTTTTTTTTGTTTTTTTGAGACGGAGTCTCGCTCTGTCGCCCAGGCTGGAGTGCATGGCGCCATCTCGGCTCACTGCAAGCTCTGCCTCCCAGGTTCACGCCATTCTCCTGCCTCAGCCTCCCGAGTAGCTGGGACTACAGGTGCCCGCCACCACGCCTGGCTAATTTTTTTTTTTTTGTATTTTTAGCAGAGATGGGGTTTCACCATGGTCTTGATCTCCTGATCTCGTGATCTGCCCGCCTCGGCCTCCCAAAGTGCTGGGATTAGAGGCGTGAGCCACCGCGCTGGCCTATTGCTTTTTCTTATCTGATTGCTGGATCAGTTCTTAATCATCTTTAAATTCCCAATGATTTGCACAGAATAGGTGCTCAGTAACTTTATTGATGAACTTCGGTATTAAAAATCAGTTTTTATGTAAGCTGCAGTTTCTTGTATTTAATTTGTTTTATTCTTTATTTGGCCTCTGGGCATGTTGAGAAAATAGGAAGATTTGCTTGCTTGGTCTTTAGTTGCAAAGGAAGTTAGTGGAAATGTTTTTGCATTTGTAAATGGGTTTTAGATATTTGCCTTGTCTGGCCACGGTGCTTGGTAGTCACTCAGGAGGCTTAGAGCCAGGCCTCGTGTGTTCTCTGCAACCGCAAACCCTTTCCAAGCTGCTGTTTCTGCTGGTGAGTGTGGCTGGTGTTTTGGTTGCTTTCTATCAACATTGCCTTGATTTGGTCCCCACAGGAGACTGCTCACTTCTTGACAAAAGGTAATTATTGAGATTCCTGGTTTTCTTCTCACCTTGTAAATTCTCTTGTTTTTGTTTTTTGGCAAATAGGAATGAGGTGTGTTTACTACTGGAGCATCGGGCTGTCAGAACCCGTAGCTTTGGTTTGCCTTGGTCGCAGCCTGCCAGGTTGCATACTTTTGATTTGGAAGAGGTGCCGGTGGGTGTGTTCGCTAGCAGGAATCACCCACAGTAAAAATCATGGGTAGGAGAAATGGCCGTTCACCTTTTCCCATCTTCCTTCCTTCCATTGTCTACACTCCTGGTCCCACCTTTTCCTTGGGGACTGGGATGCTTATGCTGGAACCTAATCAGTGTCCAAAGCTTAAAATTCTCCTCTCCTCCTCACTTTTTTCCTCTTTGTTTTCTCTTGACTTTCATTGCCTTGGTCTATTTCCAGACCCTCCAAGGCCTGTGTTTTCTCTTTAAAAGATCCTGTTCCATCCAGAGGAGACTCAAGAGTCCCACTTTAATTTGGGATTTTAGGCAGAGGCCTTCCTGCATCTCTCAAGTCACACTTGCAAGCGACTGCTTTGGTGATGACATTTAAAGTTGGCCTCCTTTCCTACCACTCTGACTCCCCTCAATTTTCTAGAACTGGGTTTATTGTTCTATATTTTAAAATTGATTTATTATCTTCTATAGCAATGTTGGAAGGAGCTTAATTTTGGAAGTGCACAGTTCTCTTTATGGTCAAAGCGAAGTAAAGGAGATTTGATTGATCTTATGACAAAATTGCTTTAGTCATAGCTGATAGGAAATCTCTTAAGGGCCCTGTTTTATTTGCTCTTTTAATTTATGAACCTTCTTGGATCCTTCAAGCATCTGTATACTAAGCCAGTAAGGCCTTATCTGGAACATGCAGGCTTCATTTTTGCCCCTAATATGCCATGAAATGCTATAGGGTTCTGATGCTTTGTTAGATTTTGGTGTAAATTAGGGAGTAACAGTGTCAGCAAATGTGTATTTCAGAAATTTGTTAATTTTTTTTTCCAAAGGAAAATGTACTATTAGCTGGAATAACCTGGCAGCCATAGGGCGTACATTAGACCTGGAAGTAAACAAAATGACCCCCAATGAAGTAGAAAGTAAGCTACTATAAATTATAGCCCATTTTGTTTCCCTGTAGGTCAGGGCCATGTCATCCTCAGGCTTCCAGAAAAGACCATGTTGTGAAATAGGAACAACAGAGACCCAGTGCCCTACAGCTAAGGCCAATGGGAGGGAGGGGAAGAGAGGAGTTAGACCAGCTTAGAAGGGTGGGGGCCCCCTTCTACTCTGGAATCCTTGCAGGTCTCACTAAGCCACAGCAGAGCATGTTTATTGATGTTAGGTTGGTCATTAAGAATAGTCAAAATCAGCGTCCTCTGATTTGGTGCGCTGGGATGCACGTAATCCACTGAGGATAGTATCCATGAAAATAGTTTTTGAACTTTGCTTTATAAATTTTGATGAGCTTGAGTTCACTGAGAAAATTAATTTCTGTAGAACAATTCCTTCATTTAATGTTGGCCCAAATGAAGCATTTAGTATGGAATTTGGGCCTTGGTGGAATTTTCTGGGACACGTAGCCTAATGTGAGGACAACCATTGCTGAGCAGTGCGAGGGAAGGGAGGATTGCCTAGTGAGTGACTGGTGCCGAGCAAGAGGCTTCCTGCTTGACCTCTGAATACTCTGGCGCTTCCTTTTTGGGGTCAGGAAGCTTCCAAATCCAGAGATCCCCCTGTTTGCAGTTCTTAGTTTTCCTCTGAAACCCCCACACCAGACTGAGTGTGCCTAGGGTTGGGACTAGGTATTACTTCTCTTTGAATCCCAACATGATGCCTAGCATACATAATTCTCAGAAAATGTTTGTTGATTGTCAAGGTCCAGCTAATCTTGTTGATTTGTGATTTCATACCTTTTTCTTTCAAAGGATTGCTGTATGCCTGGAAATAAATCCATTTTGGTTTGCAAAATCAAGGTTGTCGTGTCATCCTTTGAAACAATTAGAGAAGCAGGAAAATCTTCTAAGGATGATCGAAATCTCCACTCTATAAACCATCCCAATTAATATCTGATTTCTTCTTTGAAAAACATAATCATATCCTTTCTTCTGTAGAACCTTCCCTAACACTCCTCATTTATCAGAACAAATTTCTGAATTCTTGAAGCAATTAGTTTTTGACTCACTTTATGTGTCCTTTTTTATCCATCCATCTGTCCATTTATCTGTCTCTGTCCATCCATTGATCCATCTTTGGGACAGACCTGGGATGTCTGTGCTCAGAAGCAGAGTGCTCTACATCTGGGAAGCACAGTGGTCGTGCCCACAGCTGTCAGGCTCCTTGCATGCTGGGCTGTGGTCCTGGCTTCTCTTGTCTTCTGTAGAGTGGGAGTCTCACCAAAGGAGGGCATGGGAGGGCTAGCTTGAGTCAAGGTGCGTAAGTTGGAACATTGCAGATGGGGTTCAGGGTACCCAGGGTTGTCCCTGTTTGGTCAGGGCAGGGTCAGCAAAGCTCCAGCCTGTTTTTGTATGCAAAAAGTGTAAGCTAAAAATGGTGTTTATGGTTTTTAGGGGTTGTAAACAAAATCCCAGAAGAAGATGCAACAGAGACCGTGTATATGCAACCTGCAAAGTCTAAAATATTTATCATCTGCTCCTTTATAGAAAAAGTTGTCCCAAGCCTGGTTAGAGCTCTGAGTGAGTGTGGGTAGATCTGTCTCACAGATCTACTCTGTCCCAGAGTCTGTCTCAGCTAGGCCAGAATACTGAGTTGTGAGGAACCTTAAAGACACTTGTCTAGTGGTCTGTAGGACGCATGGCCCTGTTTAGACATTCTGCTTGGTATGGTGACCCAGGGACCTGCTGCTGGTAGAAGCAGCCTTTTCTTCCCCAGGAAATGTATACTAAATGAAAGCAAGTACTTTCACCTTTTCCTCTGTGGTCCCGATTTTACCTCTGAGGTCATGAGTAAGTCCAGGTGACAGGTGGGTCAGAGCTGGATTATGGAGGGCTGAGCATGTCAGTTGGAAATTGATTCAGAAGGTTGTGGGGAAATATTAAGGGCTTTTGCGTAGGGGAGTGACATGAGCATAGCTGGGCTTAGGAAGTCTGGCCTGGCATGGTTTGGGATCCTGGGGGAGATGGAGCAGGCTGGAAAGGTTAGGGGCAGGGAGACCAATAGGAAGCATTGGCCACTGCCGTGGGAAGTGGTTGTAGGGGTCTGGATTAGGGCATAGGGAATACAAAGGAAGGGACGTATTCCAGGGAAGTTAAGTGGCAACTCCTCATCTTCTAGTTTGTGCTGTCACCAGGGTTGGTTGGTGTGTGGCTGGCACACTCAGGCCGGCCTTCCCCCTTCCCTTCCTCCTTTCATAGAGCAACTGCTCCATACCAGGCCGTGGGTTCTGCGGAGTTCCTGCCTGGAAGGCGCCCATGAGCTGGAGGAAAGGAGAAACAATGGTTCTGCCAGGGAGGAGATGACATTGGATAAGCTCCTTGAAGGCGGAGGTTGTGTCCTGTGTGCTGCCTCATGCGAGCTAGTCTCACCCTGGGGCACGTAAGAGGGGCTCAGAAGGTCAGTTGTTTGAAGTCCCACAGCTGGCTGGCCACGTAGACGATAATGCTGTACACCAGAAATCAACATTATAATAAAACTCTTAAAAATCCAATCTTATCTCTACTTTTAAGGAACCTACCATTTACAAATAAAAGATCACCCACTTATTTATTCATTCAGTGTCTGTTTTCTGTAAAGCACACTGTATGGCTGTGTACCCTTATGCACAGTAATTGCCAAAATGCCTATTGCAGGGAGCGGGGTCACCTCCCTGAGGCCATGCAGAACTCGGCATGGGTCTACTTTCCGCCCCTCTTGAGCTTTTATTTCCCCAAATACCTTTGCCTCATTTCTTGATCTGAGGATGTTCCATAATGACTTCAAGGGCACCTTCCAGCTTGGGGATTCTGTAATTTTAAAGTCCAGCTTGCTGAAGGGCTTTGTGGTAAAGGGGGAGTTGGGAGGAAGCCTCACTGAGGTTGTCCTGCTCTGGATGCTGGCCTCTGCACAAAGGTCCTTTCAGGCTGCCGTGGGGAGGACTGTCCTATGTCACTTCTTCTTCCCTCTTAAGCCCTGGAGGGGAGGACTTGGGAAACAGGTCACAGGGAGCCTGGAAAAACAAAGAACACGCCGTCCGTCCACTCAAAACATTGGCAATCTAGCAAACGGTGTGCTCTTCCCTGGCCTAACATCATCGGTGTGTGATCTCTCTCCCAGCACTCACCCAGGGACCAGAAAGGCGGGAGGTCTGGAGAGAGATTGCAGGTGGCTTCCTTGGTCAGTCAGGAGGCATTCCCTTCTCCTGCATGCTGGAGGGGTGCACCATGGGCCTGGGATAGGCTGTTGTCAGTGGAGCAGAGGTGTCGCCCAGCCAGAAGGGTAAGGGAGCTCAGATCCAGTCCAGGTGTTCGGGTCCTGCTCCCTGGCGAGAAGGAAGTATGTGTGAGAGAGTATTTCAGATCCTCCTCTCCTGTGGCTCTGGAATCCTGCTCATCTGCCATCCGGCGTCTCCAGCCCTGCTGTGCTTGAGAAGTCTTCATTTCTCACTAGCAGCCTCCATTATCTCCACTTCCTCCATTATCCCCACTTCCTACATTTTCAGGGCACTTGGCCTCTGCTGTACCCTCAGCCCCCAATCCTAAGGGCATGTGCTCTGTGAAGTGGGGGACTTGGGGTTGTGCGCCCCTGTGCCCTGCAGTGCCTGACGCATGAGTGTTGTGCTGACCCTCCCTCAGTGTCGTTCAGCAGTGAGCCTCCTCTAAAGCAAGTTCACCATTTACACGGTGGACTTGTTTCCTGTGTTTGTGTTCTTATTTCCTAAAACCGAACTGCAAACTCCTGAGGGCAGGATCTCTTTTTTCTTTTTTTAAAATAAGCTCTCATTTGTATTTATACTTGGCTATTTTCAAACGCTATTCGGGTGGGACAGGGCTCATGCACATTTTACAGCTGAGAAACAGCATCACAGAGGTTTAACGGCTCTGTAAAATAAGATAATTGGTAAGTAGTAGCCCTGAGACTTTAACCAGGATCTTACAGCTCTTGTTCAATGAATGATCTTTCTGTAACCCAGAACCAGCTGAGTATTTGGGAGGTCCTCAGTAACCGTTTTATTGAGTTAAAAAAATATGTGGGTAAGGTATTTGTGAGTACACGTGCATATACAAAGATTCTATGTGCTTAGAAACTTCTTTGACCAGCCTCTTCATTTGAAAAGGGATTTCAAGGTTCATATATGCATTGTTTGTTGCATGTTACTTTCTTTGGAAATGACTAGTGAGGACAGATAACTTAGAAATATTTGCATGTTACATCAGAAGAGAGTTAATAGTACTGGTTACTGTTAATACTAGTGGTATTAGCTGTTCCAGCAAAAGGTACTGCTTATTTATAATAACCAGATAATAGCAGCGAGATCGGAGAGGATAGTCTAGATAACATTATGAGTGTATCTATAATTATAATTGAAATGGAATGGGGGTGAATCTTTTAATATGAGGTTTTAAGAATTCTGGAATTTTAGTGTGAGACATAATTCATGGTGTATGGTTGATAGGGACATACTCTTTGGCCATATAACCTTGAAGAAGTAATAATCTTGAATTATTTATCATTGGAATGAATCATCCTTTTGAGAGAATCATATCTTCCTTCAGTGTTAAAAATATACTTATGTCATCTGTCATGGTGAGTATTCCAGTTACAATGCATATTTCTTTTTTTCACATCCTGCCTACTCACTTGGTGTTATCCTTGAGAAGAGAAAGATTTGAGATGATGGCTAAGTGGTTCCCAGTCTTTGAGTCTATAATCACATTCCCTGTTTTTTCGCATTCCTTTTGGTTGCTATGTTTTGGTATTTGGTCTTTGGTCTCTTTCTTTGGGGAAGAGTGATTGGGTGGCCACAGGAGGAGTAAACCCATTTGGGAGCTGATAGTTGATGTATTTTTGTTATGCTTGGCAGAGTGAGCGGCCCCCATCTTCCTGAGCAGAGTTCATGTGTGATATACAAATGAATGGTCTCTTTCCATCTGGCCGTCACAGAGGCAAGAAACTGTGGTGCCTCTGGATCATTGAATTTCTCAGACTCTCAAGGGACAGCAGAATGCGTATGTGAACTGGCATACCCAAATGCAAATTATTTCTGGTGATACCTAATATATGTAAATGTATGCTGCTCAGTTGGCCAAGAAATTATGAACGGCACTCTTCCTAAATAATGCTATATAACTGAAATTTTAGTTTTATTGTCACAATAGTGAAGTGTGTTGATAGTCCTATTTCCTGTCAAATTTCTGTGACATTTCCAGCAGCTTCAAGCACCCCTCACGGGCCAACTCCCCAGAGGTGGAAGATCCGGTATCTCAGGAGGGAGTGCTGCCGGGCTCCATTCCGAAAGCCACACCTGCCTTGTTACCACGTAGGGATCTGGCAGTTGAAGGCTAGGGGCGGAAAGTGGACAATCAGGATAGAGACAGGACTCGGCAGAGAAGCGGAGTTTTAGTACAGATGTACTAAACATCTGTACAGATGTGGAGCCCCCCCCGCATCATCACACTTAACTTCAGGAACAAAGAAACCCAACAGATTTAAAGATAGTAGGGCATACCTGCAGGGCTGGTGGCGGGGCAGGTGGCCGGTGCTGCTTCCATGGTGGACTTCGCAGTTGCCCTGGGGATGCTGACCCCTGGACTGGACTTTGCTCAGTGGTGCCCGCCACAGTGAGCCTCAGCCCCACCTCTGTTGTCTTCACCCTTTGACCTCACTTGAGCCTGGACTGAGGGATTTCCCCTGTCGATGAACCAACCTGAGTACTGTGCATCCAGCCTCTCACTGAGCTGGGAACCAGGGGCAGCTACAAAGGAGACAGGAGAAATAGCCGTCCCCCTTGGGCACTGCTGGCCTGGCAGGAGAGGCCCAGCATGTGTCTAGGGAGGAGCGGAGCGGTTGTGGCCAGCATTGAGCTGGCTGCTTTTCTGTAGGAGCCTGAATCTCAGTCGAGCCTGGAAGGACATGCAGGTGTTAGGGAGCCAGGATTGCCTGCGTTAGGCACGGGGCTGGGCACACAGAGCACTGGAGGGAATTGGTTGAGTAAGTGATGGAGTAGTTGATAGCAAAGGGAGACTGGAGAGAGCATTCTGCAGGGGGACAAAGTGCCTGAGCCTAAGAGGGGGAGACAGGCTGTCTGGAGAACATGAAGCAAGTGCCTGGCCCTGGAGGTGTGTGCCCCTCCTGTCCCCTGTAAATTGTGGGTGGGCCAGGCTGTTGGGGGCATTTGTGGGCCTGGAGTGATGCTGATTTCTGCAGCCCTGGCGGTTGTCAGTGTGGGCTGGGGTAGAGATGTGTGTTTGTGTATGGAGCAAGGAAGGTCCTAGCCTTGCTCAAGAGGTAAAGAAGCTGCTGGTTGAGAACAGCTTCATGAATTCTGCAAGAAGAGATGATGATGTTTGCTTCTTTTACATACTGCATTAAAGGTCCCAGACACTGGGGCATTTGCTGATGTCAGTAAAGAGGGAGTCCTGGATTTCTAGGCACTCACAGTTTCAGAATAAACACATATGTAAACAGCTGATTACCATATGGTGTGATAAATGTGTCAGGATACAGAGGCAGTTGCTATTGGCAACACCAAATCAGTCATAACCTTCAGGAGTGAACAGGGCTTGTTTGCTCAGGGTCTGGCCAGGGACCCAGAGGACCAGTGTTGGGGACCCAGAGGGGCTGCGTGGGCCTGCTGCCACTGCGAGCCTGTGTTACAAGACTGAGCAGTGCAGCCGTGACTCTGGCAGGCGAGTTTCCCAAGCCGAGGTTTCTGGAAGCCACAGCCTGAGCCCAGGGCCTGGAACCTGCAGGCAAAAACTGTGCTGAGACTGATTCCCCAGTGGTCAGCCCCACAGCTGGACTGCAAGCTGCTTTCCCTGGGCAGACTCAGCCTCCTGCAGGAGGGGTGTGGGAGGGAAGGAGCAGTATCTGTGTGCAGACCTGGGTTCCCCCAGAACTGAGATGCTGGATGAGGTGCCTGCATCCCCTGAGCTGCTTGGCGAGGAGGACGGTCCATGTTTTCCATCACAGCTGGGAGTAAGAGCAGATATGTGCAAGGCAAGGACGTTGTTTCACCTTTTGAAGGAAGGTTGTTAGGAAAACGCCTGCATTTTCTAATCACTGGAGAAGCCCTTTTAAGCAGACCAGATTTATAAGGGTTTTGATGAAAACAGTGGTTTGGGAGCAGCAATGTCTTTAATAGCAACAAAGCCCAGAGATGGGGTCTGCCTGCACAGGAGCATGGGCCAGGGGGTCCTGTGTGACCTTGGAGGTGTGTGAGGGAGGCCCTGGGCTGGTTCCATGGCAGGGCACAGTCCAGCTTCTTGCTTCCTGGCAGCACAAACCCCTGCCTGTTTCTGGCGGGGAGATGCTGCCCAGGCTCGGCTGCTTTGCGGTTCTATGTCGGTCACTTTCCCCAGGCCACTTCCTTCCTTTTTCTTCTTATGCCAGCCTGGGCAAGAGGAATTTGTGCTTCCTGCCAGCAGGATGGATGGGGGAAAGGCAGTGGCTGGGTGTTTCTCTCTGCTGGAAGGGTTTGCTGGGGTGAATCCTTTCCCTTCACTCCCTCCTGTAGCCAGGACCTTGTCACCTCCAGGGAGCAGGTGACAGTTTCCTTGACTCCTCACCAGGTTTTCAGGCTCTGCCCTCTTCCTCTCCCCAGCCAAGCTTGCCTCTGACCTCAGCCAGGAGGAACTTGCTCTAGGGCTTAAGTCAGGTCACATCTAACTTTAAGACCCAGTTTTAGCATCTGGTATGGAGGCAACAGCCTGGGCTTTGACAGACTTGGGTTTGCGTCATGACTCGGTACCTGCTACCCGTTCGCTGAGATGCCAGTGAGCAGTCGCTGGTCATGTTACATAGCTGCCACCTCCCGGAGGCCAGCTCTGTTGTGTGTGCATGCCCATTGAGATGCCCGGGTGCCGCCACACCCCTAGCCTGCGCCTGCCTGTTCTTCCTCCTGTCAGAGGGCCCTGTTCTTGCTCATAGACTCCTGCACAGCAGCGGGCCTGTCTGTCTGCCTGGCCCTTGGGTGTCCCTGGCATCTGCATGCTGTGTTCCCATGGTCCTTCTGCTAGTTGGAGCCCTTGTGCCATGCCTTCCTTTGGAGACTCTCCTCTCTGTGCCGTCTCGCATGCCATCCTTGAGGTTTTAGCTCTGTCACCTGGCAGCCTGGCCCTTCCCTGCAGCAGGTGAGGACTGAGAGCTGGGCTGTGCCCCTCCCACCCACTTGACCCAGCGGACACTTTGGGAAGTGGCAACCATAAGTCTGCCTGGCTTGCTCCAGTTGCCCATCTTGTCCTGTGAGTGAAGCTCCTGCTTCCATCTCTCTTGATCTGGCCCCTTCTCTCCATTCCTCCAGCTGCAGTGGGTGCCCCTGTCATTTGTCAGCCAGAGCATTCAACAGCCTCTGCTCCCACTGAGGTCATGGTGATTGTCTTAAAGATTTGCTCTTTAGCTTCTCAGCTGAAGACACGTTGGTGGCTTCCCTGACCTTTTGGAAAGTAACCAGACTCTGGGTCCTTCTCCTTTGTTGACCTGGCCCCTGCCTCCCTCCCACCCCATCTCATCCATGCCTGTCCTCTGTGTCAACACGCCTCACTGCCCTGCGCCCGATCCTTTTACACAGGTGGTCCCTCTGTTTGTAGAGTCGCCCTGCTCTTCGTATCTCCCTGCCTGTTCTGTGAAGTTCAGCCCAGTGCCCCTTCCTTGGAGGCCACATTAGAGGGCCCTCCTCTGCTGGCTTTGTGCCCCCGTACCCCTTTCGCAGCTGACTGTCCACATTATACTGTCTGTATCTGTTATTTACTGTCTGTCTTTGACAAACTATGATCTTGGAAGTGCAGAGAACTTGTCTGATTTGTTTAACCACCTCACTTAGCACATAACTTGTCATATTTTTAATTTATTTTCTATCTCCCCTTCTCCCCATTAGATCATAAGCTTCCTGGGGGCAGGGATTTTTGACTCTTACTTAGTGATGCATCCTCAGCACCCAGAATTGCACTGGACACATCATATATGTTTAATATGTGTTTGTTGAATGAATAAAACTGACAGGCAACTACAGCTTAGATTGCAGGGAGTGAGACATGCTGTTGCCGGAGCTCTGGTGTCATTGGTTCATAGAAAGCTTGTTTCTCTGGCCATGGGGACTTGATTCTTAGAGGGTAATGGTTCGAAAGTTGAATTAGTGAGTGTAAATCCTTAAAAAAGTAAAAATATGTTTGTGCCCTTGTACAGAGGGGCTGCCTTGCCCTTCTGGAAGAAGGAATTCCACGTTAGACGTGTTCCCAGCTGCAGTTTTGTTCTGTATCTATTGCCAGCAGGAATCCAAGGATTTCCTTTATTATTTCCAAATTGCTGCCTCTTAGGAATGGAGAATGCTGCCAGTCTGTGCTCTGTGTTTTTTTTGCTCAGTGGGACCAAAGTAGTTTTGTGGTAGAGAGATACAGAGATACGGCTTTGAGACAGTTTGAGTCATCTAATTACTGTCCAGGAGGGCTGGGAGGTTAACCCTGGTGGTTGCTTTGGTGATAGTGATCGATGTCTGTGTGACAATTATAATGAAGGCTGGTATTATGCCGGGACTTTGAAGAGTCTATCAGATAGTGAAGGAATTGCGAAGCCGTACTATGTTGAGGTCTCCAGAATAAACATCCTCAGAATGGAAGGTCCAGATGAGAAGGTTACCTTGATGAGAGGCCTTTATGCTTTTTGTGCTATTTTCCTTTATGGGCTCTGGTAGTTCTTTAGTGTTTTATAATCTCTTTTCAGAGAAAGCTTTTTGTAAATTCTTCAGATTTTACTTTTTAAGTAACACTTACAAAAGTTGTATGGTGGCTTGGGACCAATACACTTTGCAGGAAATGCAGAGATGGATAAGAAATGGTTCATTCCCTTCAGGACCTCTCGTTATAGCTTAGCCTATGTAGTGATTAGAGCATCTGCTTTGAAGCCAGCTGGACCTGGACTCAGATATAGGTTTTGCTAATTGATACCTGTGTGGCCATGGGCAAATATGCTCATTTACTCATTTGTGTTTAACAAACACTTATATTGCACTTACTGTGTGCCAGGCAGTAAGTGCTTAACACATGTTAAATGGATTTAATCCTTACAACAACCCTGTGGCTAGGTACTGTCATCATCCCCATGTTTAAAGAAGAGGGGAGTGGGCTGGGCATGGTGGCTCACGCCTGTAATCCCAGCACTTTGGGAGGCTGGGGTGGGTGGATCACCTGAGGTCAGGAGTTTGAGACCAGCTTGGCCAACACGGTGAAACCCCATCTTTACTAAAAATATAAAAATTAGCTGGTCGTGGTGACAGGCACCTGTAATCCCAGCTACTCGGGAGGCTGAGGCATGAGAATTGCTTGAACCCGGGAGGCGGAGGTTGCAGTGAGTCAAGATCGCACCACTGCACTCCAGCCTGGGTGACAGAGCGAAGCTATGTCTCAAAAAAAAAAAAAAAAAAAAAGGAAGAGGGGAGTGGTTCACAGAGGTGAAGCAATGTTCCCTGGGTCACTGAGCAGAGAAGTCACAAAGCCTGGGCACTCTGGCTCGAGTTCATTTTTCTTCTTGACGCTATTTGTGCTGCCTCTCAGCTTCCTAAGCTTGAGCTTCCTAAACTGTAAAATGGGAGGCAGCAATAACCAGACTGCCTAGAGACAGGCTGGTGTGAGAATTCAGTGAGAAAACCCGGGGAGAACATTTAGCCAGAGCCTGTCGCATGGCTGGGGCTCTGGCTAGTGGAGGGAGAGGAGACAGCACACAGATTGCACCAGAACAAGGTAATGGCGGCGCGTGGCCTTGCAGGGGCCTTGATAATAGGAGGAGCTCAGAAGCAGGGAGAGATCACTTCCTGCTGGGGCAGCTGGGACATTGTCATGAAAGACCAGGGAGGGGACAGATGGGACATCTGGGACTTCACAGCCACCTGGGGAAGTGGGCACTATCCCCATTGTGTGGATCCAGAAGCTGGGCTGTTTCTAATCAGTTAAAATGAGTAGGTAGAGCCAAGGTGAAGGAAGATGGATTTACTCAGGGTTCAGTTGGTTGGACTGTTGAATTGAGCTGGGGGCAGGTGGAATAAAGTCTGGTCAGCCACTCTGGGGCCGATGCACAGGGGCCCAGCCTGGAGCCCACTTCCGGCCTTGCGAATGCTTCAGTGGCTTTGCATATTGTCTCTTTGTTCTCACTCTTTAGAAATGTTCTCCCACACCTTCCTTCCAGTGGATTTCTAGAAATACCCTATTTTTCATGACTCACCAATTGAACACATCCTGTTTGGGGAAGTGATAAGAGAGGAATTTGAGAATGGCATGGAGTTGACTCCTAATGATGACTGGTGCAAGGAGTAGACGGCCCAGCCTTCTGCTTGCTCTGCCTCTCACCTGTGTCTCCAGACGAGCTGAATTTCTCCAAGTGCCGTGTTTCACTGTCCCCGCCCGACATATGCCAACTGGAGCTTTTCCTGTCCTGTTGTAGGCGGGGATCTGTGTGTGGCTACAGAGTGACTAATGGTAGAATTAATCGAGTTAGAGATGGGGCCTGTAGTTTTGAACCTGATGAGTTAGATGACCTTTTGGACCACACAGATGGCTGGTCGTCCTGTGCACCAGTGTGGCAGGGATGGAGCTTGTGCCAGCTGCCCCGGGCAGAGTTGTTTTCTTTTTAAGAGGTAGCCAAGGCAGCCTTGCCTCTCAGGACCCAGCCCTGGTGGGTGGCACCCCAGCCCTTCCCTTTCCAGGGCTCTGATTTTCCTCATGGCTTGCTGTTATTTCACTCGCAGAGTTCAGATGTTGTTCATTCCAGCAGAGGCCGGATGTGTAAATCATCCTGCAGCAGTTCTGTCTTGTATGGCCGGAGGCTCCTTGGTGGGCTGATTGGAAAGCCCAGTACATTAGGGAGTGAAGGGAGTGAAGTAAAGAGAAATGGAGGAGGGAGAACTGGAGCTGGGGCACGTGAGCTGCTGTGGTAGCGTGCGGGAGGCAGGGGAGTTCAGACCACGTCTCGGGGCCAGGAGTGGCTGACAGCTGAGGTGTCGGGCTGGGTAGGGCAGAGTGAGCCGCATGGCCTGGCAGCTGTGATGGGAACATGTAAGAAGTGGTCAGGCTGCTGTTGTTTTAGATGTCTGAACCCTGAGGGTAGAACTCGGAGAACTTGGTTGGTGGATGCAGCCGGCAATGCCTTCCCATGAATGGCAAGGGCAGTGGGCTTAGGCAGATGGAGCTGCTCCACCTGGCAGTTTAGCCTCCCAGGGGACTTCTGGCAAGGTCCGGAGTCATGTTTGATCTGCCAGGACTGGGGACTGGGGTGCTGGTGGCATCTGGTGGGTGGAGGCCAGGATGCTACTACACATCCCACAGTGCCCAGGACTGCACCCACCACAAAGAAGTACCTTGTCCCAAGTGTGTCCGGGCCTGATGTTGAGAAACGCTGGGTCAAAAGGCTTCAGGTGATGGTGGACTTGGAGGGCCGGTCAGGGAGGGACAAAGGGATGTCCTTGGCACCTGGACTGCTTTGGGGCCCCTGTTTCCTGCTCTTGGTGGGCCTGAGTCTCTCTGTAAGTTTTGCAGTATGAAGTTGACCTGGATGTTTCATAAGCAGAGGCTTGTAGGTAATCAAGTGCCACGAAGTAAAGATCATTTCGGGCCACTTGAATATATTAAGTTCGTCGACATCTTCAAAGAGTTAGATTGAAATGCTGATCCTCTTATATTCCTGACATATTCTTATCCTTGCCTGTATTATTTTTTTCTGTTTTTTAACCTGTGTTGTGCAGTATGCCAGATGAACTTTTTAGGGTGTATATTTTGATATCTTACTTTTATGAAGATTAATAAAATTAAAATTGTCTCTGTACTGATGTAAAGAGCTTGAACTTAATTTAGTTTTATAATTGTCTGTATAAACATTCTTAATGTCTAAAGAGGATTTTTTACCGGAGAGGCAAAGGGAAATAAAAACTTGATAAAATTTAAAAAATTAAAAGCAACTGTTATCTGTTATTGTATGTATGTATGTGTAGGTGGTTGTGTGTATGTATGAGAGACACAGACAGTGCATTTTACTTTTTTGTTTTTTAAAGATCCTGCCTTTAAATTTGGAACTATAATTATTTGTCAGCACAGTTAAATTTTTTTTTTCTTGCTTTTCTTTCTCTTTCTCCTTTCCTGTGTTGGAGCAAAGGTGCTGTGTGTTGTCTACTTCAGGTTTCTTTTTTGAGTGAATGGGACAAGGACAGGGCAATATCTGAGTGTCAGAAAGATCCCCCCCGAGGCTGGTGTGGGTACCAGGCAGGGCTGGGGTACGGAGACGGGCAGGCGGACCAGGCAGGGGCTAGTGAAGGCAGGACGAGGTCCAAGTTGAGGCCATGGCCAAGGGGAGGGGAAGGCAGGAACAGCTTGGAGAAATAGGCAAGAGGGACAAGTCTCTGACCTCTTGGCTGTGCGGGCTGGGAATCCAGGAAAACACTGGTTTCTGGCTTGAGTGAGTGGAAGCTTTTTTAAAAAAAGAGAGTTAAAAAAAAAAGCCCTGTTTTGTACACATTTTGATGGTTAATGTTGCTTTCTGACTTTTGCTTTTCAAAAAGTGAAAATGGAAAAGTTTAACAGGGCCTCAACTCCTGAGGCTGGATTAGGACATTTCTCATTTACATTGTGACTTTTAGATGAAAACATAATTGATACCTTTGAAAAGATTAAGATGGTTCTGCCTATTTTCTGAAATTTAGGAAGCACCCACTGGGTCTTTTGGTCTTTTTTTTTTTTTTTTTGACAGATTCTTGCTTTGTTGCCCAGGCTGGGATGCAGTGGCATGATCTCAGCTCGCTGCAGCCTCGACCTCCTAGGCTCCAGCAATCTTCCCATCTTAGCCTCCCAAGTAGCTGGGACTACAGGTACATGCCACCATGCCTGGCTAATTACTTTTATTTTTATTTTTTGTAGAGATGAGGGTCTCAGTATGTTGCCCAGGCTGGTCTCAAACTCCTGGGCTCAAGAGATCCTCCTGCCTCGGCCCCTCAAAGTGCTGGGATTACAGGCATGAGCCACCGTGCCTGGCCTGCTCTGGTTGAAGGCTAGATTCTGAGCGACCAGGAGACTGAGTCTTTTCTTGCTCACCTGGTGGAGTACATTGTATACAGTAGGTGCCCATGTTTCTTCTTTTGATTTGCAGAGCAGTTGTCTTGAGGAAAACCAGTGAGATGATCCCATCTCTTCCCATGATTTTGAGAGTATGATCTCTGTCCCAATTCAGAAGAGCCCTGAGGTGAGGTAAAGATGTTAGAGGTGAGTGGCATTCTGTGTCTGACCTGTGGCTCCAGTGTGTGGATCCGTGGGCTGGCGTGTCTCACATGTGTGGACTGGGGTTTCCCTCTTCCACAGGGAGGTGGTCAGTGTGTGGGAGGAGCCATGGCTCTGGCCTCCGACTGCTGGGGTTTGAATTTAGGGTGAGCACTTACTAACACTGTTAGCTGACCCGCTACCTACTGATCTTCACACGGATGAGCTTATTGATGGTGCACACAGATGACAGGTTTAGATTGTATGCTGGTTCCTTGTATTTGTTCTGTTTTTAAAACCTCAGCTCCTCTAGTCTTTGGTAGACACTCTTATGTTATATCTTGGGCAACTTAGTTCCTCTTTCTGGAGCCTCAGTTTCCCCATCTGTAACACCAGAGAGCTGGACTTAGGGGAACCGCTTGATATTTGACAATACTCCAGGCTTTTGTAAACAAATTGTCCACAGCTTTGCTGAGCTACAGCCACATCCGCTTGAAAAAGCATTGTCTTACCAGCCTGTGCAGAATCCAGATCACTTTCATCCACCTTCCCATGGGGGCTGCTCCATCCCTTGTCTTACTGGAAATGTCTTTCTCAAGGGTCTTTTCTGGTGTACAGGTCTCCCTGGAGATGGAAAACCATAGCACTGGTTTAAGTACAGTGTTTTGTTTGCATGGGGAGGAGAGGCTGAGGCAACAGCCTGTGAGTTCAGGAGTAATAAGGTGTTTGTTTCCCTTTTTGGCCAGTTTTTTTTTGGTGGCATAATTTACATACAATGAAATTTACCCTAAGAGTACACTTTGATGAATCTTACAAATGTACAGTTGTGTAATCCCCACCATTATGACCTAAAACACCCCGAAAGCTTCCCTCTTGCTAACCTGACTGACTTGGTGGTTCTGGTGGCTTTTTTGTAGATTGCCTGGCATTTCTACATAGATGATTTTGTCTTCTGTGAACGCTGTTTGCCTCCTTCCTTCCTGATCTGTTTGCCTGCTCCTGCTTTCTCTTGCTGTACTGTGTTCCCTGGGCCTCCCGCAGCCTGGAGGGGTAGAGAAAGAGTGGCCTCCTGCCCATCCCTCCCAGCCCCTCTCTGTCCCGTGGCGTTAGCAGCAAGCGCTTTGTAGCTGCCTGTTAGTGGGTTGCCTTCTGTTCCTAGTTTGCTGGTTTTTTTGTCATGAATGGGTGTTTAATTTCATCAGATGCTTTTTCCGCACTGACTGAGATGACCATATGGTTTCCCTTTTTTAGCTTGTTAGTGTGGTGAATTACATTTTTAACACTGCAACTACTCTTTGGTGTGGAAGCCTTATGTGTGGGGTAAGCACAGATTTGGTGTCATCATGTTGGGATTTGAGGATTAGCTGTTCTGCACTTCATAAGGATATAGTACATTCAGTTATTGACAGCAGCTAGGCTGTGTAGTCACTCCTGTGGGGCTGATTTGTTTAATTATGATTGTTGACCTTTTTACTCTTTCATTATATTTTGGGTAGAATGAAATCATGTGTGTGGTGATGGAGGGGTGGTGGTGGGGGGAGATAATAACAAACTCTTCTGTAGCCTGAACTCATTACTTCTTATAACCCATAGGTGTAGGTACCATTTTCTTTATTTTATGAATGAGAAAATTGAGGTCCAGCTTCTTGGAAGGTAAGAGAAATGAGTCCCATTTCCCCTAATATTAACCGAGCACCATTTATGTGCCGGCCATTTGGACCCATCTAAGGGGCACAAAACCATTGTTTTTTGTTGTTGTCGTTGTTGTTGAAACCACTGTAATGGCAGCATCTTTTTTTTTTTGTTTTAGATGAGGCCTCACTGTGTCGCCCAGGCTGGTCAGTGGAGTGGTCACGGCTCACTGCAGCCTTGGCCTTTCTGGGCTCAAGTGATCCACCCACCTCAGCCTCTTGAGTAGCTTGGACTCCAGGTGCACACCACCATGCCCCAGTAATTTTTTTGTAGAGATGAGTTTTTGTCATGTTTAAGTGACTTTCCCAAGGCCTTGTAGCTGGTAAGAAGGAGGTCTTCTGTTTCTAAGTTGAATTCTTTTCCCTGTCCTGCTACTTTTGGGGTGGTTTATGGAAAGAAATTAAGTCAGGGTGAAAAAACTAGTCAACTTCTTAGAGCAATGTAGATAAGATTTTCACAGTTGATCTTCACAGACTTATCTAAATACTGAAGCCCCATTATCCCTGGGGGGTATGTTCCAAGACCCTCGGTGGATGCCTGCAGCCAGCTAATATTGAACTAGTTTGCCTTCAATCACGACATGTCTCTGTTCATGTCATGTCTTCCTCCCATAATTTTTTTTTTTTTTTTTTTTTTATTTGAGACAGGGTCTCACTCTGTCACCCAGGCTGGAGTGCAGTGGCGCCATCACGGCTCACTGCAGCCACCATTTCCTGGGCCCAGGTGATCCTCCCACATCCACCTCCCCGGTAGCTGGGATCACAGGCATGCACCACCATGCCAAGCTAATTTTTTGTAGAGATGGGGTTTCTCCATGTTTCCCAGGCTGGTCTCAAACTCCTGGACTGGAGCGATTCACCTGCCTTGGCCTCCCAGAGTGCTGAGGTTTCAGGTGTGAGCCACCGTGCCCAGCCCCTCCCAAAAGTTAATGATTTTTCCATCATAACTAAGCACTTGCCACGCACCACGGCCGTAGCTTTTGCAGTTTGAGATGTGAAGGCAAAGCTAGCATGAGTTTATTTTTTTCTTCTTTACCATTTCATGAATAGAAGACCCACTTTTCCCTTAGATCTTAGCAACCTCAGCATAGGAATTTTTCCTTAAGTCAAGGAGTTTCATCTTTTTACTTAAAGGAAGTGCTGTATGATTTCTCCTTGGCATATCTGCATTACCAGCATCTAGGGTTCTTGTGCTCTGGGACCATTATTATGTAAAAAATAAGGGTTACTTGAACACAGGCTCTGCAATACTGGGACAATCATCTCATAACCTAGGCAGCTACTAGGTGACTCATGGGCAGGTAGCATGGACCTTGTGGTTCTGCCAGACAAAGGGAGGAGTCACGTCCCGCGTGGGAGGCAGGACGGTGTGAGATTTCATCTCTTGACATAGAACAGCAAGCAATTTAAAAGTTATGAATTGCTTATTTCTGGACTTTTCTGTGGAATATTTTTGGACTGTGGTTAGTGGAAACTGTGGAAAATGAAACTGTGGATAAGAGGGTAGTACTGTATCTGGATGAGTCCAAAAACACATTCTAAGATGAAATATTATTAGCTCACATATTTATCTTTTAGGATACAATCTTTCTTAATTTAGCATGTGTGCTGGAAGATATTTTGTCAGTATTAAGTAATGCTGCAGAATTTTGGTTGAACTGTTGTGCATGTAGAACATTAATTCTTTGTTTTCCTGATAGTTTTTGGTGAGAGGTTTTCTGGGAAGTCATTGTCCTATTACCACTTTGCATGCTAAACTGGTGCGATTATGAGTTCCTTATCCATATCAGGGTTGGGGATGTACATACATACATGAAAATCAAACTGGCTGGGTGTGGTGGCTCATGCCTATAATCCCAGCACACTGGGAGGCCAAAGAAGCAGGAGGATCACTTGAGCCCAGGAGTTCGAGACCAGCCTGGGAAACATGGCGAAACCCCATCTTTTACCCAGGCATGGTGGCGCCGTGATCGCACCACTGCACTCCAGCCTGGAGTCTCAAACCAGGCTCAAACAACAACAAAAAACTAATTGCTTTAAGTAAATGTTCATGCCTCACCAAAGATATGTACTGTAATTTTCCTATTGTGGATATGTATATTTTCAACTCCTCCAACATTAGTGAGTATATGCCAGACACTGTGCTAAGTCAAGGAAAGCGAGGAGAAGGAAAGGGATGGCATTTTGATCTGGACCTGAAAGGTTGAATCTAATAAGTGAGAAGAGAACTCAGGACCTGGCAGGTGGAGGATTACATGGTTGCACATGTTAGGGTCCCAATAAGTTTAGGGGAGCATGTTAGACAGATTAAGAACTTTGTTATCAGGCGGACACATGTGAATTTCACACCTGGTTTTACTACTTGGTAACTGTACTTCTGGGCAAGTTGGTTAGCTTCTTCGAGCACTAGTTTCCTCATGTGAAGCAAGGAGGAGAAGGCATAACATGTACCTCACAGGCGTTCGTTGTGTTTGCTATCTTGGAAGAGAGGGGGGAGGTCTGTGCTCTGTGCTGGAATGAAACTTTTTTTTTATTTGGCCAGACAGTGATGGTAGGCATTCTTTGGACCGTGATCTTAGGGGCGCATGCTTTGGCGGTTTACAGATAGAGATCTGACCTGGTCCATGGGAAGTGCAGATTCAGTTCCTTGCTGACACTGTCAGGAGCTCTTCCATCACCTAGCCTTGTGCCAGCACACTGGTGGTGCTTGGTAAATGTTTGTTGAATAAGTGCACTAAGGTTTCACTGTAACCTCTAGTGATCTGCTTCTAGAAGCCTTTTCTTCTGGTAGGGTCACACCTAGAGGAATTGGATGCTACAAACTGTGATAGACCCAGTACCATACTCTAGCTGCTGTGTCTAGCTTGACAGGGATGGGCACTTGCGGTGCCCTCAGCCTGGCTTGAAGTTGACATCTTGTATTGGGCGGTGTGTGGGCTCTGTTCCCTGAGTCTTCATCCTGAAACTGCTGGGGCTGATAGCTGGTCGCGGGATCACCTTTCAAAGGAACGCAGTCCAGAGGCCTTTGCTTCCTCAGGATGGATTCAAGGAGAGAATCCTCAGCTGATCATCATTTTATCCCATTTTTTCTGTTTCCTTTACTGTTCCAACTTTTCTTTCTTTTCTCACCTCCTTTATGGAGGAAAATTGCCGTCTGGGGAAGCATGATGCTGGGGAAGTAGGTTTTGATTGTCCGATGATTGTCAGGTGAGACTATTACACGTGTTCAGACCATTGGGTGTAAGACATTGGTGCACATTAGCTCCTGCTTTGATATAACTGAGGCCCAGTAACAACAAATTTTTGCTCAAAAAAAGAGGCATAAGCAGCGTTGTGTGCTTTCTTTATTTTGGCCTACCCTGCATGATGGCTTTAAGTATTATCGGGAGAAGAAGCATACGGATTAACAAAGATGTGTACTTCACTTTCCAAGAACAGGAATGTTTTGCCCTAGTGAGCCTTGAAGATTTTTTGTTTTGTTTTGTTTTGTTTTTTTGAGACGGAGTCTTGCTCTGTCGCCCAGGCTGGAGTGCAGTGGCACAACCTCAGCTCACTGCAAGCTCCGCCTCCCGGGTTCACGCCATTCTCCTGCCTCAGCCTCCCAAGTAGCTGGGACTACAGGCACCCGCCACCACGCCCAGCTAATTTTTTGTATTTTTAGTAGAGATGGGGTTTCACTGTGTTAGCCAGGATGGTCTCGATCTCCTGACCTCGTGATCCACCCACCTCGGCCTCGCAAAGTGCTGGGATTACAGGCATGAGCCACCGTGCCCGGCCTAAAGATTTTTTTTATAATGTGCATTTTTGTCCATAGATTACAATCACTGTTGTTTAGGAACTCAGACGGAAAATGTGACTGAGTCAGAGAAGTAACTGTTAAAATACAACTTTGCTTACAATATCTGCTTTCTGTACGTCAGGCAGATGAATTGTATTAAAATACTTCCTAGGTCTAGTTTGGTGGAAACCAAAGATATAACTGTATTTGCAGGGAGATTGGAGAATGAGATAGCGTTTCCACTTACAGAAGCTTGTTTTATCTTACCTAGATTAAGTTGAGGCAGAATGCATGTATAACCAGGGCATTCTGGTACGTAGTCACTCATTCATCTGCTCATTTATTCAGTAGCACTTTGCTTATTTACTATGCTAGTTGCTGAGGATTCTAAATATGGGCCTTCCAGGACTCACAGTTTAGTTGTGAGGGACCGATATAAGTAATTAGGAAATAGTGTAGTAAAAATAGCCAGCAATTTTTGTTCCCTCCCCAGAATAAATGTGCTGTGTGTGTGTTAGTTTTTATGAAATATGTATATGAAGTTTTCTTTTGGGAATTAGTGGGAACATGATATGTATATAAACTCATCATTAAAATAATTTGAATATCAGCTGGGCACGTTGGCTCATAACGATAATCCCAGCACTTTGGGAGGCCGAGGTGGGCGGCCTATAATCCTAGCACTTTGGGAGACCAGTCTGGGCAACATGGTGAAACCCCTTCTCTACCAAAAAAACCCCACAAAAATTTGGTGGCACGCACCTGTGGTCTGAGCTACTGGGGAGGCTGAGGTGAAATAATCACTTGAACCCGGGAGGTGGAGGTTGCAGTGAGCCAAGATCGCGCCACTGCACTCCAGCCTATGTGACAGAGTGAGACCCTGTCTCAAAACAACAACAATAAAAAGAATTTGAATATGTTCAGACTTTCCACCATACAGTACCTTAGCAAGGTACACTGAGATTAGGAATAAGTTAAAATGCTTGTCTTTGGAAGATTAAGTGGATGTTAATCTAAGCAAAGTGGATTCTGTAAAACCCTGAAAGAAGTTTTTGAGTTTCACGGTGTGAACAGAACAGAGAACCCTTGATGAGAACACATGCGTAGCTCCTAGCACAGAGTGTGCGACACAGTTAATGTCCACGGGAAGAGCTTGACACAAACTTAAATACCAAACTTAGTTCAGAAGCACTTCGCATTAAGCTCCTGTGCCTCAGTGGCCTGGCACTTACTGGACTGAAGGACAGAATCACTAACCTGGGCTTTTACTACCATTGCAGCCCAGTGCCAGTGACACTTAGGGACTCTTCCCTGAGCACCTTCCCAGGTACCCAGAAGTGTTTGTAGGAAGAACAGGAGATGGATTTAATGTGGATTTATTTACAGTATATGAGAATACATGATGTGAAGGCAAACCCTTTTCATTAGATCCTTTCTGAGGCATCATAAAAATCATGGTTTTATGGTTTTTATGATTTGAGTCTAAGAAAACTTAGTTACTTAGCCTTTCTGCGGAGAATAATTGCTTATTTGACAGGGTGACACGATGGTGTGTGAGCTCAGTTGCTTTTAGCCAGCACTACTTGAAGTCCTCCCGTCATATAAAAGGTAAAAGTCTGAATCATGCAGGCCTAGGTTTGGTTGTGAACTTTTACCTCTTACTGGTAGTGTGGCCTTGGGCAAGTCACTTTGATACCCACTTTGTAGGACTGCGGTAAGAATAATATTGTTATTAATAGAGATTCCAGGAACTTGTAGCTTGATTTTGGATGCAGAGAGCTGGGCTCCTCCCACACAGGAGCTTCTGGTTTGAGAACCACAGCTAGCAATGGCTTTGTTGAGGAGGGTGTTGGTGTGACTATCGAATTGTCAGTGCCAGTGTGTTGCTGCCGTGGCTGTTGCATTTGAATGGGCTCTGGAGACACCTGGGGTGGGTGGGGGCTGCCTGACACGGAGCCAGCCTGCCTGGCCACTTCTTCGGCTCTGTGCTTACTTGGGGGCATTCACTGTGCTAGGTGTGGAGGGTTCTATAAAAACAAACCCTAAAAGATTAGTCATACATTTACTGTTGGTCATTTCTCAAAGTGATGACGTTACCTTCTGTAACCTACACTTAGTTTCTGAGTCTTTTTGGTGTGTGTTGCTCGAATATCACTATACATCTTCCTGACTTCTGAATCTAAAAGAGCACCACTCTTTCTCTTTGTTTCTTCAGTCAGAAAATACCTACTGGGTGCTGGTGCTGCGTTTGTGAACAGAGCACACAGAAATCTGGGCCTGGGGGCGCTTGCAGGATTCTGCTTGCTTTCCTTCCTCCCGTCTCTGCAGTCTGACGCTGTGTGCCATGCATTAGTCGGTTCGTCGTCTGCCTCCACTAGAGTGTCATGGATGCTCCTGGGGGACAGAGCCTTTGTTTTCTTCGCCACCAGATCCCCAGTGCCCAGAGCAGTGCCTGGGACAGAACTTGTTCTCAATAAATAGTTTGTTATTGTTGTTGTGGGGCTTGGATGCAAGAGGAGTGAGCCCCACATTTGATTATATAATAATTAAAACCTTAAAAACAAGCATACGATGGGGATGGCTATCTAAGTTTAGAAGGTTCTGTGAAAAGGACAGGAGGGTGGTGTGACCCCGTTGGGGGAAGGAGCTCTGTGTTGACTGGCAGGAGCCCTGGTTTGGGAGTGTTGGCTTTATCCCTGATCAGCTGCTTGACTTCAGGCAACTCTTTACATTTGAGTGAAAAAATGAATGGGGATTCTCTGTATGGTTTCTCCAAACCCGTACTCCTTAGACATTTAAAACAGGTGGACGGAACCAACTTTTCATTTCACCTGACTTCTCAGTAACCACTTATTACACTGAGCAAACTAGTGTGAAAATTTTATTTTATTTTTAAATTTTTTACAGACAGGGTCTTGCTCTGTTACCTAGACTGGAGTGCAGATCATGGCCCACTGCAGCCTCGACCTCCTGGACTCAGTGATCCTCCTGCCTTGTTCTCCCAAGTAGCTGGAGCTACAGGTGTGCGCTAACATGCCTGGCTAATTTTTTAAAACAATTTTTTGTAGAGACGGAGTATCACCATATTGCCCAGACTGGTTTTGAACTCCTGGGCTCAAACAATCAGCCTTGGCCTCCCATGCCAGGATTACAGGCATGAGCCACCACGCCCAGCCCCACCTGTGTGAAAATTGTAATCATTCACCTGTGCATAAAGTTGCATCCTGCATTCAGAATAAAGAGAACCGTGAGAGGTCTTCAATTTAGTCATCTTTACTACAACTTTCTTTCCTTTTTTCCTTAATGCTCTTGATCTTTCTTGTCACATCTAAATGGTTTAATCCATTGTGGCTCGATGTGGGAGAGGCTCATTCCTGGGATACTCCTGGCTTCTACACAAGCCTGTGTACTGCTGCATGTGGAGAAATTGTCCAGGTTTTTTGTTTTGTTTGAGACAGAGTCTTGCTCCATCATCAGGCTGGAGTGCAGTGGCATGATCTTGGCTCACTGCAGCCTTGACCTCCTGGACTCAAGCTATCCTCCTACTTCAGCCTCCCATGTAGCTGGGGCCACGGTATATACTACCACACCCAGCTGATTTTTTAATGTTTTTGTAGAGATGGGGTCTGTGTTGTCCAGGATGGCCTTGAACTCCTGGGCTCATGCAGTCTGCCTGCCTTAGCCTCTAAAATGCTGGGATTATAGGTGTGAGCCACTGTGGCCAGCCTGTCCAGTAATATTTTTAATTGAGGAGAAAGGTCTTCTTCCTGACAGCAGTCTGTCTGCTCGTGAGTTTTGACGGCACAAGCTGCATGGATCTGGTATTGGGGTGGCAGCAGCTGGAAATCCTAATGAGGATGAACTCTTCGCTCCTCAATTAAGGAGACTGACTTGCCCTTCACCAGAGGCTGCTGTCTTGGAACTGCTCCCAGTCCGCAGATGCCTAGGGAGTCCCAGACGGTCCCCGGTCCTCATTTGCACGAGGCGAATCAGTTTAGCAATTTGCCTGCCTAATAGGATATTGCCCTCATGGACCTTATTACCTCATGCGCTGCTTTCGGTCCATCGTCTAGCTTTTTGATTTGAGTGCTTCTGTGGATTTGCTCGCTGCGTCTGTTATTATAGAAGGGTTTTTAAGGCAGCCATGTGGATGGGCAGTGGGTTCCAGGGTTCAGATCCTACCTCTGCTGCTCACTAGCTCAGATGTCTTTGGTCCTCAGATTCCTCATTCTGAAATTTGGGAATGATACTCAGTCATTAATTAAGTGAAACAGCGTTTAGAAAGCGCCTAGGCTGGTGCCAGACGCGGAGTAGGTGTTCAGTGAATGCAGAAGCTATTTCTGTTATTTTTTGCACTTGCTAACAGTTCCTATCCTTAGATAGTCTCTGTCTTTAAACTTCATGTGCCTCGGGTTTAAAATCTGCTGCTAAACTCAGCTGATCCAGGAAACTGCCACTTTTTGGCCCTATTTCCCGCTCTCCTCCTCTGCCCCCCACACTGATAACCTCTTTATGATGTATCCTCCCAGCTCTCAGGCATAATTATGCTCCACTTATCCAGAGGTCAGACTTTTAGCAACCTCTGCCATCTGGAACATGTCCAGGAACTGGAAGTCAACAGAAAAGGCCTTGGAGCTCAGCTGTCCTCGAGTCTGGGACAGACGCTAGGTGGAGAAGGGGTGGCTGATGGAAGGGGGGCGGCTGACAGCAGCAAGAGATGGCAGGTGACCCAGAAGACGAACTCAGCAGAGCAGGGCCATCAGTGTGGTGGCCAGCAGTTCTGCATCCCACGCTAACCACGGAGGCCACGCAGGCCTGTGTTCCGAGTGGGAATCTTTGGTGCTCCCAACAATACTGAGTATTTAAGCCAAATTATATTCAGCATTTGTTAATAAAAGAGGAAAATACAAAATCTGTTTTATAACCAAGATGGTTTTTAGAAAACCCTTTGGTATCTTGGTGTCATTTTTTTTTTTCTTCTGGGTAATTAGTGTATGTGTAGCTCTTTATTTTTCAAGCATGGGGAAAATGCCAGCGTAGAGAGGATAGAACACGGGCTTTGGAGTCGCAGTCCAGGGTGTGCCTCTTGTTTATTCTGCCACCTCCTTGCTAGTTGACCCCAGTGAGAGTCAGCGTTTTGGGTCTCGGTTTCTTCCTCTGTAAAACCTCAGAGGTGTGTTCAGAATAAACACACCTAGAACTAGGCAAGACGCTGACGGTGAGGTCTTAGATACCCAGGCCCTGGCTGGGCATGGGAATTCACTGCTTCTACTGTTTACTCTGCTTGTAACTTTCACTCCTATCTACCAGCCATTTGGTAAATTTCCTTACACCATTTGACATGTAGGTTGTATATTTCAATTAGATGGCAGTTCTTTATGGCCAGGGACCCTGTCCCTGAACCTAGTTTTTTAGTGTCTCTGAAGTCTTCCTGATGTCGACTCTGATGTGAGCTCAGTGTTAGGTGGCAACGAGGCTGGCTCTGTGTCTACCTGTCATGGAAGCTCTCCATGTCCCCAAATCCAGAAGGAGGTAATTTGTGTAAAATAATGCTGTCCTTTAACTTGCGTAAATTCCTCCCAACCCGAATACATAGGATGCTAGAATTTTAGGTCTAGAGGAGATTTTATTTTAGCATTCTCCTGGACAAATTGCATGTTTTGTGGCTGGGCTGGGCATGTAGGGGCTGAGAGGCTGTCTTGTGGCTGAGGCCACACAGCCAGTCTGTGGTGGAGCTAGGCTGGCCCTCTTGGGGCCTCCTTAGCTCCAGTTTCTTTCCTCTGTCAGACAGCAATGGCCTCATGTCTTGTTCTTCCTGCTGCGAGCTTTAGCCTCAAACTCCACCTTGAATGTGGAGTGAACTTGGAGTGAACTTTGTCTGTGGCTCAGCCTGCCCGTGGCCTGTCTGTCTGCCCCATTCTGCCCTCACGTCTCTAGAGAGGACAGCAATGCCTTCCCCATATATGTTCATTTCTCTGATGATTGTAGTGTCTAATGGGTTTCATTCTGATGAACTTGAGCCCCTCACTTGGGCTTGTTCTTTGCTCTGATGGGGAGTAATTTGAGGGACTCTCATGACGCCATGCCTGCTCCAGACAACCCCTAGGAGCTTGCAAAGATTGCCCTGTAGGAGGAATTGCTGATGTCCTGTGAATAATTCCTGGGAAGGAAATGCCAGGCTGACCCATCACATAGACTGCATAGCCATGACTTAGCAGGGTGGAGCACCCACACTGTCGTGTGGACAGAAAGTTCACAGCCTGAGTGAGACTGGGCGCTGGGCTGAGATTGCTGGCACGGGTCTCCTGGAGCTGCAGGCAGGCATGCCCGGGCTGGCGGGGGAGCTGCATGCACTGCCACCCCCAGAGGAGGGCAGGGCCGTGTGGGGATACTGCAGAGGATGACCGAGGGGCATGATTAGAGAGAGGCTACCCTGAAAACACTCTGCTAGGCTTCCAGATTTTTGTTTTGGGCTGGTCCTGCTCAGGATCTGTGAGAAGTATGTAGGAACATTGGGCCACCGTCTCCTGCCCATCAAAAGGCTACATGCCATGTGGAAGGAAGGCAGGGCTTGGGGTCAAATCTGGGTATACAACTCTTCCCTTCTTTCCATTTTCTTACTTGGAATATTTACTTACTCACTTGAGTTTCAGTTTTATCATCTGTAACATGAGGAAAATAATACCTACCTCAATTGCTTTGTAGGGTTTCATAAAGCTAAAATAATACCCATGATCTCCTTGGGGGCAGAAACTGCCAGGATCATTTTTAGCATTTAACACGCTGCCTGACACAAAGTGGTCATGTAACATTTGTTGGATAAAACTCCACAAACTGTAAGGAATGTTACACACATGGTAATTATTACTAATAATTCAGCAAATGGTATTTAACCACAGACTTCCTGCCTAGGCACCAGGGAAAGAGGGGAAAGAACACGACATGTGAATACACAGCTGTCCCTAGGGCTCCTGGAGTTCTCGCGGTGCCCCAGGTGCCATGCATGACTTTAAAGATGGGAGTGGGGATGCAGGATGCCAGACATGTGGCCCTTGGGTGGGAATTGGGACCCCAGATCTTTAATCACTTAAGCCTTGGGAGGTGTAAAAGTGTTTTCCCATTCCACAGAGGGTACAAAAGGATACAGGGCACATTGCACGGCCCCCAGGGCAAATGCAGTGTGGTGTGCTCTTTCATTTAAGCCGAGGCCACAAGTAACTATCGGACAAGGTTGGAAGCAGAAAGCAGTGAGCACCCAGAGAGGAACAGGAGTAGGCTGTGGAGCTCAGGAGCTCTGAATCAGAGCCAGGGTGGAGCGGAGGTGTCTCAGCCCCTGAGATGTTGCAGTCTTCCTGTTAATCTGCCTTGTGGAATTAAGCTATACCTGCGGGGTCCTAGGGATGTGATTCAGCACAGGCCACCATGGGCCATCTGTGAGCAAAGTGCTGAGCCCACCATGGTGGAAATACAGAAATAGACAAGACTCGGGGCTTGCTCCCGGGGAACTTAAAACAGTGAACTATGAAACGAGGCGTGGTGAAAGTCAATTTCTTACAGAGATAAGATGGGAACCCGGAGTGGGCAGGCTCACCAAGGAGGTGGCATTTGGGTGGATCTTGAAAGGTCTGTAGAGTTTGAATTGGAGACAGATTAGAGGTGAGAAAACACACTGAGGTGTGGAAACCCACAGGTTCTTCAGGGAATAAGTGGACGGGAGTGGAGCGTGGAGGGCTGGTAAACAGATCGCGAAGGAGATTTTGAAAGGAGGAACGTGGCCAGAGCGTTGTCACATCAGGAGTTTAGTCCGCAAGTAGAGGTGGGCCCTGTGGCTTTCCCTCTAGTCACTTGTCTTACAGAGAAGGGGACTGAGGTTGTGAGGGTGGGGCTGGCATTTGACTTCGTCCCACTCCTTCCCATCTTCTGGGCTCCATCTGCTTGGTACTCACGTGTAACAGCCTTAGGGGACCTGCCCTCCCTGTGGGGGCCCAGACCTGGGGAATCTGGTTGAGTCTGGCTGCTCAGTGGGTCTGGGCGCAAAGCATGTGGAGAAATTGAGAAGCTCGAAGCAGAACAGCTAATCCCTGATGTCCGTCGGGTGGGTTTTGTATGCTTAATAAGTAAAGATAACGTGCATTTTACACTTTACTAAAACGCATTACCTCATCTGACTTTCCTTTTCCCTCCATCCCAGCTGGTGAGTTGGGGACTCAGTGACCCTTGGGAGAAGGGGAAGGGAGCAGCTGGGGGGCGCACCTTGTTGAATTCATGGGGTCTTTCCTGGGGACCTTCGGTTTTGTGATGAGGAAGTGGAGTGGCTGGAGGACATCAGCGTGGCAAATGGAATGCCTTCAGGAATGACGCAAGGGGAAGGTGGCTGTGGCTGAGGGTGAGGAACAGCTGCCAGGAAGGAAGACTGAATGTGAGTTTTCTGGCAGTGATGGATGGAGCAGAGATGGGCCTGAGGCCACTGACAGGGAGCTTTAGGAATGAGAAGCCTGTGCCCACATTGCTTTTTTTTTTCTTTCCTTAATTTTTTTTTTTTAATTATCATCTGTAGCTCATTGAATTTAGTTCATCAGTTATTTGAAATAAATCAGATGTACTTGGGAAGTACTGGCCAGTAGGTGTTAGAGTGTTAGCCTGTACAAAACCTTCCCTCTGGGAAATGCTGGAAGGAGAGCCTTCGTGTCACAAAAGCCGTTAACACACACTGTGAGGTGCCTTGGAGAGAGGTCACTCAGGCCAGGGAGGGCAGGCGTGCCTGACACCAGCTGCTAGGACTGCATTGGAGTGAGGCCACTCAGCCTTGAAGGTCAAAGAGCAGATGACAACTGAGAGTAATTGATGAACCAGGGACTGTAGGAAGAGTCATTTTAAATAAGGCCTTTGGGGCTGTGCGCAGTGGCTCTTGCCTGTAATCCCAGCACTTTGAGAGGTCGAGATGGGTGGATCACTTTTGGCCAGGAGTTCAAGACCAGGCTGGGCAACATAGCAAAACCCCATCTTTACTAAAAATACAGAAAATTAGCTGGGCATGGTGGCACACGCCCAGCTACTCAGGAGGCTACGGCAGGAGAATCGCTTAAACCCAGGAGGTGGAGGTTGCAGTGTGCTGAGATCACACCACTGCATTCCAGCCTGGGCGACAAAGTGAGACCCTATTCCCCTAACACCCCCGCCCCCCAAAAAAAGCCTTCGGAAGACAGTTAAAGAATTTAGGAACACGGCCGGGTGCAGTGGCTCACGCCTGTAATCCCAGCACTTAGGGAGGTTGAGGCGGGCAGATCACGAGGTCAGGAGATCGAGACCATCCTGGCTAACACGGTGAAACCCTGTCTCTACTAAAAATACAAAAAAATTAGCCAGGCGTGGTGGCGGGCGCCTGTAATCCCAGCTACTCGGGAGGCTGAGGCAGGAGAATGGCATGAACCCAGGAGGCGGAGCTTGCAGTGAGCCGAGATCGCGCCACTGCACTCCAGCCTCGCGACAAAGCGAGACTCCGTCTCAAAAAAAAAAAAAAAAAGAATTTAGGAACACAAGCAGATAGTGCGTGGGCCCAATCACTGGTCCTACACCAAGCATCTTGACTATTTAGTTGTTCACTGCAGCCCTCAAAAGCTGCCCGTGCATCCCTAAGCCCAAGCCAATCCCGAGGCAACAAAGAAACGAAAGTCGTTTTTTGTTGTTTTTTAAAAAGTTTTTAAAGTCAGCTGAATTGAGGTCTACTCTGCAAACAATAAAATTCACCAGTTTTTGTTTTTGTTTCTGTTTTTTTAAACAGTTTCACTCTTGTCACCCAGGCTGGAGTGCAATGGCGCGATATTGGCTCACTGCAACCTCTGCTTCCTGGGTTCAAGCGATTCTCGTGCGTCAGCCTCCTGAGTAGCTGGGATTACAGGTGCCCGCCACCACACCTGGCTAATTTTTGTATTTTTAGTAGAGACAGAGATTCACCATGTTGGCCAGGCTGGTCTCCAACTCCTGACCTCAGGTGATCCGCCCGCGTTGGCTTCCCAAAGTGCTAGGATTACAGGCATGAACCACTGTGCCCGGCCAAAATTCACGTTTTAAATGTGCAGTTTAGTGGGTTTTGTGAAATCGTCTAAGCACCCTACAGATGTAACGTAGCAGAGTGCCGTCACGCAGAACTCCCCTCTTCAGTTGGTTCCCCCATTCCTGCCTCCTGTCATCTCTGCGCTGCTTTCTGTCCTTACAATTTTGCCTTTCTTAGAATTCCGTATAAATGGAATGATAGGGTATGTAACCTTTTGTGTATGATTGCTTTTGCTTGACCTAGTGCCCTGGAGATTACAATGTTACATGTATCTTTAGACCACTCCTTTGCATTGCTGAATAATGTTCTGTTGTATGGATACAGAGTAAGTTCCCCCTTAGCTGCATTTTACTCTCCAAGGTTTCAGTTACCTGAAGTCATCCCAGGTCCGAAAATAGTACATACAACGAGATATTTTGAGAAAGAGACCACATTCACATAACTTTTATTACAGTATATTGTTGGCCGGGCACGGTGGCTCATGTCTGTAATCCCAGCACTTTGGGAGGGCGAGGTGGGTGGATCACAAGGTTGGGAGTTCGAGACCAGCCTGGCCAATATAGTGAAACCCCGTCTCTACTAAAAATACAAAAATTAGCCGGGCGTGGTGGCACGTTCCTGTAGTCCCAGTTACTCAGGAGGCTGAGGCAGGAGAATTGCTTGAAGCCAGGAGGCAGAGGCTGCAGTGAGCAGAGATTGCACCACTGCACTGCACTCCAGCCTGGGGAACAGAGGGAGACTGTCTCAAAAAAAAAAAAAAAAAAAAAAAAAAAAATATATATATATATATATACACGTGTGTGTGTATGCATATATATAGTATATTGTTATAATTATTCTATTAGTCATTGTTGTTAATCCTAATTAATGTGCCTAATTTATAAACTAAACTTTTTTTTTTTTTTTTGGAGGCAGAGTCTTACTCTGTTGCCTAGGCTGGAGTGCAGTGGCATCATCCCAGCTCATTGCAACCTCTGTCTCCCGGGTTCAAGCAATTCTCCTGCCTCAGCCTCCCAAGTAGCTGGGATTACAGGCATGCACCACTACCCCCAGCTAATTTTTGGATTTTTTTTTTTTTTTTTTTTTTTTTTAGTAGAGACGGGGTTTTACCATGTTGGTCAGGCTGGTCTCGAACTCCTGACCCCAAGTGATCTACCCACCTCAGCCTCCCAAAGTGCTGGGATTACAGGTTTGAGCCACCGTCCCCGGCCTATAAACTAAACTTTATCAGAGGTATGTGTGTATAGAAAAAAAAAACCCAGTATATACAGGATTTGGTACTGTCTGGTTTCAGGCATCCACTGGGAGTCTTGGAATGTATTCCCTGAAGATAAGCGGTACTACTTGTTATCAGTTCACCAAGTGATGGGCATTTGGGTTCTTTCCAGTTTTTGGCTATTATGGATAAAGCTTCTATGAACATTTGACTACAAGTCTTTGTGTAGGTAGACACGTTTTATATTTTGACTTCGGGAAATACCTGAGAGTGCAATTGCCGTGTTGTGTGCTAAGTGTGTGTTTAACTTTATCAAATGCTGCCATCCCATTTTCCAAAGTGGCTGCATCATTTTTCATTTCCACTAACCACGTATGAGAGTTCCAGTTCCTTCACTTCCTCATCGGTGCTTGGCATTATCAGCCATTTTACTGGGTGTGTAATGGAATCTTATTGTGGTTTAATTTATATTTCCCTGGTAACTAATGAAACCAGAATCTTGGCCATTGTGTATCTTCTTTGATGTTATGTGTCTATACTTGTACCATGTAAGTTGGTTCTCAGATCATACAATGCATCATGAGAGTAGAGATTCTAATGAGTATTGAATGTCTCTTACCTGAAGGGCTGTTCAGGAGAAATGGACTATTTAAGTAACAATAATCTGAAACAAGATTCTGAAAGATGTGCTCTGTGGAATAATATTGCACATATTCCTAGAAGCTGGGATAAATCATTCACACAGAAAAAACTGGAAGGATCTAGCAATTTACTTAAATTCTCCTATGGAATTTTAAAAAGATGGCCTCATATTGCCTTGTTACTATGGAATGGTTGATTTGATGTAAATGCACACTGCAGCTTAATGAAGTAGCCTCTCTGGTTCTGTGTGTCCTTGCCGTGGATTCGGCAGATGGTGTCGTCAGAGATTATGGAGTTCAAGCCACCTAGCTTTACAGAGGTGAAGGGAGGTGCCTGAGTTGATGAAGGGAGTCGGGGGCAGAGCTGGTGCCAGCACCATGTGGTGCTCCAGAGGTTCTTCAGGGGTCTGCTTGACCTGTATTGCTTTTATCTTTAAAATTTCCAACAGTTGTTAAAAAGTTTTCTGAAAAGATTTATACTCTGATGTTTGCATCACATAGCAGGGAGGTGATCTCACCAGAACATTTTGAAGTCTTGGTAAACATTGGGCTGGGGGGCACAAGATCGTCTGATTTATTTGTATGCGTATTGGTAGGTAGCATGCTAGGCATTGAGGGACTTAAGAACTGGGGTTTATAAGCAGGTTATAAACTACAGTACCTCCAGTGATCTGGCTCTATAGCTTAGTTGTTTTTAATGCCCTGTTTTGATGAAGGAACCTGTGTAGACTTAAAGTTGTAGAATGACCAGTGCGTCACTATATTTTCCCTAGTCATTGACATATTTGCACGTTCAGACATTCATAGAAATGGCAGGAGAAAAACTATTCTAGGGTCCCCTGCAAAAAAAAAAAAAAAAAAAGAAAGCAAGTAATTCTGGCAGCCCAATTAATTCATTTAATGAATATTTATTGAGTGCCAACCATGTGCCAGCTTGGGGTGATGAAGATAAAAAATTAGCATGTCAGTGGGCGCCAGGATGTTAAAAGTTGGAGTTTAGCACGAGGGTGTATATGCATGTGCTGCCTTCACTTAAATGTCAGGCAAAGCGGCAGTGTCAACTGTACATAAAGAAATTAGCGTTTAACATGCTGTGCCAATGATGATGCTGTCCATGGGCTGAGCAGTCAATATATGTTTCAGATGCTTCTTGTCTAACATATCTGAGATAAGGACTGCAAGGAGATATTAGATGTTGTTAGTGGTAGAGAGTTGAAACAAATTTCTTACTATTCCAAAGCTTTTGGATTTTGTTTTTAAAAAAGAATGTGGCCATCTGTTTCTATTTACATGTGCAAATCAGAATTGTCTCTGTCTTGTGTAACTGGAAGAGTATTGAAATGAAAGTGCAGGCCACTGGCATCCAACTGCCAATTTCAAATGAATGAAAACAGCCTCAGTGTTCTCATTGATTCCATTTTGGGGATGTGATGGTATGCATTTGAGCAATTTGTATTCCAGCAAGAGACCTTTTTAATCCATTTCCTCTGTGTGACAGAGGAGTTGGGTTTTAAAAAAGCACTGACCGAGAGTCAGTATGACTGTCTCTTAGCCGCTTGTCCTGTCCACCCTCAGTCCTTGTTCCTCTCCTTCCTGATCCTCCTGCTGCAGCCAAGGGCTGGGAGGGGGCAGCACAGCTGATGGACTCATTCCAAGTCCTTGGCTGGAGTGCCTCCTGCCTGCTAACAGCCTGTCACTTTCTTCAGGATGTGCCTGTGTTACCTGCTCCAGGGTGTCTTTCCCTAACAGCCTGTCACAGGGCGTTTGGTAGAAACTAAAGAGCAGCAGAGGATGGTTTCATTCATTCCATGTTCGTGGAGTGTTTACACGTGTCGGGCATTCCACTGGTGCTGGAGATTCAAAAATCAGAAGGTGCGGGCCCCCATCCTGAAGGAGTGACAGTTTGTCCTTGTTCCTTAGGGTTCAGCTAATGAAAAGTCTCAATTGCCTTGGGAAATTTGAAGTCTGAAAGCAGGGACTGTTTTATAGTAGTCTCAAACAGTGGTAGGAAGGATATACCTACTTAGTAAGCATTATGGAATGACCATAGGTGCCTAAAACTTTTCCCTGCAAAATTAAAATAGCTTTATTTTCTTGGTTTATTGTTTCTTAACTTTTTAACAGGAGATTACCTTGAACAAACTAATGAACCAGTACATGATGTCGGAAAGAACAGGCTAGGAGAATGTGAAAGTGTGGTTGTTTTGTTTTGTTTTTGAGACAAGGTTTCTCTCTGTCACTCAGGCTGGAGTGCAGTGGCACGATCTCCATTCACGTCAACCTTCGTTTCCCAGGTTCAAGCTATTCTCCTGCCTCAGCCTCCCGAGTAGCTGGGAGTACAAACTCACGCCACCATGCCCGGCTAATTTTTTTGTATTTTTGGTAGAGATGGGGTTTCACCACGTTGGCTAGGCTGGTCTTGATCTCCTTGTGACCTCAAGTGATCCGCCCGCCTCGGCCTCCCAAAGTGCTGGGATTACAGATGTGAGCCACGGTGCCTGGCCTGAAAGTGGTTTTTAAGCAAAAAAAGAGAATACAAAGGTGGCATTTTGGTTTATCCTTACCTATGTGGCCTTGGAAAAATACCTTTGTGAGTGTTACTTTCTATGTTGTTGCAATAATATTGCCTGTGTTACCAACTGCCCAGGTTGGAGAGTCATGTGCCATAATCTGTGTGAAAGCACTTTTAGAAGTGCTGTGCAGTTGGAAGCCTGTTATTACTGCTACCCCCACAACCAGTGCTGGTATCATCACATTTGTACCCTGACTTTGGGGTAGGATATACGGACATACACATTTCATTTCTTTCCATCTATTTTGAGAAATCTAAGCCAGGGAAATGCAGTGGAATTCTTCATTAAAAATTACCTTTGGCCAGGTGTGGGGGCTCACGCCTGGCTGGGTGACAGAGCGATACTTCATCTCAAAAAAAAAAAAAAATTTCTATGATTACCAGCTATTTATTTGTAAAGTTGAAATAAATGCTATTCACAGTATTGATAGTAATCAGTAGTTGTTTTTTTTTTTTTTTTTTGAGACTTTTGGTCAGGAGTCTTACTTTCCTTTAAAAAATACCTCACATATGTTTGAATGTAATTGTAAGATTTCCTTCTTGGAAAGATAACTAAAATGCAAGCTGTTTTAAAGGTGGTACTTTCATAGAATTTTGTATCTAGAAGCTCAGAGGAGAAGTGGCTCACCTAAGGCCCCAATCCGAGTAGGTGACAGTCTCCATGGTGCCCCCGCCGCCACACTCATCTTCTCATTTTGCACAATGCATGATTTTCAGTCCCCACAACAAATGCAAACCTTCCCGGGTCCTGGGGCAGTGTGGCTTGAGCAGGCGAAACCCCCGGAAGCTGCTGACTCTCTTGTGGCTGTTGCAACTTCTTTAGATCTCTTGAGGAACAGTAAATATTCCACAGATCAGCTTCAGAGCAGACAGCATTCTGGCTGAGAAACAGATGATCTTCACTTTTACTTATTTATTTCTCTCGCTCTCTCTCCTCTTCACTTCTCAAACTAAACATAGCAGCATTACATGTAGTCTTTGCTTTTAGGACTCAGCATTTTAGAGTCTGTAGGTCCATGCTCCTGATTACAGACTGGGGTCTGCAGCCCTCCAGTGATATTCCTCGGATTGCAGCCAGTTTCGCGGGGCCAGACCAGGACCCTGGGCCTGCTCTTCGGCCTTTCTCTGTGGTGTCTGCAGGCCTGACTGTCCCCTTAGCAGGGAAGGGAATTGCTCTGGGCCGTGGTCCAGCCCGTGGGACGGAGGTTCAGCCTCTTCCCCTTACTTGCTGCTGCCCAGGGAGCCCTTCCCCTCGCTTCCTCTCTTGTTCTGTTAGCTGGGGTTTCAAATTTTCTTTTCTTTGGATGGAAAACAAACAAAGAAAGTAAAACTAATGGGCTGAAGCCCTTCCTTGGGGAGAAACATTCATCCCTCAACGCTGAGAATAAATGGCCTTTGCTGACCCTAGCAGCACAGCCAAGGGCCGCCATCCCTGCCTGTTGCTGCACTTCCCCTCCCTTCTGCGCCATCCTGCAGTGGCAGGGACCCTGCCCTTCCTTGCGTCTGCCCCCGCTTCCTGCGCCCTGCTCTCCTGCCAGGCTGCCCAGGCTGGGGTGCCCCTCTCTGCAGGCTCCCACCCCTCAGCCTGGCTTGTACCTCTCAAGTCCTCCTCTTGTACTCCTGCTCCCTGGTAGGTGGATGCTATCAGAGGGCACAGTTTTCAGCCCAAAACCTTAAGGAACAAAAATGAACAGCACCATCTGCATCTCTTTGGCCCTCGCCTCTGTCTCCACCTTGCTCCTTGGCGCTCTCAGGCCCCCTGCCCCGAGGCTGGACCGCTGTTGGGAGTGTGGCACCAGTGGGTGGACTGCTTTCCATTGAGGGCAGCAGAACCCAGCCTTGTGTGTGTGTTTTAGCGCAGAGATCTTCAGATGAACTCATCTGAGGCCGACAGGCAAAGTAGCCCTGCACATCTGGGGCCAGGGATGGAGGCCGATGCTAAATGCCCCCCATGTCTCCTCAGCTCCCTTGCACCCTGATGAGCCCCTGCAGTGTCCTGCATAGTCCTTGGGCTAAGTGGAGCCGAGTATGGAACCCAGGTCTAAAATTGGGAATGGCTGTCCAGTGTCTGCGCATCGCCCCCTCCCCTATCTGGGAAACTCTGTGGTTGAGGAACCCCACTTACAAGGCCCCAGGCAGGCTGGCCTCTCCCCGAGTCAGGCACCAGTCTGATGGCCTGATGGCTCTGCTATGGAGGTGGGAGGGGAAAGGTCCTCCACCAACCTGGGGACTCTCCAACTGTCAAGGCAACAATCACTGTATTGAGTAGCTATTACTGCCCGCATTTTAAGGATAGGAACACTGAGGCCCAGGTGATCAAGTAATTTGTGTGTGGAGATGTGGGAATGAAAGCTCATGGTCTTCATCTGTAGCAGTGACTCCCGCAGTAAGCCTGGGTCATGAGGATGAGGTGGGATCCAGAATCTGCTGCTGGGGGCGGGAAGGATGCCTGGCTGATCCCTGTGCACCTTCGGGCCCTCCCTCAGCTCATTCCCCCTCTCCCATCACCTCACTGCTTGGATTGTAGAAAAATGAAAGGTTCATGCCTAGAGATGACCAATTTTGGGGTAGGAGCTGCGGGTGGAGCGGGGCCCATGACCTCTGTGTGGGAGAAGCTGGAGAGGGGCACGGGGCTGGCCAGGCTCTAAAAGGCACATGACCTTGTTTGCATCGTCACACTCCTTTTTTAGAAAACAATCTCTGCTGCATACAGAGGTTGGCTTTGTGCAGGGCCCCAGCAATCCTGGTGGTTCCTTCCTGCCTTTCTTCTCCCTTCCCTATTCTGGGTTTTTCTCCTCCCTGCTTCCCATTCTACCATAGGGGAATGGGGTCAAGTCTTTTGGATGGGAAACAGGAACTGAGAAGTTGAAGATGGAGAAATGAAAGACTAAAGATAGCAGGGTTTTAATTTTCCCTCTGAAAAGCCCAGGAAGAGCCCCGGATTGTGTAACCTGGACACATGCAAATGATGACCCTGCCCCTACTCTATCTGCTTCTCCGCCACCCTGGCCCTTCAGAAGATTCTGAAACAAGGAATTGGTTACCCAGGGTGGTTAGGGGGGTTGTGCCTGTGTCCCTGGTGAACTTTAGATTCTTGTGCCCCTGGTGAACTTCAAATGCTAGTGTGCTGGGAGCCGTATGACAGCCCCTTGGGGTGGCAGGAGCTGGCTTGTGTGGAGGAGAGCCACTGGCAGCTTTCTTGGTGAAGGGGTGGACAGCACTCTTGGTGTGGAAGTAGCAGCCCCCTTGCCTGTAGCTGGGCTGGGGTTAGTGGAACAGGGTTTAGAGAAAGCAGGGGTAATGCCGGGTGGTTATTTTCCCCAAATGTTAGAGAAAGCCAGCGCTTCTGGCTCTGGAAGTGAGGCTGTTGGGAAGTGGGAGGGGGAGCACAGCTCTGGAAGCTGCCTTCCGTCCTCCCTCCATTGGCTGGAGCTCTCCCAGCATTTCATCGGTTCAAAGCCAAACACATGATTTTGGACAAGTCACTTAAACTCTTTGAGTCAGTTTCTTCTCCTTTAAGCTGGGGAAAGAGGTGGTGATTTCACAAGTGGTTGTAAATATTGCAGTAAAGATAATGGAAGTAAAAGTGCTCTGTGGAGTGTAAATTGCTGTATGGTAGTTGGAGTTGGGCCCTAGGTGTGATTTTAGAGTACACACCTACTGCTGCCTTGGTAACTTAAAAGTATTTATCTCAAATGCTAGTGAGCTGAGCTGAGTGGCACAGTAGGCCTTTCTTTCCCTGGGAGCACTTTGGGAGCTTTGGAGGTTGCCCAGTGCTGCCCCCAACCTTTAACAGTGTGGCCGAGTGTAGGAGGGAGGGGGCAGAGTTCCTTCTGGCTGGACTGCCACATGCAGGGGAGAGGCCCCGCTGGTGGTGTCCCAGGTGGGAGAGGGGCAGACCTGGGGTTACCTCAGTCAGGGTAGGTGAGGAGGGGATGGGTGGACACCCCGGTGGCCACTCCTACTCACCCCTGCACTTAAGACCTGGGGTTTCATGCCCTGCTCCTTTAACCCTCAGTGTTCAAGAGAGAGGCCAGTTGGACCAGAGCGCCTCACCCCACCATTTGCCATGTGCCCCTCCCCGTGGGGAGTCAGAAACACCTGAGCACACCAGGAAAAGTTTTGAAAAACAATGTTTTTAGAGACAGGGTGTTGCTACGTTGCCCAGGCTGGACTCAAACTCCTGGGCTCAAGCGATCCTCCTGCCTCAGCCTCCTCAGTAGCTGGGAATGATAGGCGCGTGCCATCATGCCTGTATGAAGTTTTGAAAAATTTAAATGTTGATGGAAAAAAAAATGTATTAGTGGAAATGAAAGGCTGGTATAAGCTGTAAAGTCTTTTTGTTCTTAGAGATTTTTTTCTCATTCTAAACATTATCAGACCTGAAAAGTATTTGTCGTAATGACTGAGACGGTCCTGGGGTAACAGCGTCTTCTTAACGGCCACTTTAATTGGCGTAGTTTACACCTAGCCTCTCCGAGAACTGGAGGACACTGGTAATCACTATTAGATATTGAGTGCTGACTGTATGGCAGACACATAAGCATTGGTGATCTCCTGTGAGGCAGGTATTGTTATTCCCAATTTATAGATGAAGAAACAGAAGTCAGTGAGGTGGAGTCCGTTTTTGAGGTCACGCGGCTAGTAATTGGAGCCTGGTTTAGAACCAAGTCAGTCTCATTCCAGAATCCAGAACCAGTGATTTGTAACTGATGCACTTGTCTCCAAAGGGATCCAGCACTGGGTTTTCTCATTTTTAATGCATCCATTCCTTAAAGCCTCTGTTCACAGTCACAAGGTGTACTTTTTAAAGGAACACAGCACACAAATGTGACCGCTAGTGGACAGCAGTGGCAGCCCAGTTGGATGGCAGAGCCTGGCATGCCGACTGGGACAGAAGCCCCAGCACACGGTGTGATGATGGCGTCTCCAGGCTGACCTCCATGGCCTCAGGAATCAAAGTCCTCAGTCTCTTTCACGCGGGGTTCAGAAAGAAAACTCGGCTATCTTACATCTCCTCTCCCCTGTTTATTTGACTAAAGTGAAGTTCATGTGGCTTGAGCCTCGTTTCCTGGGGAAATCAGCCTGGCTTAGGATTCCATTGTCTTCTGGGACTGGGAAGATGTGGAAGGCTGACCTCACGCCCAGCTGAAGGTCACCTTCCCAGACTCTGAGCTCGGCTGCCTTCTGCATCGCCACGGCTGGAGGGCCTGGCCCAGGCCGTGGCTGCATGCTGGCTTTCCACTGTCTCGGTGTCCCTGCTGCCTGTCAGTAATGTGCCCAGCACCTTCTGGTGTCATGTCCCCTCTTGTTTGTGATTCTTTTCCTGAGCTAGTCCATTTTCTACCTCGAGTCTGCTCTCCTGCCATTCCCAGGGGCCACAGCTCAGTAATGTGGGTGTCAGGGAACCCCAGGCCAGGCCCCCTTGTGCCACTGTGGCTCTCCCCAAAGCAGGGCACCAGGCTGGCTGGGGGGGTCCTGCCCAGAGCTGCCCCACGCTGCCGTGTTTGTGCTGCTGCTGTGCAGTGGTGATCTTGCCAAAATGTGGCTTTTCCTTTCTCACTCCCCCAGAGCTCCCAGAAAAGTCTCTAGGACTTTTCTTCCCCCTAAATAAAAGTCAGGATGTGAAGCCTTTTGACAGAATTGGAGTTTACTGTCATCTGTTTCCGTTTCTCTAAGATAGGGATCCTGGCGAAGCCCATGAAAGCCATGGGGCGCTCCCACCGAAGCCTCCGAGGCACAGACCTCCCGGGAGTGCCTGTGGGCGCTGCTTCCTTAAACTGCAGGAGGCTGCAGCCTCTCGTTGTTCATGCGTCGTTTTTTCATAGTGTGTGTGGGTTTAGAGCTACATGGGTTCTTTTCTCACTTATCTGTTCATACCGCATGACACCGTCCACTTCAGGCACAGTTGACGGCCGTCTGGAGGTCATCAGCTGAGGGCACAGTTTGCCTGGTTCTTCTATAATAGGTTAAGTATTTTTTTCTCCATTTTTTTCCCTTTTAAAAGTACTGCTAGAAGGCCAGGTGCCGTGTCTCACACCTGTAATCCCAGCACTTTAGGAGGCCAAGGCGGGCGGATCAGTTGAGGTCAGGAGTTCAATACCAGCCTGGCCAACCTAAGGAAACCTCATCTTTACTAAAAATACAAAAATTAACCAGGTATGGTGGTATGCACCTGTAGTCCCAGCTACTCAGAAGGCTGAGGTGGGAGGATCACTTGAGCCTTGGAAAGAGAGGTTGCAGTGAGCCAAGATCACACCACTGCACTCCACCCTGGGCAGTGAGTGAGACCCTGTCTCAAAAAAATAATAATAATAATAATAATAATAATAAACACAAGTACTGCTGGAACTTCTTTGCAGAAACAACTTGTGGGGAAGGAGGGAGGTATATTTTAGTATTTGGCCTTGGGAAAAGGTTTTGCTTCTGCAGGCATGTCTTCCAGAGACTGGGGGGGCCCGTGCTGGCGTCACCACTGTCCCCTTCCCCATCAGGAACCTTCCTTCCTTGGATGGCATTTCCAGTGTGTCCGGGCCTCTGCTGTTCTCATTATGAGTCCCCAGCTCTGACGGCCACTGTGGCTGATGCACAGGGTGTTGGAGACAGTGATTCAGCCCAGCAGGCTGTATTCATGTGCTGTTCCTCTGTACACCCAGAGCTGTCTTCTCGCTCATCATTTATTAATCTTTCCCATGCAAGTCATACGTGAATATATCCTTGTGGTAAAGTTTTCAGGTGATAGCGAAAACTCAGTCTCCTGTCACCGTCTTCTCTCCTCATCTAGGTGCGCGCTATAACTAAGTCCTTTGCCTCTTCCAGAGTTTTTTTCTCCCTGTGTACCATTGGCCCTCTGCACTTGTGGGTTTTGCATCCTCGTGTTCAGTCACATAGGGTCTCAAGGGGAAAATATTCAAGAAAAAATATCCAATAAAAACTAATACAGCAATTTAAAAAATACAAATTTTGGCCAGACACAATGCCTTATGCCTCTAATCCTAGCACTTTGGGAGGCTGAGACAGGGGAATCACTTGAGCCCAGGAGTTTGAGACCAGCCTGGGCAACATAGGGAGACGTCTCTGCAAAAAATTTGAAAATTAGCCGGGTGTGGTGGCATGTGCCTGTGCTCCCAGCTACTCAGGACGCTGAGGCAAGAGGATCACTTGAGCCCGGGAGGTGGAGGCTGCAGTGAGCCGTGATCACACCACTGCACTTCAGCCTGGGGGACAAAGTGAGATCCTATCTCAAAAAAATAAATAAATAATGAAAAATACAAATTTTTAAAAATACAGTGTAACAACTGTTTACATAGCATTTACATTGCATTAGATATAAGTAATCTAGAGATGATTTAAAGCATGTGGGAGGATGTGTGTAGGTTACATGCAAATATGACAACATTCTACATTACGAATTGAGCATCCTTGGATTTTGGAATTCAACGGAATCCCGGAATTAATCCCCCATGGAGACCGAGGGACTACAGTTTTGAGTATTTTTGTTTTATTGTTTAATCTGTCCCTTTGACACATTTTTGTGCTCAGAGTTAAAGACCTCAATACCCTGCTTGATGGGAGGAGAAGAGAAAAGGGTAACAAAGTATAGGATAGTACTTTTCATTTTCTTTAATTCGAAAAAATTATCAAATAATGTATTCATGTTAATGATAGTTTAAAAGTGGGAAAACAAAAAATTCCTCCAACTTTTCCTAAGACAACAATGATTATTTTCTTTCTGTATCTTTATATACAGAGTTTTAAGTGTTTGATATATCACTTGTCTATCCTCTTTTATAAGTATTTTTTTCTTTGCTTTTACAATTTGTGTGTGTGTGTGTGTCTGTGCGTGTAATGGATTTAATAAACAAGCTTGTGATTTTCATTTATGTATTTATTTTTTTGAGACGGAGTTTCACTCTTGTTGCCAAAGCTGGAGTGCAATGGCACGATCTTGACTCACTGCAACCTCCACCTCCCCGGTTCAAGTGATTCTCCTGCCTCAGCCTCCCGAGTAGCTGGGATTACAGGCGCGTGCCACCATGCCCAGCTAATTTTTTGTATTTTTAGTAGAAGCGGGGTTTCACCATGTTAGCCAGGCTGGTCTTGAACTCCTGACCTCAAGTGATCCACCCCCCCACCCCCTGCCTTGGCCTCCCAAAGTGTTGGGATTACAGGTGTGAGCCACCACACCCAGCCCATAAGCTTGTAATTTTCTATTTCTGAAATTGGAATTTTTATAAAAACGATTGCCTTTTTATCTTTTTTTTTTTTTTTTGGACACAGGATCTCACTCTGTTGCCCAGGCTAGAGTTCAGTGGCACAGTCATAGCCCACTGCAGCCTCGACTTCCCAGACTCAAGTGATCCTCCTGCTTCAGCCTCACCAGTAACTGGGACCACAGGCACCTACCACCACACCCGGCTAATTTTTTTACTTTTTGTAGAGATGGGGTCTCACTGTGTTGCCTAGGCCTGTCTGAAATGCTTAGGCTCAAGTGGTCTGCCCACCTCAGCCTTCCAAAGTGTTGGGGTTACAAGCATGAGCCACTGTGCCAGTTGCCTTTTCATCTTCTGCAGAGCTGCCTTACTTGTGTTTTGTCCTCAGTGCTGTTCCTGTGCGGGTGGTGGGCGTCTGCATGTACACAGGCCAGCTTCCCTCACTGCTGGGGGGCCTGCAGGTCTGGGTGCACCTTGTTACCCAGGCTAGCCTTCCTCTGCAGAGGTGTGAACTCTGCCACCACCCCGTTCTAGTCAAGATGGGAATGGAATCTCAGAAAGGAAGCCATCTAGGAGAAAAATGAAAGAAGTGTTTCTCTTATGTTTGCTGCCGTCAAAGTTGCTACTTTAGGAGCTCAGAAAAACAGTTATTTGTAAGATGGATTAAGTAAGTAGTTTAGTAAGATTGCCCAAAACCACCTCCCAGAGTTAGTGGGAAGCGCCTGATGCTGGGGAGAAAAGCCCGAGGCCTGAGCTGGCCGACCTGCATTCAGTTTCCTCTGTCTCTAGCTTCTCTCTGATGGTTTAGAAATGGTACTAAGGGATTCCTAAGTCCCTTTTGCTTCCTGTGGTCAACCAACATGCTAGGCTAATAAATTACTCCTGAAGTTCACTTTCATTTTGGCAACATTTTCTGGTTCTTTCGCCAACTCTAATTTCTTTTCTTTAAAAGATGCTTTAATTTTACTTGTATTCTTAATAATATATCTTATATATACACACACATAGCATTAAAAATTTTTTCAATGAGATTTTTTTAAAAAATTCAACTTTTATTTTAGATCGGGGGGTACATGTGTAGGTTTGCTACGTGGGATATATTGCATGATGCTGAGTTTTGGGGCATGATTGATCCCATCACCCAGGTACTGAGCATAGTACCCAACAGTTAGTTTTTCAGCCTCTCTCCACATCTCTCCGCTCTCTAGTAGTCCCCAGTTTCTATTGTTTGTTTCTTTATGTCATGAGTACTCAACATTTAGCTCCCACTTATAAGTGAGAACATGCAGTGTTTGTTTTTTTGTTCCTGTGTTGATTTGCTTAGGATTAGGGCCTGCAGCTGCATCCATGTTGCTGCAGAGGACATGATTTAGTTCTTTTTTATGGCTGCGTCATATTCCATGGTGTATATGTACCACATTTTCTTTATCCAATCCACTGTTGATGGGTACCTGGGTTGATTCCATGTCTTTGCTATTGATACAAATGACATTTAAAGAATGATTATGAAGGCCACGTGCAGTTTCTCATGCCTGTAATCCCAGCACTTTGGGAGGTCAAGGTGGGTGGATCACTTGAGGCCGGGAGTTCGAGACCAACCTGCCTAACATGGTGAAACCCCCGTCTCTACTAAAAATACAGAAATTAGCTGGGCGTAGTAGTGCACACCTGTAGTTCCAGCTACTCAGAAGGCTGAGGCCTGAGAATCGCTTGAACCCAGGAGGCAGAGGTTGTAGTGAGTCGAGAATGCACCACTGTACTCCAGCCTGAGCAACAGAGCAAGACTCTATCTCAAAAAAAAAAAAAAAAAAAAAAAAAGAATGATTATAAAGCCTGGTTTTGGCCAGCACTCCAAGCGCGCCCCGCAGGCCTGTCCCATCGTAACGCCCTCAGAAGCTTCCCCTGCCCTGACTGCAGCCCTCAGCTTGCCTCAGTTTGTAGTTTGCCAACAAGGTGTATATCCCTAAACATAAACAATTTAGTTTGGCCTGTTTTTGAACTTTTTATACTGCATGTATTCTTTTGCTCAACATTTTTGTCAAGTTCACTTGTGTTGTGGGGTAAGTTTGTTCTCTTCCGTTGCTGTGTAGCATTCTGTTGTACGAATGTCCATCATCAGTTTATTCATTTTACCATCGACATTTCGGTTTATCCAGTTGGGGGCTGTTTTGAGGAGTGTTAGGACAGCCTGTCCATGTCTTCTGTTGTGGATGTATATTTACTCTGAGTAATTTTAATTTTTTAAGATAATACCAAAACACGCCCTTCTCATCTGTCCTTAGGCACACACTTTCCTCAGCTGTGACTTAGCTCAGACGTCTATTTGATCTTAATTCTTAGCGACACCTGCTATTCTTCAGGCCTGGCTTTATTCCCACAAGGGGGGAGGTTCGTTATTGCTCTGGCTTTAAACGGAGCCCACAGGTCACAGTGCAAGTCTACGCTTCCCAAAAGGCTTCTGGAAATATTTGACACTGTCATTAATGCTCTCTGTTACTTTCTGAAGAGTCGAATGCGTGGTGAGACAAAGCTGCCATCTGAATGTCTGTCTGACTCTTCTTGGCAAAGCCACCCTGGGGGCACGGACCTGGGTGTGTTTTGTTTTTTGTTTTGTCTACTGTCTTTCAGAAATGTCCCTTCTTCTCAGGCTGGCCTTTCGTCCGTGGAACGAGGGGAGAGGAGATAGGACGGGAGAGCGGAGCATGCTAGGGCTGCCTGAGTGCTGCAGGCCTCTGCTCTCCCCAGGGCAGCATCTTCGGGTTCTAAGAAGGAAGCCAGCCTCTTCCCACCCCTGCTGGTTCGCATTGAGAACTCAGGGTGCTGGGGACAAACCGGTGCTGTGCTGCCTGCAGTGTGGGCTCCCTGTCAGGGCTGGGAGGAGTGGGGTGCAGGGGCCGCTGGTGCTGTGGGAGGGGCATTTTGCATGGATCCTTGAGGCCAGGGCTCAGCAAACCTTTTCTGTGAGGGGCCAGAGATAGTAAATATTTTAGGTTTGGCGGGCCTCAAGGCGGTATGTAGGTACTTACATAAGAGAGGTGATAAATATCTACAAATTTTTTATTAATGAAATTCAAAATATAAAAATAATAATGGAGTACAATTTTTTGGTAATGCAGGTCTCCTAAGGGGAAGAGAGGAATTATTTTGCGGGGGGGAGGGGGCGCGCATAACATTTATCTTAATTAATTTGGGTTCAGTTGGTCTTTCCTGTGACCCTGTCCTTGCATTCATTGGAAATGTTCGTCTGGAAACACCCTTAGCTCACGGTTGGATAAAAGCTGTCCCGCAGGCCGTGTGTGCCCACCCTGAGCCAGGTCATCTCCTCAGATAGTGGGCTTGGCCCGCACCATTCAGCCTGTGGTGACACAGGATGGAGGCCCTGTAGGGTTCTGTGGGGGACCAAGAAGAGGTAGAGGAGCCCCCACATGGAGGAGGGTGGCCATGGGGTGATGTTGATGCTGAGCCCACGGGGGAACCATGGCCAGGGCCTCCGGGTGACCCCAGAGGTGGTGGCACCGCCCTCAGGCGGTACAGTGGGGCCCATGAACGGAGGAAGAGAAGCATGGGGTTGGGGACATTCAGAGGCCACTGTGCTGCCTGGGTGGCTGTAGCTCTTGCAGAAGGTGGCAAGGCCTGAGGAACTGAATTTGAAATTTGAATGAATCTTTATAGAAACATTCCTCTGTGGCTACCCTGTTGGACAGCACAGGTGTGGAAAATGAGTGAACAGCTTTGTGGTGGTCTCTCCTGTGGTGGACTTCCCTTACCCACAGTGTGCACCGTCCCCACTGTCCCCACACACTGTCCCCGTCCCCTGTCCTGGCTCCAGCTCAGCTGAGCAGCAGAGATTGGAAGAGGCCCCTCGGTAACTTGAGAGGAACCTATAGAAGAGTTTGGGAACTCCAAACAGATGCTTTTAAAGTGGTTTGAAACAGTAGTTTTCCTCAGAAATATTTGGGACACATCCCCCTCTCTGGTTTTTGTGATAAGTTCACTCTGTAAAACTTGTTTGACAAACTGAAGGTCAGCTTCCACCTGGCCCCTGAGAATTAATGAGGTCTGGCCAGGCGGCAGCTGCAGTGCAGGCCCTGCTCCTGTCTTGGGGTCTCTTCGGTTCTTGCCTTTGTTTGTGTTTTTTACACATAAGTTCCCGTGAAAGTTGCTTTTCCCCCGCTCTGAGCTGGAGTGGAGTTTTCGTTTGGGGAGCATGGTAGTTGAGAGCCTGGGTCTGGTTAGAATTCTCAGCCTGATGGGTAGACATCTTTGCTTCCTCGAGACTCAAGCTTTGTTATTTTTTGTTGCTCTAAGATTTCAGTATTTTTTTTTAAATTTTTGATTATTGTGGGTACGTGGTATATATTTTTATGGGGTACATGGGATATTTTGATACAGGCATGCAGTGCATAATAATCACATTAGGGTAAATGGGGCTTCCATCACCTCAAAGCATTTAGCCTTCTTTTGTGTTACATCTCAATTATACTCTCTTAGTTATTTTTAAATGTACAATAAATTATTGTTGACCTTTGTCACCCTGTTTCTATCAAATACTAGATCTTATTCATTCTGTCCACCTATATTTTTGTACCCATTTACCATCCCCACTTCCACCCCACCTACCCTTCCCAGCCTCTGGTAACCATCCTTCTACTGTCAGTCTCCATGAGTTCAATTGTTTTCATTTTTTTTTTTTTTTTTTTTTTTTTGAGACGGAGTCTCGCTCCGTCGCCCAGGCTGGAGTGCAGTGGCGCGATCTCGGCTCACTGCAAGCCCCGCCTCCCGGGTTCACGCCATTCTCCTGCCTCAGCCTCCCGAGTAGCTGGGACTACAGGTGCCCGCCACTACGCCCGGCTAATTTTTTTGTATTTTTAGTAGAGACGGGGTTTCACCGTGTTAGCCAGGATAGTCTCGATCTCGTGACCTCGTGATCCACCTGCCTCGGCCTCCCAAAGTGCTGGGATTACAGGCGTGAGCCACCGCGCCCGGCCCTGTTTTCATTTTTTTTTATGGCTCTTTTCAGTTTATTTCATGAAGGAGTTACACTAGTCCAAGTTAAAAGCGGACCCCAAATGGTTACATTATACAAGCTGTGAGGTTTTTAAACTTGTGACAAGGGACAGAAGGGAAATTCTACTCATTGCAAGGAAATCCTCACTTAAACTACAGTGAGCCACAAGCATTTAAACCCCATGAATCTTCAGCTGATCGTCCTTAGCCAGTCCAAGCTCTACGAGGAACTGGCATAATATATGTTCTTGCACCTGTCACCCTGTAGCTGAATTACTTCTCCATATTCTGGATGCTCAATTACAGTACCATTGCAGGCAAACTTCTTAAACGCCTTCACTGGTTTCTTTTTGGTGTAATCATCAGCGATCCCTTGGACAGTAGTAAGGGCCTTCCTGCCGTTTCTCTGTTGAATTCTTATATGGATATAATCCTCAGTGCCAGCAGGAAGCAGGTCATCACCCTTACTTGCATCAGCAAAGGAGTTTAAATAGTGGAGGTTCTGGATAGTGGACATACGATCCAATTTCTTTTTCTCGGTGGAAATGGTCTGCGGAAGACGGCGGGCAGAGGGTACGGAAAGTAGGGAAGCGACGGGGCCCAAGGGGGAGGCTGCTGAGTCCTCGGCAGTGGCTCAGTGACTGGGGTGGTTTTAATTTTTTTTTTTAGCTCCCACAAATAATTGAAAACATGGAGTGTTTGTCTTTCTGTACGTGGCTTATTTCCCTTAACATAATAACCTCTATTTCCATCCACATCATTGCAGCTGACAGGATCTCATTCTTTTTTATGGCTGAATAGTACTCCATTGTGTATAGGTACCACATTTTCTTTATTCATTCTTCTGTTAGTGGACACTTAGATTGTTTCCAAATCTTGGCCATTGTGAACAGTGCTGCAGTAAACACGGGAGAGCAGGTACCTCTTTAGTATACTGATTTCCTTTCTTTTGGGTATGTACACAGCAGTGGAATTGCTGGATCATATCATAGCTCTATTTTTAGTTTTTTGAGGAACCTCCATACTGTTCTCCATAGTGGTTGTACTAATTTACATTCCCACCAATAGTGTACAGGGGTTCCCTTTTCTCCACATCCCCACAAGCATTTGTTATTGCCTGCCTTTTGCCTATAAACCATTTTAACTGGGGTGAGATTATATCATTGTAGTTTTGATTTGCATTGCTCGGATGATCAATGATGTTGAACACCTTTTTGTATGCCTGTTTGCCATTTGTATGTCTTCTTTGGAGATATGTCTATTTATATCTTTTGCCCTTTTTAAAATTGGATCATTAGATTTTTTCCTATAGAGTTGTTTGAGCTTCTTACATATTTTGGTTATTAATTCCTTGTCAGATGGATAGTTTGCAAATATTTTCTCCCATTTTGTGGGTTGTCTCTTCACTTTGTTGATTGTTTCCTTTGCTGTGCAGAAGCTTTTTAACTTGATATGATCCCATTTATCTGTTTTTGCTTTGGTTGCCTGTGCTTGTGGGGCATTACTCAAGAATTCTTTGCCCAGACCAGTGTCCTGCAGTTTCTCCATTTCTTATAGGAGTTTCATAGTTTGAGGTCATAGATTTAAGTCTTTAATCCATTTTGGTTTGATTTTTGTGTATGGTGAAAGATAGAGGTCTAGTTTTATTCTTCTGAGCATGGATATTTAGTCTTCCCAGCACAATTTATTGAAAAAATTGTCCTTTCCCCAGTGTATGTTCTTGGCACATTTGTAAAAAATGAGTTCACTGTAAATGTATGGATTTATTTCTGGGTTCTCTATTCCATTAGTCTATGTGTCTGTTTTTATGCCAGTACCATACTGTTTTGGCTACTATAGCTCTATAGTATAATTTAAGTAAGGTAATGTGGTTCCTCCAGTTTTGTTCTTTTTGCTTAGAATAGCTTTGGCTATTCTGGGTCTTTTGTGGTTCTATATAAATCTTAGGGTTATTTTTTCTATTTCTGTGAAGAAAAGCATTGGTATTTTGATAGAGATTGCATTGAATCTGTAAATCGTTCTGGGTAGTATGGACATTTTAACAATATTGATTCTTCCAGTCCACAAATATGGAATATCTTCATTTTTTTTGGTGTCCTCTTCAATTTCTTACATCATCGTTTTATAGTTTTCGCTGTAGAGATCCTGTACTTCTTTGGTTAATTCCTAGGTATTTAATTTTATTTGTAGCTATTGTAAATGGGATTATTTTCTTGATTGCTTTTTCAGATTGTTCACTGTTGGCATATAGAAATGCTACTAATTTTTGTATGTTGATTTTGTATCCTGCAACTTTACTGAATTTATCTATCAGTGTAACCACCCAATGGGTTCACCTTGCCCGCTGCTGCCTAGACCAAGCTGATTTATCAAGACAGGGGAACTGCAGTAGAGGAAGAGTAATTCACGCAGAGCCAGCTGTGCAGGAAACTGGAATTTTATTATTATTCGAATCAGTCTCCTGGAGCATTCGGGGATCAGAGTTTTTAAGGATAATTTGGTGGGTCAGGGCCAGTGAGTTGGGAGTGCTGATTGGTTGGGTCGGAGATGAACTCATAGGCAGTCAAAACTGTCGTTTTGTGTTGAGTCAGTTCCTGGGTGGGGGCCACAGGACCAGATGAGCCAGTTTATTGATCTGGGTGGTGTCAGCTGATCCAGTGAATACAGGGTCTGCAAAATATCTCAAGTGCTGATATTATGTTTTACAATAGTGATGTTATGCAGCCTCCAGCTGCATGACTCCTAAACCATAATTTCTAAACTTGTGGCTAATTTATTAGTCCTGCAAAGGCTGTCTAGTCCCCAGGCAGGAAGAGGGGTTTATTTTGGGAAAGGGCCATTGTCATCTTTGTTTCAAAGCTAAACTGTAAGTTCCTCCCAAAGTTAGTTCAGCCTAGGCCCAGGAATGAACAAGGACAGCTTGGAGGTTAGAAACAGGATGGAGTCAGTTATGTCAGATCTCTTTCACTGTAATAATTATCTCAGTTATAATTTTTGCAAAGGTAGTTTTTTCAGTTCTGATAGTTTTTATGATGGCATCTTTAGGTTTTTCCAAATATAAGATCACATCATCTGCAAACAAGGCTAATTCAACTTCATCCTTCCAATTTGGAGGCCCTTTATTTCTTTCTCTTGTCTAATCTCTAGCTAGGACTTCCAGTGCTGTTTTTATATATAGTTGGCATAAGACTGTTTCTAGCATTCAATCTTTTTTTTTTTTTTTTTTTTTGAGACAGAGTCTCATTTTGTCACCCAAGCTGGAGTACAGTGGTGTGATCTCCGCTCACTGCAACCTTTGTCCCCCAGGTTCAAGCGATTCTCCTGCCTCAGCCTCCTGAGTAGCTGGGATTATGGGCATGCACCACCATGCCCAGCTAATTTTTGTATTTTTAGTAGAATCGGAGTTTTACCATGTTGTGCAGGCTGGTCTGGAACTTCTGACTTCAAGTAATCCGGCCATCTCGGCCTCCCAAAGTGCTGGGATTACAGGCATGAGCCACCGCGTCCAGCCTAACACTCAATCTTAAACAATCATTCTAGCTTCTCGTCCTGACCAAGTTTAATTTTAATTGTCTATAAATATGCACCATAATGAAGGGTGTGTTTCTGAATAGGGAGGTAATTGCTTTTCCCACTTGCAATTTTAATTAAAAATTACCTCTTCCACCTACCTCACCTTTATTTCTAATCTGTTTAACAGATTGTAGAAAAGCAAGTTTATGCACTCATCCCTGAGTTCAGGAAGCACTACTTCCTCTTTGGTAACAAAGGTAGAAGATTCCATATGGTGACCTATTTTTTCAAGAGTTTTATGCAGTAAATGATCAGGGACGGGTGTGTCCCATGACATAATATGGGAGGAAATTTGTCAGAGTTCAATTGTGTTATTAAGGTATGTTGTCTGTGAGCAGCCTTTTACATTGAAGTTTACCACCGCTTCCAGTCCCATGTTTTGTTTTTTCATTTGTCTGTTTTTTTTTTTTTTTTAAGAGACAGGGTCTGTCTGTCACCCAGGCTATAGGGCAGTGGCGCAATCATGGTTCGCTGCAGCCTCCAACTTCTGGATTTAAGTGATCCTCCCTCCTCAGCCTGGGATTACAGGTGCATGTTCCCATGCCCGGCTAACTTATTTTTATTTTTTGTAGAGACAGGGTGTCACTGTTGGCCAGGCTGGTCTCAAGCTCCTGGTCTCAAACATTCTTCCCACCTTGGCCTCCCAAAGCACTGGTATTATAGTAGGTGTGAGCTACCGCATCCAGCCTAGTCCTTGTGTTCTTAGCACGGTTGACCCAAACTCCTGTAGACACAAGATCACTCTGTCATCTGTGGGAGTATCAGAGGCAGGAGGGCTGAAATCTGGTTGAGAGAGACAGCACAGATCTCCCTGGCTGGCTTTTCCAGAACGGCTACTGCCCAGCTTTAGCCCTGAATGGCTTTTGAACCATGGGTTCCAGCCAGTTCCCTCTTCTTTGCGTAGCCTCTCCCTGAATGCACTTCCTGCCTGCCCTGATCCATTACCCTCCCTGTGGCCTGAGTAACCTTCAAGCACAGCTCCCGTTTCCCCTCTGGGAAGCACTGTTGCCTGGCACTTGAGCCCCTGCATTTTGGGCTCATCATCCTTTCCTGAGCTGCTTCTTGAGTCCTGTTCTGTGGCAAGCTCTCTGGTAGGCACTGGGGATACAATGAACAAATATCAGTGACTGACCTTAGAGGAAAGCATTAAAAAAACTAAAAAGAGGCGGTACGATTAATTTTGTTGATATTTTCTATAACCTAAGATGTCCACAATATTGTTTTAACGTGGCACTTAGCCACATTTCAGGTGCTCCGTAGACACGTGCTGGTAGCTGCTGTAGTGGATGGCTGTGGCCTAGAGGCAGAGCTGGACAAGTTAAAAAAGCAGTTCTGTGCACGTAGTAAGTCCTGGGCTCCTGTTTTCATCGTTAATTTGTGTTTCTCTAGGTGATTATCTTTTGTGAGTTGTGAATTCCAAGAAGGCACAGGCATTGCCTTGTCCTGTTTTCCTCACCATTGTGTCAGTAATACCTTGCAGGTAGAAGGTGCTCACACCATTTTATCCAATGAAATGCTAAGCACAGGGCATTATGGGAAAAGCTGAGATGAGTACCTGCCACCCTATCGTGGAGGTGGCAAGGCATCAGAGGCCTTCTCAGGAGAGAGGAGTGTGTGCACGGGCTGGGAAGACAGCAGGGGGAGGGGGAGCCACAGGTAGCTCATTATGATGGAAGCTTGGGGTACATGTGAAAGTGATGGAGAATATGAGGAGCTGATGCCAGAGAAGCAGGCAGAGCTCAGATGATCAGATTTTTAAAGCTTGCTAAAGATGTTATTCTGAGAACACCAGGAAGCCTTATAGTGCCTGGGCTGGGACCTGCCCCTCAAGCCTTCCTGTGTCATCTTTTTTTTCTCTTTTTTTTCTTTTTGAGACAGAGTCTCACCCTGTTGCCCAGGCTGGAGTGTAGCGGCACAATCTTGGCTCACTGCAACCTCCACCTCCCAGGTTCAAGCGATTCTTTTGCCTCAGCCTCCTGAGTAGCTGGGATTACAGGCACACCCACCAACACGCCCGGCTAATTTTTGTATTTTTAGTAGAGACAGGGTTTCACCATGTTGGCTAGGCTGGCCTCGAACTCCTGACCTCAAGTGATCCTCCCACCTCGACCTCTCAAAGTGTTGGGATTACAGGCATGAGCCACTGCGCATGGTCTCTTTCTTCTTTATTCGTGAGGTGTTTTCTCCCTTTACACTTGCTGGCCCATGGAAGGTGCTTAGTAAGAATGGTGGCTGACTTCTAATGCTTCCAGAGAGCCTGACAGGCTGACATGGGTGTCTTCCACTGTCTGTGGGGAGGCTTAGAAAGAGGAGTGGCTTTTATTAATATTATGAGTGTGGATCAGATCCTGCTGGAGCCAATGGCAAAGCCTGGAGCCGGCCCAGATTCTGCGAGAGTGCTAGGCTGCACGGTCACAGATCAAATGTGCTTTTCAAGAATGGCCCCTCTCCTGGGATGGGGAACTTAGAGCTCTGAGGAGCACCGTGAACTGGCACCTCTATGTGTGAGAGCTGTGCTGTCTGACATGTGGTCTAAGCTTCGCGAACTGGTGTTTCTGGCACAGCCCTGAGCACAACCTCAGTCTGCCCACTGGTGCTGGCTGAGCCTGGCCTAGGTCCCGCGAGTCTGCGGCTGGAAGACTGGGGAGGAAAAGTGATGAGACTGCAAGAGAAAGATAATTTAATTATGATTGTCCTGAGTTATTTACTGTTTCCAAGTCCCCTTTTGTATCTTGAAGGAAGGTAGGAATGGATCAGAGATAACCACTTGGGAAAATACGAGTTAACTCCATATAAGAAATCTTGATTATCTTGTATCGGTAACTCTCTACTCTTTAGTATGGCAGGAAAGAATGCCTTTTTTATTTAAATAAACATTTTTAGTTTTAGGTTCACAACAAAATTGAATGGAAAATACAGAAACTTTCCAAATACCCGTTCCCCTTGACATGCATAGCCTCCTCCTTTGTTAACATCCCGCACTACAAGTGGTATGCTGGTGACCCTCAGTGAACCGACAGGGACACATCACTCTCACCTATATCTTTACTTCACCTTAGGGCTCACTCTTGTACATTCCATGGGCTTGGACAAATGTATAATGACATGATTATAACTTCTCTTTGTATTGCAGCCACTCTGTCAAATGTCTGGTGCCTTGTGATCATTTTTCCATTTAAAATTGCCAGCACTAATCATGTCTGTTTTTAGCATCCAATAAAATTATCATTGTGGCATTAGAACCAGGGCTTACGATTCTGCTATTGAAAACTGGTTCAAAAGGTGATTTCAGGAAGGCTGGAAGTCCAGAATCCATTGCTCTGAGGAGCTGTGCTGTGTTTCTGATGATAGGTTGTTGCAGGTTTTTATGATCTAAACTCACATGGGGTAATAATGGACACTCAATAGCAGTAGTTATTATGTGCCAGTAGCTGTAGGGCAGGGTGCTTCATTTAGTTTTCATAGGATAGCCTGTGATTGGCATCGCTATCCCAGTTCACAAATGTTGTCTCCCTCCAGTCACAAGTCACCCTTTGCTTTTCTATGTTGTTTAAGTGGGTTAAAAGGACTTTTTACCCAGCATGTTGGGAGGTTGAGGCAGGTGGATCCCCTGAGGTCAGGAGTTTGAGACCATCCTGTCTAACATGGTGAAACCCCGTCTCTACTAAAAATGCAAAAATTAGCTGGGCATGGTGGCATACCCCTGTAATCCCAGCTACTTGGGAGGCTGAGGCAGGAGAATTGCTTGAACCCAGGAGGCAGAGGCTGCAGTGAGCCAAGATCGTGCCACTGCACTCTAGCCTGGGTGACAGAGCGAGACCCCTTCTCAAAAAAAAAAAAAAAAGAAAAAGAACAAAGGACTTTTTACCTTTGTATCTGTTGTGAAAGTCAAGGTGTAATTAAATTTCCAGGTGTGATTAGTCGTTGAACAGATAACTGTTTGAGCGCCTCCTATGTGCTGGACATTGTGAGTGCCATAGACAACTGCCGTGTAGTAGCTGGTCTATAAACATTTGCTGAATATTATATATGAGAGTACCTCTATCTAATTATTCAACCCTGCAAAGTGGGTATTGTTCCTGCTGGTTTCTGGAGAAGAAATCTGAGGCTCGGGAAGCAATAGGACCCGTCTTCTAACACAGCTTACAAGCTAATGATATTTGGGTTTTTCCAAATCCAGAGTGGGGTTGCCTCCACCTTGTTAGGGCTCTATAGGGGGAAGGGGTGCAGGCACGATAGGAGTCCCTGGCAGGCAGGGGCATCCTGGAGCCTTGCTGGTAACCAAGGAGAACGGAGGGTTCGGCTGGAGTAATTCACTTCGCTGCAGAGGGCTCACGTCCAGCAGGTGCTGTGGGCAGGAGACAGCTTGCATGCTGCAGGAGGAGGAGTTGGTTTTCAGTAATTGCCAACAAACTTCTGCTTAGTGCCATTTGGAAACCAGTCTTCCACACCACACTGAGGGCTTGTCTCCCAGAAACAGGTGCCGAGGGACCTGGCAGAGGAGGCTTGTCTCCCAGAAACAGGTGCCTAGGGACCTGGCAGAGGCAATCAGAGTGGCACTCAACGTGGTGCTCGCTGCTAGCGTGGTCTCAGCACAGACACGGTTTAATGACTGTATTCTCTACATTTTAGGCTTTGGACGTGGACCGGATGGTTCTTTACAAAATGAAGAAATCCGTGAAAGCAATCAACAGCTCTGGGCTGGGTGAGTATACATCCTTCCCTAGAGGTTTCTGTGTGGAAAATGTCGCATTTGAAGTCCTGGTACCGTAATATTGATGACCATTAACAAATGAGCCAGCTAGACTCCTTTATCGGGGCATGCAGATCACAGAGGTGAGCTGGGATGTTTCTTTTTCAGAAGTATGTTTTGTTTTGCCAGTCGTCTGATTCAGGTGTGGGATTTCGTCCCCTGTCATCCCCTGTCATCCTCCGTGCTGTCTGTCCCACGTTGCACTTCCTGTTTTCTGGAGCATCGTCCTGCACGTACCCACTTTGTCAGCCTGGCTGATGGGGGCCTGGATTCATTCCTGCCTCTGTCATTTGGTTTTTGCTGTTAATTGTGTCACAGTGCCCTTTCCGTTTCTCTTTTACCCAGTCTTGCCTTTTCTAGTATAGGAAGAAAATGAATAAATAGACAAACATAAAGTAATATTTGATCTAGATTTACACATACATATTTTTTACACATATATATTTACACATATATATTTTTTAAACCCATGCAACTTTTGGCTTAAAGATGACAAGTAGGTCACCTGTAGCATACCTTCCCTTGTACAAATCCTACGAGTGATACAAAATATTTTTTAAAAGTCGTTAAGTGACTATATAGTTTCATTCAGCAACAAAAAGGTGGCATCCTTGCAGGGCTAGGAACTGTGAGGAGTCCCTGAGAGACTGAAACAGGGCTGATGGGTTGCTCAGGGGAGCTTGCCCGTGCTCAGGTGCAGATAGAGTTTGGGTGACAGGGTGGGAGGAGGAGGGGCCTGGGGTCTGCTCCCACTGAAGTAGTCAGGTCCCTTCATCTATACTGTGTCCCCTCACCCTCGTGGTGTCTTTCTTTAGTGAAAGGGGTGATTGGAACAGGAGGACAGGGAGTGCCTTAGATGGTCGTGGTGTCAGGAGGGAAGGGGAAGAGCCTGGAAGTACACATTCCACCTGCTCCCCCCCACCGCCCCCACCAGTTACAATAGGGCGGGCACAAGCTCCAGTTGCCGCTCTTGATTCTCCCCCCATGAGAGCTGTGCAAGCCACAATCGGGAAGAATCTAGCAGGAAATCCCAGGTGCAGGATAATGTTACAGTTGAGCATTGCCAAGTGTATTTAGGAACAAATTTAACAGAAGACGCACAGGAATCCTACATCAACAAGTACAAAACGCTGCTGACCAAAATGAAAGAAGACCTAAATGAGAAATATGTGATGCACAGGGGTTAGAAGAGTCACCACTGTTAGTGTCAGGCCTCCCCAAACTGATCTGAAGATTCACCCCAACCCCAGTCAGAATTACAGCAGCGGAAATTGACAGGCCTTTTCTAAAACTGATACAGAAGGTGGCCATCCGTCTCTAGCTTTTTTACCTGGATTAAGTGTGGGGCAGGGAGCAATAATGATAGTTTTGATTTTTTTGAACACTTACTGTGTATCTTGTGCTTTCTGTACATTGTGCTAATCTTGTCAACAACTGATTCTCCTTATACAAATGAGTAACCTGCAAATCAGAGAGTTCTGGGTGTTCCCAAGATGTCTGTGCAGCTGGAGCTCAGACCCTGATGGTCTTACTGCTGTGTCAGGGTTGTGTGCAGTGAGTGGCCCACTCTGTTTCAAAGCCACCATGCCTTCAGTGTGTCTGTCACACGGGTGACATCTTGAAGACTTCAGTGAGTCACTAAGAAATGGTACGCCCAGTTTCATTGACAAGCACCAGATTTCAAAAAGTATCTTGGAAGATTTTTTTTTTTTTTACTGCGTTCACTTGGACTTTTTGAGTTTATAACTTGAGGGATATTTGATATTCTGGTCAGACTCAAAAATGATTTTATAGTCATATGTTGAAAAGGTTGCTCTTATCAGAAATAAAAATGAAATAATCTGTGTCTTATGCAAACACTGGCTGTGTAGCTGCTGCTCGTCTGGAGGAGAGACTTGTGTGACTCCCAAGGCTGGCCCAGTGGCTGGCAGTACAGCTTATAAACAGCCCTGCATTTGAAGGGAGAAGGCGCTAGTGCTTCGGTGTCAGGAAGCTGGCCTGCAGGAATTTAACAGCACCTCTGTCTAATTTGCCATGCTGACCTATATTGCTGAGCGTGTACCACAAACCTCATTCCTATTTCTAACCACCCCCAAGCGTCGTTTGCTAAAATGCAACCCCACTGGTGTTACTTCTCTGCCTAAAACTCTATAGCATTTTTTCATCACCCTCTTTGAAGTTCGTGGAAGTCAGTTCCAGAGCATGGGAGAGAGAAGGAAGGCCTCTGTGGGCTTCAGAATTTTAGGGCAATTGGGATAAAGATGGTTCTCTTACCACAGATCCATCCAAAGATTTTAATGTGCTAGTAATGTGGATTGTGAGTGGTTATCGTTCTTAACCCTTTCCCAATTCATCTGTCGATGAAACTGTCACTGCCTCCCCTGATCACCCCACTGTGAGCCTCAGGTGAGTAAATACTGCAGAGCACCAGATGAGTTCCGAGCTCTTGTGCATTGCCTGGACTCAGGCCACCTGTCCCGACCCTCCCCACCTGGACTCCTCTGTGCCCTTCTTTGAAATAACTTGCAGTTTTCCCCAGAGAGCCACGTTTTATGCCTTCTTCCCTCTGCTCATGCTCTGCTGTTTGCTTAAAATAGCATTTGCCACTTTATGAAAGAAAACTGAGGTCCAAGGAAGTTGAGAAGTTTGTTCAAAGTCACAAAGCTCTACAGTGACAGGGCTGGGATTTTAACGTAGCTCCTTGGGCTCATGTCCTTTTTGAGGCCCCGCACATAACAGCCTGGCATGTGACCTTGGAGGGGGTCTCCTATTTTTGTCATCCTTTAGCCATCTATTATGTCATGCCAAGTTTGAGTTATTCTAAGGTCATGAGTCTGAGTCCTGAAAAGTCCTAAGTCCTAAAACCAGAGCCTGATCCTGAAATCTTTATTTCGGAACAAGCGTTGTCTACTGCAAAGAAGTCACCTGAGGAAACGTGATACTTTCTCCTGTCATGTTGATGACATCATTCACAGTGTCTTTAGAACTCTTTAGAACTGCTTTTAGTAGCACGTTCTTTTGCATATATTTAGTAGAGAAGTCTAAGGATAGATTAAATTTTTTTAGAACTAGATGTCAGAAATAAGTCAGGCATATTCAAGAAGGGACTGAGTGCCAGCGACCACAGTTGGCTTCGGTGCACTGTAACTACAGTCATGGGCTCTGAAGGCAGCTGGTTCCAAAGGAGAAGTCCCCATAGTGTTTTGATCACGAGAATAAAGACCAAAGGCAATTCCTGTATAGGAAGAGCGCTCATTTTATGTACGATTGAAAGAACAGTGAGAATAAATTAGCATTTATGCTTCATACTGCCATATTCCTTGTCTTGTCTCATGTTTCTTAATTTCTTTGGGACCAAGATTTCCTGCCTGCTTTCCTGATTTGTCACAGATTGGCCCCATTTGACCCATCTCTGTACCAGTGTCCCTCACTGCAGGCTGCTGGCCTGTCACTGCTTCCTGAGTGTGTGCCAGCTGTACTTCTGTGTCTTTGCACAGCCCCACCCAGTCTGTAAACGGACTCCCCCATCCCAGTCACCTGCAGGGGACCTGCCCTTGCTTCCCCACCCATTTTCATCAAGCCTTAGCTCTCTTTGACTTCAGCGTAGCCCTCTTTGACTCTCTTGTAATAGATTCTTTTTTTTTTCCTCTCTTTTTTTGAGATGGTGCTTCACTCTGTTGCCCAGGCTGGAGTGCAGTGGCATGATCTCGGCTCACTGCAGCCTCCGCCTCCTGGGTTCAAGTGATTTTCCTGCCTCAGCCTCCCAAGTAGCTGGGATTACAGGTGTCTACCACCACACCCAACTAATTTTTGTAATTTTAGTGGAGATGGGTTTTCATCATGCTGGCTAGGCTGATCTCGAGCTTCTGACCTCAAGTGATCCACCAGCCTCGGCCTCCCTGTAATAGTTTCTTATTGCTGTTGTAACAAATTACCATAAAATGAGTTGGCTTAAAATGGCACAAAGTTATCTTTCAGTTCGGCCATGGGAAACCCGACATGGGTCTCACTGGGCTAAAATGAAGATGTTAACAGGGCTCCTTCCCTGAGGCTTCAGGGGAAATCGGTGTCCTTTTCCTGCTCCTAGAGGCCACCTGCATTCCTTAGCTCACGGCTCCCTTCCATCTTCAAAGCTGGTCATGGCCGGTGGTGTCTTTCTCACACTGCATTGCTCTGACACTTAGATGGCTCGGGCTGCTATAACAAAATACCATAGATTGGTGGGTTAAACAACAGAAATTTATTTTCTCACAGGCCTGGGGGCTGGGAAGTCCAAGATCAGGGTGTCAGTGTGGATGGGTTCTGGTGAGGGCTCTCCTCTCCTTCCTGGCTTGCAGACAGCTGCCTTCTCCCTGTACCCTCACATGGCAGCGAGAGAAAGCAAGATGTCCACTTTCTCCTCTTATAAGGACCCTAATGCCATCAGGAGGGCCTCACCCACTTGACCTCATCTAAACCTAATTATTATGCTTCCCGATGGCCCCATCTCCAGACACCATTGCCTTGGGGATTAGGGCTTTAATATATGAATCTGGGGGAAGGGACGCAATTCAGTCCCATAGCAAACACTGACTCTTCTGCCTCCCTCTTCTACATATAAGGACCCTTGTGATGACATTGGCCTCATCCAGATAATCCAGATAATCTCCCCATCTCAAGTTCAGCTGATTAGCAACTGTATTTCATCCACAATTTCAATTCCTCTTTGCCAAGTAGCATAACGTACTCACAAGTTCCAGGGATTAGGAGGTGGGCATCTGGTGGTGGAGGAGACGTTATTCTGTCTACCACACCTCTCCTGAATTCTTAGGATTTGGAGGTTGAATCAGTTTCCACTGTTTTGTTCAGCTACAAATTAAAGGGTACCTAACATGCAGGCACTGTTAACACTTTAAATATTGCTCCTGATTGTTCTCTAGTAGTTTTGTATCTGTTGATCTTTTCTCAGTTAATTAGAAGCCCTTGAGGTGAAAGACCAATTCTGGGAGATGGTGTCATTTAGGATAAAGAAGACGTAGGTATTAGAATCCAAGAACCCTTGATTAAAAGCTAGCAATGCCACTCAAAAAGCCTGTGACATTAGGACGATTATTTTACCTTTCTGAGCCTCAATTTCCTCATGTGTAAAATGGGAATTTAATAGGTCATAGGATTGCTAGTGAAGATTAAGTGAGATAACATGAAAAAGTGCCATGCATGGTTCTGGACATACACGTGGTAAGTGTGACAGCTGTGACATACCTCCTGTGTGTTCCTTGCAGTGGCTGCCATGGGTGTGGGCGGGTAATAGGTGCCCAGTAAATACTGAGTGTTTATACATTATCAGGTTCCTGCTGTATGTACTTACACTGCTTTCTTAGTGTAGGAGGGGTGAACTTACAATTTTAGATGTAAGTGGTGTGTGTTACGACAGGCCCTGTATTCTATTCTTTGAGGATTTATATGGATTTATGTAGAAGGAAGATTTAAGATGCCTTACAATGGAGGCTGGAAAACTGTGGCCAGACACCTGTGTTTTCACAGCCTGAAAGCTAAGAATGGTTTCTTACCATCGTTACCTGCACAATAACCTCAGTATTGCCTCAGCAACCCACAGTGTGATGGTCTCTGGAGATGGGGCCTTTGGGAAGTAATTAGCTTTAGATGAGGGCATGAGAGTGGGGCCCTCATGATGGGGTTAGTGCCCTGCTTAAATATTTACTCTCTGACTTTCTAGGAAAAAGTTTTTGAATCCCTGCATTAGAGCAGTGGTTATAAACTGGAGAGAGTATCAGAATACCCCGGGGTCTTGTTAAAATAGGGATTGAGTTTCTGGTTCAGCAGGTCAGGGTTGGAGCCTGAGTATTTTATTTGCTAATTGAAAAAGCTCCCAGGTGACGGCACTGGACTTTGAGAATCCTACCTCAGAACCCCCCATCCCCACTTCAAACACTGAACTGGGACAAAAGGGTATCTGCATGTCCCACGTGTATACAAAACAGTAGTCTTCTTCCACAATAGTCAGTGCATTATGTTTGCTCCCAGTCTTCAAAATGATGGCAACCCAGCCAGCTGTATTTTCTGGAGAGTCTTAGCTTGGGTTTCCAAAAGCAGTTGTCATAATGATTTATGAGAAACTGTTTGCCACTCAGTGATGGATTGCTTATTTATTTTAAACTCTTACTTGTCTAAAATTTCCCAAGCTCTGGCTCAGCCCAAAGGTGTTCCTTCCACACCCCAGGAAGTTGAAGCTAACATTTTTAGCTGTTTGACATATCAGTGGGTGGAAAAATTCATCTCTATCAAGAAGGAAGCAACAGAAGATTTTCATTTTCACTTCTCTAGAATTATTCTGTCATAAGGACTTGTTAGAACATTCTTATCGAGAGTGATATTCCTACCCTCAATCAGAATATCCTAGAAAATTATCACATTCTTGAAAGTACAAAGAAATGCTGATTTTCCCTCAAATCCTTACCATCTCCCACATACAAAAGAAAATGAGAATACAACAACTTTGTGTGTGTGTTCCTGCCTGTTGTTTGCAGTGTTAATTGGAATATGATATTAAAATACACTTCAAATTCATACAGAAAACTATTTCTATTGTAGATATTATCAATTAGAACAGGGCAGTTCAGAACAAATATATATAATAGTTGAGGAAATGAAGTTTCACTGTGCATTAAGAAGATACTGGCTGGGCACGGTGACTCACGCCTGTAATCCTAGCACTTTGGGAGGCTGAGGCAGATGGATCGCTTGAGCTCAGGAGTTGAAGACCAGCCTAGGCAACATGGCGAAACCCTGCCTCTACAAAAAAATACAAAAATTAGCTGGGCATGATGGTGTATGCCTGTAGTCCCAGCTGTTTGGGAGGGTGAGGCAGGAAGATTACATGAACCTGGGAGGTTGAGGCTGCAGTGAGCTGAAACTGCACCACTGCACTTCATCCTGGGTGACAGAGTGAGACCCTGTCTCCAAAACAGAAAAAAAGGAAAAGGATTTTTTTTAAAAAAGGAAAAAAAAAAATATATATATATATACTGTATCTGATTTCTACCTGTTACATGAGAAAATAACAAAATCAGAATAATCTTTACTGTTTGGCAAGCTTACAGTAACTAGTACTCTGCTCCATTGTTGTGGCACTGAAAACATGCACGCAGAGTTTCTGGAAAGCAGTTTGGTGGTACACATCAAGAAAAATAACAATCTTTTTGTGGAAGGAGATCCATGCACAAAGATGTTCACTTTGTTGTTGCACTGCTTATCAAAGTGAGAAATTGGATGCCTCCTATATATAGCTGAATTAGGATTTAGCTGCTTGCTGGAATTATGTTTATACAGCAACAGGAAGAGAAATGCTTGTGATGAAATCTTCAGCAATAAAATTCAGGATGCAAAATTTATGTACACCGTGTGTGATTAAAAAGGAATAGATGATAAATGATGATAAAGAATATTTTTATTGATATTCACAAACGAGGGTAGAAGCATAGTGGTAATAAATACTCATGAGGTATTTGTTAGAATATTTGTATTATAAAGCTAAATAAAAACTTTATGTGAATTCCATCCTTACAGCCTTGTGAGTTGGGTCCTGTCCATTGACAGATGAGCTCACAGAGGCACTGAGTAGTGATCTGCCAGTGTCATCTAGCCAACAGTTGGAGGAGCTGAGATTCAAAACCAGGTGAGCGTCCCGTCTCTGCTTCTGACTGCTGCGGCATGCTGCCTGGTGCTGAGGCGGGAAGTTGCTGGGGGCACACGGTGGAGAAAACAAGCAGCAACGTGGGGAACACCCTACGTGCCACCTGGCTGAGCCATCGTAGTCCTTCTGAAAAATTCCAGGTGGTTTTGGTTGATTACAGGGTCAGTGTGAGCCAGTACGTGGCACATGCCCCAAAGGTGAGCCACACATGACCTCAGTGAAGTCTTTGGTGCTTATAAATAAGGTTGTTGTTTCATTATTTAGTTGTAAGAGCAGCATTTAAAGAAGAACCTGAAAACCTTAGGGATGGAGAAACCTCCTTGTAGGACGGATATCTGAAGGACGCGGGGCTCCTGGTTTCGGAAGGGGCAGGAGAGGGCGTACATGAAGGGCTTTCTCTGGCTGAGGAAGGTAGACATAGTATTTGTTCCTCTCTAGAGGAGGCTTTCACAAGAGCAAGCCTTGACTCAGATATGAGGGAGAGGATAACTGGGTGAGCAGACTGAGCGGCGAGCTGGTGGTTGGAAGGTTCCTGCAGCGGGTGGACGGCCTCTGTCTCTGAGGAAGTTATAGAGGGAGGTGAGGACGTGGGCTCGAAGGCCCTGGAGATGTCTTCCAGTTGTGAGACTCTGGAGTCCAGCCTTCTCCCCGCTGCTGGCTAACAACAATGATTGGAATTTAGATGGTGACTTGTGGAATCCTGTCCGCAGTGACCACTGCATTAGTCATGGAAGGAGGGTACCTCTGAAGGAACACAGAGGTCTGTGACTTAACTAACGTCCAAGTGTTGGCATGAATCATACTTTGGTTCAGAGGTATCTGCTATTTAATTTGGCTGGCTTTTATAGTCAGCCAGTCTGTGGGCCAACCTGCTGGCCGCATGCATCTGTAAGACATGGGGCTGCAGTTTCATCAGTGGTTCTTTAATCTTTTGGTTATCATAGACATCAGTAAAAATAAGAAGGCTGTTTTGGATGATCCCTCCAGGAAAAGGTACCTTTACATAATTTTGCATACACTGTTTGGGATGCCCATACCCCCATAAACCTGTCCGCAAACCCAACCTACCAAGCAAAAAAGCTCAGACCTTGAGCTTAAATCTTCTACCAAATCAACACGATGACTTCATCTGTTTCCTCATCTGTAAAATCCTGCAGAGTTGTAAGGATGAAAGATATTTCTACACGTATGTCATCTCCACAGTGTTCATGGTAGCTACTATCTGAGGCTTTAGAGACCATGTACTTTCCAAGGGCTGCTTGTCCCTGAGGGTGAGGCTCCAGGATCTCGTGAAACCACAGGAGTCAGCTTGCTTCCCAGGGGCTGTGCCCTCCATGGAGTTGGGTGGGGGCAGCGTGTGTTTTTAAGTCATCACTGTGGTGAGCGTGGGGTCATGGGGTATGACGTGGCAAAAATGAAGGGCTGAAAGCTGCTTACCCTGGCAAAATGCACATTCTGTAATGTAGCGAGTCAGATTGCTTTGCCAACATGAACTCTTCCTCCATTAAAGGATGTGAATATAATTGGGAGTAAAATTTCTAATAGCTTGTACTCCCCATACAACAAATGTTGAATTCACCTCTTGGCTTTGAACCCCAGACACCTTGGGGTAGCCTGTCTCCAGGCTAAAGGAGAGCCCTGCAAGTTTTTTAGTGAAACCCCCTTCCCACCACCTCCAACCCCCTTCTCCTTCCCTGATTTGGTCTCAGAGCACCCCTAGGAGGGAAGCAGCTCTCTGGTTAAGGAGAGTCTAGGGTGAGTCAAGCAGCTGGTAGCTCAGTTTTAATCTCATGCCATACTACATTTTCAATGAGGAAATTCCTCTAAATGTCATCTGCTCCAAGAAGCCTTTTCTGTTACCAGCCCCCAGAAAATGTACTCCTTTCCCCATAGAGTGCTGTGTTTCCACCTCGTGTAATTTACATCACAGTGGATTGTTTTCGCATGTTTATCTTTGTCTTGCTAAGTTGTGTGTTGGCAGGTACCAAGGTTTATTATCTTTCTTGAATGCAGATCTCTTAGAAGCCTTTTGGCTGCTCTCCGTTACCTGGGATGAAGTTCCTCATCTCTGGCTCCTGCCTGACTCTCCAGCCCTTCCCCATGCTCTGGACACACCAAGCGCCTTGAATTCCCCAGAGCTCATTTTGTTTCTTGCCTTTGTGTCGCTGCACTGAACTGATGGGCTGAGTCTTTCTCACTTATTGGATGCTTGCTTCTTGAGGGTAGGGGCTCTGTTTGATGAATCTTTGTGTTCATTAGTGCTTGCTGGAGAATAGACTTTCAGTGTGATTGGATTTTATTCTTTAGTAACCAGAAATATTCTTGACCCGTAATGGAAGCACACAATGAATGAATAAAAGTAAATGCGGATACATTCTGTACTCTAAAGCCTAAAGGGACAGAAACCATCAACATAAAAAAAAATATGCAGTAGCCCAGTCTCCACTCTTCACCCTCTCACCTGCCTTCCAAGTGTACTCCTACAAGCAGTAGGAGCTTCACAGGGAGGTCATTGGGGTGACGTTTAGTTATTCACACAGACTTTGAACTCATTTGAACATCACTGGAAGGATGGGATCATTAATATAAGGCAGGATCAAAGAGGATGGGATGATCATAGACAACAGGTTTTGTATTTTAATAGCGCACACCTTGGCCTGATTAGTGAACTCCATTGCTAGCTGCCTGTGCTGAACACAACCAGACTAGATACATCCTGGGGTACCATCCACAAAGACTGGCTGTTTCTTGAGGAATCACATTCCAAGGGACTTCCTAGGAAAGATGATGGAAATGGGTATTGAAAGTGGAACAAGCCCGGGGTGTTGGAGAAGGCGGAGGAAGTGGCAGGAAGAAGCCGGTGAGAGGCATCCTTCCAGTTGCTCATCCTGCACGGGAGCTCTCAGGGGTTATGAATAGGGAGGACATTCTTGTTCAACCCCTTCTGGTTGTGGCTACTTCTGTCTTGTCAAAGATGATACAGGTATACTCAGTTCCGAAGGCTGTGTCCCTCCCGTCACCTTGTCCAGGGAAAGCTTTGGGAGAGAAAGACATATTCTAATGTTATTTATTTATTTATTTATTTATTTTCTTTTGAGATGGAGTCTCGCTGTGTCACCCAGGCTGGAGTGCACAGTGGCACGATCTCGGCTCACTGCAACCTCTGCCTCCTGGGTTGAAGTGATTCTCATGCCTCAGCCTCCTGAGGAGCTGGGATTACAGACACCTGCCACCACTCCTGGCTAATTTTTGTATTTTTATTAAAGATTGGGTTTCGCCCTGTTGGCCAGGCTGGTCTTGAACTCCTGACCTCAAGAGATCTGCCCATCTCGGCCTCCCAAAGTGCTGGGATTACAGGCGTGAGCCACTGCACCTGGCCTAATGTTCTTAATAGGCACAGGCACAGAGCACTGTAACAATCTAGCCATTAGAGCTGGTGCTTCAGATTTCTTTTTAAAGTTTTATTTATTCCTTACGTTGTTATTATAAAGCTAAGATAAGCTTAGTTTAGAAAATTTGGAAAGTTCAGAAAAGCACTAAAGCAAGCAAGTCTTGAGCCTGGCAGGATCTCAGTATCTTTATAACCAGCAGAGGCTCAGGTGAGCGCTGGGTCTGAGGCCCACTGCGACTTGGAACACAGCTCTGCCTCTTAGAAGTTGCAGGATCCTGGGCTTGTTCACACTCTGACAGTCTGTTTCCTTGTCCACTCAGAGGAGAATAAAATAACATCTAGAAAGCACTTGGCCTGGGACCTAGTATATAACAGCCTTGCATATGACAGTTTATTGACTGCTAGCAAGTGCTCAGTTTTCCCCACCACTGTTAGCATTTTGATGTATTATCTTTTCAACCTCCTCTCTACATTTCACTTTTTGCAAAATTGAGACTAAATATCTAATTTTATGTCCTCCCTTTTTTAAACTTGGCTTTCTGCTCCTACCATATTCCTATATCATGATTTTAAAAGCCAACATAATATTCCATTTTGTAGAAATACTGTTAATTTAACCATTTTCATATTGTTGGAACTTAACACATTTTAAATTTTCACTCTTTATAAATGTTCTGTACACACATCTCTGATCACCTTGATTATTTCCTTAGGATAGATTTCTGGAAGTGGGATTATCCAGAAGAATGATACACATTAGTAAATTGGAAATGAAAATATGTTTTCAGCCGTTTAGTTGGGATGATTCTAGAAATAAAGTTCTGAAAATGGTTCTCTCTCACGAGATGTCCACTAAGTAGAGACCCTGTTAAGAAACAGGGATGATGTTTGATTTGAAGAAATTGCATTCCCATGAGATCATGCGCCACAAGTGAGGTCGGAAACAGGTGGCATGTACAGCCGACAGCCGGAGGAAATGGTCTCCACTGTGCAGAGTTGTGCACAACATCACAACATTCGTGTCGTGACACACATTTGAGTAGTAATCGTCATGTCATCCGTCTAGGGAGAGTCTCCACCAGGCTGCTGCCATAGAGAACATATGTCTCTCCTTAAACGCTCCCTTCGCCGAGCTGTCTGCATGGAAGGTTGGAATGTGGGGTGTCAGCAAGTGCTTTTCCCTCTGCCTGATTCCCAAGTGGCCTGTGGTCTGGCCTGGAGCAGGGGTTTGGAGGGTCTTTGTTGGGTCAGCAAGGAGGCTGGGGCTGGGTAGCCATAAGGCTGGTGCACCCTGCCTTCGTTCTGTTATGCTGGTGACAGCACTTGGTGTTCAGGTTAATGGTACATGCACTTGACTGGAAGGTTGTACATTGTCGCTGTCTTCAGCTCTTAGCTCTTATCTAGGCTAAGAGCTGAAGATAGCGACAATGTCATTAGCAAATGAAGAAACGGTTTTTGCTGTGGGAGGAAGAGCACTGGACTCAGAGTCAGGAAACCCGAGTTCTTGTTCCAGCTCTGCTGCAAACTCACTGTGTGACCTTGAGCAAGTCATCACCCTCTCTGAGCTTTGGTTTCCATGTTTAGACTAGGTCATCTTTCAGGATCCATGGAATGAAAGGACTCAGCAGTGAGTATAGCAGCCCTGAGGAGGTGGGGACAATGAGACCTGTGCTGCCCTGTGGCGATTTTGAGAGTTGAGAGCTGGATGCAGACAGGGGCTTTAAAACAGAGAAAGTAGGCTGGGCGTGGTGGCTTTGGGAGGCTGAGGAGGGTGGATCATGAGATCAGGAGTTCAAGACCAGCCTGGCCAATATGGTGAAACCCCATCTCTACTAAAAATACAAAAATTAGCCAGAAGTGGTGGTGTGCGCCTGTAGTCTCAGCTACTCGGGAGGCTGAGGCAGGAGAATCACTTGAACCCAGGAGTTGGAGGTTGCAGTGAGCCGAGATTGCACCACTGCACTCTAGTCTGGGTGACAGAGTGAGATTCTATCTCAAAACAAAAACAAAAACAAAAGAAAAACAGAGAAAGTATTAACAGTGGGAACACATAGGACTCCCTGGTATTCCCCTGGGGCTAATGCCTGTCTGTTTCTGTGATCTGCTCCTTCTCTACTCGACAAGTCTTACCTGTCCTTGGAGCCCCAGTTCAATGTCTCCTTGCCATCTGAGTCCTCAGCGCCTAGCACATTGCCTGATGCATTGTAAGTGATCAGTGCATAGACTGACATATCTTTCCCCAGGCATTCATCCCAGCCATGAGCATATGTGTCCTTGTATCTCACCCCAGCATACCGTCACATCCCTGTTGCCGGGCTGGAAATAGTAAGTTTTATGTTTGAGATGAAAAAGGAGGTGATTGAAGGTGAGTTGGCTGGGGGACGCCCATCCTCTGGCAGTGCTGTGTTGGTGGCTTGCTTCCTCACTGTGCTGTGGGCCACACTGACCTGTCAAGAGCCGTATCTACATGTGTGGCCCGTAGAGGGGGCGCAAAGGAGCCATTCTTGTCCTTTTTGTATCCAGCAATTTTTGCTGAAACAATTTGCACTGGGCCTTCTCCTTGATACCAGTTTTTTTAAATAACAGAATCCAGTAAACTAAAAAGCACACAACAAAACCTAGTCATTGCCTCTAAACTCTGTATGTACACATGCATGCTGGCTTCATGATCGATTTCTCTGCCAGAGTCTCTCAGTTCATCCTTTTGCAGGGATTGATGGGTTTCGTGCAGTGAGGTGGGGGAGATAAAGGGGTGATGGCTTAGAATTGAGAAGAAACGAAGTCTTGTCCTAGCATGGTCTCTGTGACTCAGATTCTTATTTTCCAAAGTCCCTCCCAGGTCAGTGATTATTGGATCTGGATCATTAATGAGAATTAGAGTTTAAGATACATTTGAACAAGGGGGAGGTGAGAGTGTGAGCTCTTTTTAGAAGAACAGCTTTCACAATTCTGTAAATAAAAGCTGATAGACCCAGTTTGAGATCTTTCCAGAAACTTTATTCCCAAGCTATTTATTTTAGGTTCCTGTTTTAAGGTTGTTTTTGGCAAAAGAAAAACAAAGGCACTGAATGATTTTCTGTTCTCTAGTAGGAAAATCTTCACCTTGGGGTGATCTGCAGCAGTGGGTCAGTCAGTGCCATGTTAATCATGGAGGGATGGCTGTTGTCGTGGTGGGCACCGTGCTAGGTGTTAGAGGAAGACACGGGGCTTATGGGCTTCAGCAGGAAGCTTCAAGTTCATTTGCAGGATGAAAAATACATCTAAAAATCCCCAACTAGGCCAGTGCACAAAGATTCCCACTGACCTCAACTGGTACAGTGTGAGCATCAGAAGACAGTGCTGATTGCAGTGGATGAAAGCACTGTAAACGTAAATCCATGAGATGATGATGGTGATGATGAGCCAAAGAACTAATTGATCACCTTGGGGTTGCTGGGGATCAATACATCGTTTAGAAGATGTATAAGGACAAGAATTTTTTTTTTTTTTTTTTTGAGAATAGAGTCTTGCTCTTTTGCCCAGGCTAGAGTGCAGTGGTGCGATCTCTGCCCACTGCAACCTCCGCTTTCTAGGTTCAAGTGATTCTCCTGCCTCAGCCTCCCGAGTAGCTGGAATTACAGGCATGTGCCACCATGCCTGGCTAATTTTTGTATTTTTAGTAGAGACAGCGTTTCATCATGTTGGCCAGGCTGGTCTCAAACTCCAGACCTCAGGTGATGCACCTGTCTCGGCCTCCCAAAGTGCTGGGATTACAGGTGTGAGCCACCGTGTCCGGCCACTAATTTTTTTAAAAAGAAAAAAACTTAACCTACACCAGGTAGTCAGTTGAGGAGCCCAGAAGGAGGGATGATAAGGAGTGCTTTTGTATTTCTTGGTGCTGGAACATAAAGTCTACTATCAGTGAGAAGGCCGGCTCCTCTCTCCTACCAAGGGCTGGAGGACCAAGGGCTGGAGGCAGCCTGCGTGGTCCATAAAGTGCACCGATCCTCCTACCAACTCTATGGTCTGGGGCAGGTGACATGACTCTCTGAACTGCACTTGATTCAGAAGAAAATAGGGATAATAATAGCCAACTCTTAGTGCTCAGGTTAAACTGAACAAAAGACTTACAAGCCACCTAGTAGGCGTTGACCTTTATACGAAGTCCCTTCCCTTTGGGTGTTCACTTAGAGCAACACTGAGGTCCAGTCCTCCTCTTGGTTTGAGGGACACCACGAGGCTGCATAGAGTCTTCAGCTTCTCTCCTGCTGGGCTTTGCATTCATTGCCCAGCACCGTGAAGGAGGACACCACGGCCCAGCTCCCCTCCTTTGTCATCTCTTGAAAGACCCATGGCTCAGAAAGCAGCGAGCGAGGGAGTAAGCAGGACCATGGAGGTTGCGTTCCTGTTTCTGTCATGCAGTAGACAGTGTGTAGTGACAGATGCCTGCCTGTGGCCACCAGCCCCCTTCCTGAACCCAATGAAACTAAACTGCCCATGTCTTGACCGCTAATTTTGAGATAGTTTAAAAATAGTATGTGGTTTGAAAGGACCTATCCTTCACTGTTAACCACACTCTAGAATTATAAATAGAGTAAAACAGAAGGAATTATTGATCCATCTGTGAAACTGGATTTTAAAAATCTAAAAATTAGATACTTTTGTTTGACAAGGTAAACTTTTTAACGATGAAAACAAACATCGTGTAGTAGAGTAGGAGAGTGGACTTTGGAATCAGAAAATTTGGGTTTGAATCCCAGCTCTGCCACTTTCTGTGTTTCCTTGGATGAATTATTTGATCTCTTTGAGCCCTAATTGCCTAATAGTGTTATGAGAAATAATACATGTCTTACGAAGTTTAGAAAAAATATATGTGAAGTTTGTGCTTTGAATAAGTGACGCCTGTTGCTGCTGTTACTTTTGTTAGTGTTATTGGTTATGCGCCAAGTGTGGTAAACTGAGTCTCTTTACCTGATTCTTTCATTCTTCCTCTGACCTTGAGAGCATCTCCCAGCAGGTTTTTATCCTTTATGTAGCTGACGCCGCAGGCCCAGCGTCACTGTGACTTACCAAGGTCATACAGATATTTACAGGTGGACATAGGACTGGAACCTAGATCTTCTGAGGGCTCCTGAGGAGCTGCGTTTGCGGGTGTGTGTGTGTGCACATGTATGTTTCTGTCAGAATTTGTTTGCTGAATCTGGTCTCAGAAATTCATTTAATTTATCTAGAACTCTCAGGCTCTTTACTGGAATGTTAAAAAAGAAAAAGGACTCAAACAGTGAAGTGAGTTTTCTTTTGTGTCTGCTAGATCCCCATTAGAACCCTCTAGTCCCCCAAATGCCACTGGAGGTCAAAGACATGGTGCTTCCCCCATAGGATGGGTGAGCAGACCATTCATAGGTCATAGGGATTGGCTCAGGGTCCAGGACTGCCCTCCAGGAACAAATGTTCCCTCGTTTTCCCACATTGTCAGGCCCAGCCTAGCCATTGGCGTTAGCTGACAGTGGTCTCATTTCCCCGAGAAGGAATTCGGGAGCTACAGAGGGGCTTTCAGGATCTGTCCCTTGGTGGAGGAGCTGCAGCACTAAGGCTGTCTCTGGTGGAGTTCACATCCAGGTTCACACCGCAGGTCTGGCTGCCCTGTTGTGCCTGTAAATAGTTGTGTTATATTTCCAGTTGAACTGATGAAAACATAGAAATTAGGTAGCCATGCAGATAGAAGTTGTTTTATTATAGACTGGCTGGTTTCCTTTGAAAGTGCCTGACCTAGAAGTGAGGGAATTATATTCAACCACATTAATTTACCAGAATCACCTGTGTCCCCTCCCCCATTCCTACCCACGGTTTAAATCAGAGGTCTGAGATGGGACGGTGGTGTCTAGAGTTTGGTGAAAATCCATGCATGCATTTGGCGTCCAGCAGGGATTGAGAACCACTGTGCCAGAGACCCAGAGTCCAGATTTTCACTCTTTCAGGTGCTACTTTGAGGCCTAATGATAGTAAAATGCCATGAGATGTAAGCACCTGGTATGTTTTTTCTGCTCAAACAACATGTGTGTTGTCTAATATTTCAGGCACACGACTTCGTCGAAGATGAATACAACTTAGTCTGTCAACTCTAAGCACATCCGATGTATGGGGAACACATTTGCCAGACTATTTCAATATAACATGCTGAGTGCAAGGATAGGAGAGGTGCCAATGAAATACCCAGGGTGTAGGGCAGAGTCATGGAAGGCTTCCTGGAGGAAGCATGAGTCTGTAGGATGCAGAGGAGTTTGGGAGGGAAGGGCCCCTGGGTAGAGGCTGCATCCTGAGCAGAGGCACTGGAGCTGCAAAGACCACTGCTGTTGCTGTATTAAAAGGAGAAGGAGCTGCTGTGTGGGGCTCTGAATCAGAGTCCTGGGCTGCAGGCTAGAGAGGAATGGGGCATCTGTGGTTGAGTTTCTGGGAGGGGGCTGAGTCTGGTGAGTTGTGCCATCATTTGGTGAAGGAAGAGTCCTCGGAGAGGTGGAAATGTTGTGTGTCCTTGGCCATCTCATCTGATATGCTGAGGACCACTGGACGTGGGCAAGGGCTTCCCCTCTTGCATACCACACTTGTTCTTTGGGATCTGTTGCCGGCACCACGGGTTGTTGTTGGGATAACGAAGCTATTTCTGTTCCTGGTGCAGCTTGACTTTTCTCAGATTTTTCTTCTGCTGATGTGTTCAGTGTTATTCACAACCGAGAAGAACCTGGTGGGGAGTGAGGGTGGCATGCCTGAGACTCACAGCACCTCCGTCATTCTGTTGCAGCTCACGTGGAAAATGAAGAGCAGTACACCCAGGCTCTGGAGAAGTTTGGCGGCAACTGTGTATGCAGAGATGACCCAGATTTAGGAAGTGCGTTCCTGAAGTTCTCAGTGTTTACAAAGGAGTTGACAGCACTTTTCAAAAACCTGGTAAGCAGCTCTGTGTATGAAATGCTGCGGTTACTTCAGTTGGGAAAGTGGCTCAGTAGAGGATAGTTATGGTTTGTTTGATAAACTAGGAATGCATTTCATAGTTCCTTGGGTACCCAAAAGAATTATGTTTTTATACACATTGGGTCAGTTTGGAATAAAGTTTAAAATTGTAATTTTTACTTTAACAAGACTTAAAATTCAGCTCTGCAATTTAAATGTACACAGCTATGGGACAAAATGGGTAAATGCATTCGTCTTCTTAAGGGCCTCTGACTTGAATTTTTAACAGTTTCTAAACTGTGTAGACTACTCTCCTTCTGGTAATTATAGTAGGCATTTAAGCTTATAATATTTAATAAATATGTTTCAGGCCCATCTTACACAGCAAGGTAACCTGTAATCAAAGCACAGAAATTACCATGAATATTTAAAGGCCTTTTGTGCTCCCAAGTGTAGAACCTAAAAAAAAGCAGGACTGAGAGCAATGCCTCGGTTTTCAGCCGTGGGAATGCGGTGCTGGTGCCTGCTGCCTGTGGCTGCTGCTTGGTGCTGTGGGTGAATTGCGCCTTTCTTGTGCCTGGCAGCTCTGTGCTATCCTCGTGATGGGGACAACATTTTGAAGAAGTGGGCAGCCCAAGAGGGCTGTTTGGGACCCTGCCCGGGTGGAATGGACCCTGGGATCGCTCCAGCTTTTCTTTCCTGTTTTTCTTCTCCAGTTTCTCCTAAAGGTCAGGGAAGGCCAGGTCAAGAACTCAGTAATGCTTTCTCTGTAGGCCACACACAACAGCATCTTTTTCGTGTCCTCTGTTAGGAAGCTCATAACAAGTGAAAAACATAGCTCATTCCTGAGATGGTGATGACAGTGGTTTTGGGAGACCGGCCTTAGAAGGGGAGAAATGAGGGAGCATCACATGTGAGTTCCTAATGGGAAGGGGAAGAGCAGGAGCACTCGGGCCCTTGCTCTTTCTCCCCGTCTTCACTTATGAACATTTCTGTAGGAAATGGTAAAAGTAAAAAACTGTTTCTCTGCTCGAGCTTTTCACTTAGAGGAATTTGAAATCCCCTGGGGCTTTGGTCAAGCTCATCCCCCTTCATCCTTATCCTAGAGTGGCGGCCCACCTGCTCAGCAGTGGAGCCCTCGCCCTGCCTCAGCCCCATGCCCTGGACACTGGCAGGCATGCATGGTGGGGTCTCATCACCAGGTCGGGAAAGAGTGGAGATTTTTTTTAAACTGGAGAAACTGCATGGGCCCAGGGTAAAGATCCGTAGATGCTGCCATGGAGGGCGTCTCCTGGTAGAAAAGTCAGTTGGCTGCCTGCTCTCCCCGCACCTGGGTGGATAAGCCCTTTCCATGCACACAGAGCTGCCTGTTAGCTTCCTGGTGCCTCACACTTCAGTACAGATGAGCAGCCTCCAGCATGAGGGAGACCAGAAATAGCAGAAAAATGAACGTACGGGAAGACTGGGATGCAGCATGCTATGAAAGAAGGCCAGGGACACAACTATGGTAAGAAAATATAACATTAAAAATCCAACAGGAAGGGCTGGAGTAGAGGAAATCTCTCAGAAAATAGATCAAAAAGACCAAAAAGTGGGAAATAGATAAAAGACGAGGATTAATTCTCAAGGCCCAGCATCCAACTGGCAGGTGTTTTAGAAAGAGAGAAGGTTGTCATCAATGCAACAAATCTAAAGGCAATTTCTAAAAATGGAACGGAAGAGTCTCCAAGTTGAGAGGCTCACAAGTACCCAGCGCAATAAGGGAAAAGACCTACCCTGAGGCATCCCTGTGTGAACTTGCAAAAGATCTTAAAAGCTTCCAGACAGCAGCCGGAGGATTCAGAATCAGAATGGTGGTGAACTTCTCAGCAGCAGCACTGGAAACGTTATGGCATGGAGCAATGCCATTAAAATCGTGAGGAAACTAACTCAGCCTGGAATGATGCCCAGCCAATCAAAGACGAGAGTAGAATTAAAGATATTTTCAGACATGCAAGGCTTAAAAACTTTGGCTCCCATGTGTCATTTCTCTGAAACTCCTAAAGGATGTGTTTTAGTAAAATGAAGGGAAAAGCCAAGAAAGAAGAAATTGAGAGTCAGGAAACAGGACCCAACACAGGAAAGCAAGCAGTGGAAGGGAATTCCAAGAGGATCATGGCGAAGGGAAGTCCCAGCGGGGCTGCCAAGCAGGGGGCCTAGAAAGCAGCCAGCCCAGGACGGCTGACGACGTAGGAGACGGGTGGAGGCCCGGGTTCTGCTTCTCACTCCCAGACTGCCCTTTTACCTTTATTCAGCTGATATCTAGACCTGGATTGTCTCAGCTGTAACATGGAGATAATAATACCATACCTGATTGTGTGGATAGATTATAGCCAGCCGGTGACTCTTACACAGGATAGCTTACTTAATTCTTATGACAATCCCATAAGGTCAGTCAATGTCATCCCCACTTTACAGATTAGATAACTGAGGCCCTGAATGGTTTGAAGAGCTAATATCTGGCCCGGCACAGTGGCTCACATGTGTCATCCCAGCACTTTGGGAGGCCAAGGTGGGCGGGTTGCTTTGAACCCAGGAGTTCAAGACCAGCCTGGGCAACATGGGGAACCCCTGTTTCTACAAAAAAATACAAAACTTAGCCAGGCGTGGTGGCTCACGGCTGTAGTCCCTGCTACTCGGGAGGCTGAGGCTGAAGAATTGCTTAAGCCCAGGAAGCGGAGATTGCAGTGAGCTGACATCACGCCCCTGTACTCCACCTGGGCGACAGAGAGTGAGACCCTGTCTCAAAAACAAAAGAAGCAGCAGCTAATATCTCTCTTGGGAGGCTCAGAGTCCTTGCCTAGGCAGGCCCACTTGGAGCACTCCACACCATGGAATCCGGACGAAACTAACTTGTCTCAGTTAACAAAAGGGCAGCTGCATAGTTAAATAAAAGGAATCCCTCCTTCTCCTTTATAAAATTTCCTGCAAAAGCAGAAAGCAGAGCAGGGCCTGCATGTTACAGCTGGTACATTGCTCACCACCCTGTGGCTTTGCCAGTTTTTAATACTTCACATATCACTGCAGGTCCTAGTTGCTGTCCAGCTTTCTACAGAGAGTAAAGGTATCAATAAAGGTATCTGTGGCAGTGATTTGATGAGCACCCACCGGTGTAGCAATCACTGGGCTATGCATGAAGGATACTCTGTTTCATTTATTCCTCTTGGCAGCTGTGCAGGATAGTTTGTATCACCATCCTCTTAAGGCACACAGTCACTTACAGGGCCCTTAGCTAGTGAGGGACAGAGTTGGGATTCAAACCCAGGTATTAACACTCCAAACCCAAGTTGTTGTCATTGTGACATTTAAAGGAACCATGGCCTCTTGTCACCTTCTTGACTGATCATAAGGGTTCAAGTTTCAACTTGCACTTTATGGAAGTCGGATTGTTGATCCTATTTCCTGGCAAAGATCAAAGAGAGAGAAAATTTCTTACATGAGCCAAAATTAGCACTCACCATGCCTGGTTTTCCAGGCCAGCGCCGGTGTGGAAGCTGCACAGCCAGAGGAAGGCCCAGTGGCGGCTCCTGCAAAGCTGGGCAAATGGGGAGCGGATTATGGCGGAAGTCTCCTTTTTTGGAATTTTGTGCACCATTCTTCTTCCTGTTTTTGGTCACATCTGGCTTATCTCATATCTTCCAAGCCTTGCTTTTGCTTTCCCTCGGGCATTTAAAACATTTCAGTTCTGTCTGGCTAAGACTCACAGTGCTACCTCTTGTCCAGAAAGAATAACAATTACCACCTACCTGCTTGGAGGCGTGAAAGAATGTTTATAAAGCAGTTGGAAGATCTCCAGAGAAATGCCAGCTTAATATAAAGCAAGATTTTCTTACTAATGGGTGAGATTCTCACCTGCAGAAGTCTGTGAATTTTCTCTGCGGTGATGCAGGATGAAAGGGAAAACCAGACGGCTCCAGAAATGTGACATGTGTGAAATTAAAGTGCTTATGAAGTCAGCCTAGTTTCAGGGGTTCTTTTCCTCTTCCCCAATGGATGTGAGAATCCTGGAAAGACTCCAAGGGCCACCTCTGTGCTGAGAAGTGGCTTTCTAATGAAAGGCTGCATTTCAGGGCAGGTTTCTGAAAGGTTTGTTACAGATATGTAGTCTCTGTCTCCAGTGTTAGAGGATTGTTAGTGAAAGATGTCCTCACGGTCTGCAGAACCCGCTCCACATGAAGATCAGCATCCATTGAAAGCAGGAGCCAATGGGTGCTGAGGAGAGGACAGAGTTGCAGCATGAGATCTGAGGTGACCCTGGGCTAAGGAGTTTTCCCTCACCCATGTTGATAGAGGAAATGGAAAGCTCTACCAAGCAACGTGTGTATCCATCATCTTTTTTTTTTTTTTTTTTTTTGAGACGGAGTCTCGTTCTGTTGTCCAGGCTGGAGTGCAGTGGCACAATCTCAGCTCTCTGCAAGCTCTGCCTCCCAGGTTCATGCCATTCTCCTGCCTCAGCCTCACATGTAGCTGGGACTACAGGTGCCCACCGCCATGCCCGGCTAGTTTTTGGTATTTTTAGTAGAGATGGGGTTTCACCACGTTAGCCAGGATGGTCTCGATCTCCTGACCTCGTGATCCACCCGCCTTGGCCTCCCAAAGTGCAGGGATTACAGGCGTGAGCCACCGCGCCCGGCCTTTTTTTTTTTTTTTTTCCCAAACACAGATGATGTGAGTTAGAAGCCTTTTTTTTTTTTTTTTTTTTTGAGACGGAGTCTCGCTCTGTCGCCCAGGCTGGAGCGCAGTGGTGCAGTCTTGGCTCACTGCAGCCTCTGCCTCTCGCGTTCAAGCGATCCTTCTGCCTCAGCCTCCCGAGTAGCTGGGACTACAGGCACGTGCCACCATGCCCAGCTAATTTTTATATTTTTAGCAGAGACGGAGTTTGACTGTATTGGCCAGGCTGGTCTTGAATTCCTGACCTCGTGATCTGCCCACCTCGGCCTCCCAAAGTGCTAGGATTGCAGGCATGAGCCACCATGCCTGGCCAACTTTTTTTGTTTGTTTGTTTGAAACAGAGTCTCACTGTGTCGCCCAAGCTAGAGTGCAGTGGCACGATCTTGGCTCACTGCAGCCTCCGCCTCCCGGGTTCCAGCTATTCTTGTGCCTCAGCCTCCCAAGTAGCTGGGATTATAGGCGCGAGCCACCACACCCAGCTAAGTTTTGTATTTTTAGTACAGACGGGGTTTCTCCATGTTGGCCAGGCTGGTCTCGAACTCCTGACCTCAAGTGATCCACCCGCCTGGGTCTCCCAAAGTACTGGGATTACAGGTGTGAGCCACCACCTGTAATACCAAAGTACTGGGATTACAGGTGTGAGCCACCACGCCTGGTCAGAAGACATTATAGCTAACCTTACTAGGGAGGTAGTAAGGTTCTGTTGGGACAAGCAGTAGTTTGTGGCTTTCTCATATGTGCTGCACCTGGCAGAGGGGCATCCTGGCTTGGCTGCATTGGTACTAGTACAGCAGGACTCTGCCCAGTGCTGTCAGGCTTAGGTTAAGTGTGAGCTGATTGTCCATATTAGTAAGGCTTGTCTCGTCACTCAATATAGACATCTTGCTACCAGAGGTCCTCACCCTCAGTACTTCCATAGACTTTCTCCTAACTTCTTGTATTGCAAATGTCTTAGATTCTTAAATGTCTTACTTTGTTTTTTAATTAAACAAGAGCAATGATCATAGTATCATCTTTTTGGGAGGAAGATTTAAGTCACTGTTTTAGACATAAACTAATGAACTATGCTGAAATCTAGAGACATCCCCAGTGGCTTGGGGTACGTGGGAATATCCGCCCTTGGATTAGTCCTGGACTATTATTAGGTGTCCGTTTCTGACATTTGCTTTTTAATATTCTGACACTTTTTCTATTGGTTGCCCTTTTTCCTGCTGTCAGTGCTTGGGTGCCTCTAAGGTCTCTGTTTCACGATGCTGCGAGCTGAAGAGCAAGGTGACTTGGCTTGTTAGACTTGGGTGCAAATTAGGAGTCCATAGGCTTCGCTTGAGGAGGGCTTGAGGGCTAGGGCTTTGAGTGAGGAGGGGAGAGAGAGTACCTTGATGGACTTGCTGACAGTCGCTTTGGGCCCCTAGAAACCTCTGCCATTTAGATTTTGGCATGGCCTCATTTATAGTTGGAAATTCCTTATCTAAGACCCAAAAGACTTCAACGCTAAGCTATGTTCTATACTCACAAATCTCTAACCAAAAACAAAAGCACATTGTTTGATCGAGACAATGAACAAATAAGGCTGGTGTCAGATATCTACATTTTGGTTGTGGCATAGCCACATAATAGATTTCCATTGGACTTGGATACTGTTTCTTTTTGGGGTTGGGAGGGAATGCTGTGATACGGTAACCCCCATACAGAGAAAGTGGGAGAAGCCATATTGGGCAAAGATAGCATGGTGAGGCCTTGGGCGTGGGAGGGAGAACTCACAGAGACGAGGACTGGGCACCTGCTGGGTGCTATCCATGCGCTGGTGCTGTATGGGGCGGTGACCTCTGGCAACTCCTGCCTGGGCAGGGGACACAGATGCTTTTATTAGAAGACATGTGCCGGGACAGCCACTGGCAGCCTGCGGAGCCCTGAGGGTACAGCATTGGAAGCAGGGAGCAGTGACTCCCCGCCCTGAGCCCTGGGTCCCTGCTTCCCTGGATCCCTGAGGGTGGAGGGGCACTGCAGTATGGCACTTGTCCATCTGCACACAAGCCTGCTTGCAAGGTTTAGAAATCAGTTTCTTCACAATTGTCAAATGTGTGTAGGACATGCTGTTTCTGTTTGAAAGTATTAATGAACCTAAAACAGGGTTTGTTTTTGTTTTTGTCATTGTGTGTTTTCTTAATTGCTGGCTATTAAAGGGACAACTGCCACGATGTAGGTGACCTCAAACTTAGAAAAAAATTGTTTGCCAAATCTACAAGGTACTGTGTGGAATGGCTCTAGTGGGGATGTAGATAGGGGGTGGAAGGGCTGTAGGGGGTGTAGATATGCGGTGGAGGGGCTGTAGGGGGGGTGTAGATACAGGTGGGAGGGCTGTAGGGGGATGTACATAGGTGGGAGGGCTGCAGTTGTGGGGGTGTAGATACAGGGTGGAGAGGCTGTAGTCTTGGGAGTATAGATATTGGTGGAGAGGCTGGAGTAGTGGAGTATAGATATTGGTGGAGGGGTTGTAGTATTGAGGTATAGATATTGGTGGAGGGGGTGTAATAGTGGGGTATAGATATTGGTGGAGGGGCTGGACTAGTGGGGTATAGGTATTGGTGGAGGGGGTTGTAATAGTGGGGTATAGATATTGGTGGAGGGGCTGGAGTAGTGAGGTATAGATATTGGTGGAGGGGCTGGACGAGTGGGGTGTAGATATTGGTGGAGGAGGTTGTAATAGTGGGGTATAGATATTGGTGGACAGGCTGGAGTAGTGGGGTGTAGATGTTAGTGGAGAGGCTGGAGTAGTGAGGTATAGATATTGGCGGAGGGGGTTGTAATAGTGGGGTATAGATATTGGTGGACAAGCTGGAGTAGTGGGGTAAAGATATTGGTGGAGGGGCTAGTGTAGTGAGGTATAGATATTGGTGGAGGGGCCGTAATAGTGGGGTATAGATACTGGTGAGGGGCTGTAATAGTGGGGTACAGATATTGGTGGAGGGGGTTGTAATAGTGGGGTATAGATATTGGTGGAGGGGCTGGAGTAGTGAGGTATAGATATTGGAGGGTCTGGAGTAGTGAGGTATAGATATTGGTTGACAGGCTGCAGTAGTGGGGTATACATATTGGTGGAGGGGCTGTAATAGTGGGGTATAGATGTTGGTGTAGAGGCTGTAGTAGTGGGGTATAGATGTTGGTGGAGGGGCTGTAGTAGTGGGGTATAGATATTGGAGGGGCTGGAGCAGTGAGGTATAGATATTGGTGGAGGGGCTGTAATAGTGGGGTATAGATATTGGTGGAGAGGCTGTAGTAGTGGGGTATAGATATTGGTGTAGAGGCTGTAGTAGTGGGGTATAGATATTGGTGGAGAGGCTGTAGTAGTGGGGTATAGATATTGGTGGAGGGGCTGTAATAGTGGGGTACAGATATTGGTGGAGGGGCTGTAGTAGTGAGGTATAGATATTGGAGGGTCTGGAGTAGTGAGGTATAGATATTGGTGGACAGGCTGGAGTAGTGGGGTATACATATTGGTGGAGGGGCTGTAATAGTGGGGTATAGATATTGGTGGAGAGGCTGTAGTAGTGGGGTATAGATATTGGTGGAGAGGCTGTAGTAGTGGGGTATAGATATTGGTGGAGGGGCTGTAGTAGTGAGGTATAGATATTGGAGGGGCTGGAGTAGTGACGTATAGATATTGGTGGAGGGGCTGTAATAGTGGGGTATAGATATTGGTGTAGAGGCTGTAGTAGTGGGGTATAGATATTGGTTGACAGGCTGGAGTAGTGGGGTATAGATATTGGTGGAGGGGCTGTAATAGTGGGGTACAGATATTGGTGGAGGGGCTGTAGTAGTGGGGTATAGATATTGGTGTAGAGGCTGTAGTAGTGGGGTGGTAGATATGGGATGGAGGGGCTGTGGGAGAGTATCGATATGAGGTAGAGAGGCTGTAGGGGGTGGGGTTATGGGGGTAGGGGCTGTGAGGGGTGTATATATTGGTGGAGGGGCTGGCGTAGTGGGGGTGTAGACATGGGGTGGAGGGGCTCTAGGGGTGTAGAGAGGGAGTGGAAGCGCTGCAGGAGGGTGTATATACCACGTGGAGAGTTGTAGTACTGGGGGTGGAGATATGGCCTGGTGGGGCTGTAGGGGATAGAGATACCGGGTGGGAGGGCTGTAGTAGTGGGGGTTGTGAGTGAAGGAGGTCGGGGAGCCACATCCGCAGCAGGGATGCAGAAGAGCAGCCGTGTCGGCTTGGGTGCCTGCGAGGGGCCTCAGGGACGTTTCCCAGACTTTCTTAAAGGCAGAAGAGCGGCTGCTGCAGGTGGAGGCATAGGGACCACAGGTGTTCACTGTTCTAAGAAGGGTTGATAACGGAAGAGGAAAGCAGGTGGGAAGGGTTCCTAGGGTGAGAGGGGCTTGAGCCTGTTTCTGGGCCCCAGGGAAGGAGCTGGAAGCTCAAGGTTGATGAGAAGGAAAATGGGGGGCTGTGAGCTGTGGAGATCCTGTGCCCCTTTGTCCTCGGGTTGATGAGCCCAGCCAGGAGTCAAGCCTCTGCTCCTGGCTCGCTGAGGGAATTGTCAGCGAATTGATAGAAATTCAGCATGTGCTTGTTTGCATTCCTCCTTCTTTGGGAACTTTCAGCCGTTTGGTAATCATTGCTTAAAATCTGAAGCCTGGCACCCCATATCAGTGCCCATATACTCCAGGTTCCAGCTTAGAAGGCATGTGGGCAGGGTTTGTACCATTGGTGCCCCAGGGGCCCTGGCCGGACATCCACAGAGCATCACTGGAATCGCCTGGGGCTTCTTAGAATTCCAGCCTCTCGGAGGCCTGCAAAGCCAGAATCTTAGTGTGTAGGAGCCCCAGGCAATAGCAGGCAGTCAAGCTTGAGCAGCACTGCCCTGGAGCAGAGGTCCTCCAAGTGCAGCCCCTGGGCCAGCTGCACCAGCAGCACCGGAATTGTTAGAAATGCGCAGCCCCAGCCTCCACACCTCACCTGCAGGGTTGTGGCTCTCCAGCTGGAGTGCATCAGCATCGCCTGCGTGGCTTGTTAGACCACACCTGTTGGACTTCCCCTAGAGTTTCTGATTCCGCAGGTCTGGGATAGGGCCCAGGGTTTTGCATTTCCTGTTCCTAGTCACGCTGGCCTTGCTGGTCAGGAGCCACACTGAGAACCACTGCCCCAAGGACAGCCTGGGTCCAGTGCTTCCGACTCTCACCCTTGGCGAGATGGAGACTTCAGGTGCCCCAGGTCCTGTGGAGGTCAGAGCTACTTCCTAAACCTGGATTCTTGGAGGTAATACATTTGAAAAAGTACTTTCATTTCTGGTTGATGGCTTCAGCAAATGTTTTACCATCACCCGGTTTTAGAAGTAGTTTTGGGTGCCTGAGTCCTGGGTTCTCCAGTGCTGCCCTCCGGCTCCCAGAACCGGCCTTCAGCTGGTGTCAGTGTGGTTGTTGGTGGCTGACTGACATGTCCAAGCTTATCCTTTATTCTAGTGGAGAAGGGGGCAGAGGGCCCAGTTTTCTCTCCACTTAGAGCCTGAAAGATCAGAGCTGTTGACTGCCAGAGAAGCAGCATTAAGAGCAGAAACCAGGTCAGCGATTTTCCTCCTTGTTCTGGTGTGAAAGTTGCCAATGTGTTTTTGGCAGCTGGCTGGTTTTGATCTTTCAGTTTGTGTTAAACACTTAGGATCAGCATGGGCTCCCCCTTCTCCTTTTTAATTAAACAGCGACTGTGCTGCCAGGGACGGGCTGGGCGCATCTGTTCAGGAGGGCCCTGTGTGAGAGTGCATAGACGGGAGTGTGTGCATACGTGTGCTTGTCTGTGTGCATGCATATGTGTACGTGTGCATGCATGTGTGTATGATAGACCTCAAGGCAATTCTGTGGCCCAGGGGATCTGTTCACTGACACCAAAAACAAAAGTGGCCTAGATGATTGTATTAGTCTGTTCTTGCACTGCTATAAAGACATATCTGAGACTGGGTAACATATATATAACACATATATAACACACACATATATAACATATGTTTAATTGGCTTACGGTTCCACAGGCTGTAGAGGAAGCATGGCAGCATCTGCTCTGCTCGGCTTCTGGGGAGGCCTCAGGAAACTTACAATCATGGCAGAAGGTGAAGGGGGAGCCAGCACTTCGCATGGCCGTGGGCAGGGGCAAGAATGAGGCGGGAGGTGCCACACACTTTTAAACTCACTTGCTACACAGTACCAAGGGGCATGATGCCAAACCAGTCGTGAGAACTTCACCCCCGTGATTGAGTCATCTCCCACCAGGCCCCAGCTCCAACACTGGGGACTGCAATTGGACATGAGGTTTGAGCGGGGACACAGACCCAAACCACATCAGTGATTTTCCTGTTTAGAGTTTCCTTGTATGTACCTGACGGGCTGCTCTGTGTAAAAGGGAACAGGAGGGCTTTTCGATGGAGACAGCATCTAGGATGGCAGCATGTGCCCAGCCTCAGCTTAGCTTAGCCTGGCCTGGCAGGTGTAAACCATCTTGCCCTGTGCCAGCAGGAGTTTCAGTCCAGCCGTCTTTAATAGTGAGCTGAGAGGAAGAGCTCTGGCTTCACTGTTCTAGCCAACTCCGCTGCTAATAGTTGTGTGATTTGGAGGCAACGTGGATGACTCAAGCCTCTGTTGCCATACCTGCAAAATGGGGGTCACGGCACATACTTCTCAGAGTAATTGCAAGGGTTGAATGGGATTAAAGGGCCCTGTGTCATCTGGTGGTTTATTCAGGCCATTTTAGTCAGTACCTTGTGCTTCTCAAAAATACTTTCTGCCTGGATACCCGTTCTTTCAGATAAGCGGCCTTTAGAAAGAACAGAGAGCTGTCCTTTGAACCTGCCAGTCATACTCCTGCCCCAGGACCTTTGTGTTAGAGTCCCGTTGGCCCAGAGCGCACTTCCCCCAGGTCCTCATGTGGCTCTCTGCCCCGCCTCCTTTGCGCTCTGCTCCAAGACCACCTTATAAAAAGGCCTTTCTGACACTATTTGAAAGAGTCTCCATCCCACAAATGATCATGGCATCTTTATTTGTGGTATCCGTAGTATCCCCCAAACTGGAAACAACTCAAATGTCCATCAGCAGGTGTCTGGCTAGACGGCAGTGTAGCCATATGATGGAACAGTGCTGGCCAAGAAAAAGAAGTGAACTACTGGTACACGCAACTACATGAATGAATCGCACAGTCATGCGCAGTCCCAAAATCATGATGCAAGAAGCCAGATGAAAAGGCGTACATGCGGGATGATTCCAGATACCGTATATAAAATTCCGGAAAGTGCAGTGTTCTCTGGCAAAGAAGCAGATCAGGGGTTGCCAGAGACTTGGGGGTAAGGAGCTGGGGTTGCAAAAGGGGCACAAGAAAACATCCTCTTGGGGTGAGAGGGTACTTTCCCAGTCTGGATTTTGGTGATAGCTTCATAGGAATATCCATGTGTCATAGCATATCAAGTCATACTTTAAATGTGTGTGGTTTATTGTCTGTCCGTGACACTTCAATAAAGCTGCTTAAAACTTTTCAAAAGCCATTTGTCCAAAGTGTTGGTGCCCAATAGAACTGTTTGCGTTGATGGGAATAGTGTGTATCTGCTTTACTGAGTCTAGCAAGTCTCTAGCCACATGTGACTATTGCATTTGAAATGTGGCTAGGGCAACTGAGGAACTCAATTTTTAACTTCATTTAAGTTTAATCAATTTAAATGTGAAGAGGGGCATGTAGCTATTATCTGTCCTGTGGGACATCACAGGTCCAAAGCCCACTTTCCGCTCTTCAATGCCTGCCTCACACACATGTTGTAGGCCGTGAGCTCTGGCTCCTGGAGGTGGCTGGAAGCTTCCAGCACTGGAAGGCTGTTTCACACTCTGATACCCTTGTTAATGCTGCAGCCTCTGCTAAGAATGCTCTTAATTGATACAATGAGGTGTGAGGTCTTTCTACAACTGCCCACCCTTAGACAAGGTGTTGCTTGGCCTGTGCAGAAGGTGAATAGGTGGTTTGCTTTCTCTGAAGCTGTGCTTTTTCCTATTTAACTCTTATGACTGAGCAGCATTTGCTCGAATTAAAATCTCCCCACATTTCAAAGCGTCTTTTCTACCTCTCAAGTTTCTCATAAATTGGGCATATTCAAATAAGTGACATGATGCAGGCAAGCCTCAGGTAAGATCCTTTGGCCATATTGTATATTACATGGTAACAAAATGGCTTTTTAAAGGAAAAGCTGATTATCCTCGAAGAGAGTTGGATTCTGTTAAGGGTTTTGGAGGTGAGCCCTGGGAAGACCTGTTATTTTCTAGACCTTTGAGGCTAGAGCTGGAAAGATTCTGCCCAGTGACCTTTGGCTGCTCCTTAAAAATAGCTATGATGTAAGAATCCTGTCTAGCTTCAGGCTTCTAGATGGGATCCCTTTGGGCAAGATCATTTGACAAAGCAGAATTACTCACTGCCTAAGTCAGAAGGCAGCACTGCAGCTCCCTGGGGTGGGGCTGCACCTCCACACTTTGGCTGGATCAGCAGCTGTTGATCAGTGGCCAGAGAACAGAGAGGGTGACCTGTGAACTGAAGGGTGGGGGAAAGTAGAAAGTGACAGATCTACAGGCAAGGAATTTTAAGATCCCCACCACCACCATCCACCCCCACCAAAAAATAAAAAATATTAGGAAGGACATTGTGAAGAGATGGCTGTTTGGCTGGCTCTGTTCCCCTCCTCTGTGCCTTCTGGCCTATCTTTGTTTGCTCATCAGCTGTGACATTAGCATAATGATTTTGTTCTTTATATCTAATAGCTCTATGTGCTGCCTGCCCCACTGACTGAATCATTTTATTTCTACTTGTGAGATCACAGACCTTTGACTACTTACTTACCTTGTCAGACATATCCAAGTGAACTCGGGGGGAAAAGCTAAGACAGGAAGTAGGGGTGGGGAAAGGAAGGATTGTTATTTTGAAAGATTGCCTGGGCTGGGTGTGGTGGCTCATGCCTATAGTCCCAGCACTTTGGGAGGCTGAGGTGGGTAGGTTGCTTGAGCCCAGAAGTTTGAGACCAGCGTTGGCAACATGGGGAGACCCTGTCTTGACAAAAAATAAAAATAAAAAAATTAGCCAGGCATGGTGGCTCATGCCTGTGGTCCCAGCTACTCGGGAGGCAGAGGTGGGAGGATCACTGGAGCCCCACTGTGCTCCATCCTGGGTGAGAGGCACTCTCTCAAAAAAAAAAAGAAAAAAAAAGTTTGCCTGCTTGTTGGTCCAACGTTAATAGCAGTGATTAAGATTAATAATTTGTATTCAGGTTGCACTCGATGTTTTAAAAAGCCATTTTACATAATATATTTGTTAAAAGTGAGTCAGAACATAAGAGAAAGCCCTATGCTTTCTTGGTGCTAAGGAAAATATTCTGGTTGGGTTACCCAGGGATAATGTAATTCTTCCCATAGAGCATGAAAATGTCATTACTCATAAATTGAGACTGGAGCTGCCTGAGCACAAGGGATATGTAATCATCTTCTGGCTGTGGTTTCCGTCCCTCTCGGCCAGAACTCGAGGATGGCTCGTTCGGCTGCGGGCCTGAGGCTGCTGGACACACAGAGGAAGCCCAGAGCCTGCCCGCCACTCAGGCTGCAGGGCACACCTGCCGAGAAGCGCGTCTGGCCCCCACGCACTTGTTCTCTGGCCCAGACAGAGACCAGAGTGGCCATGTCCTGGGAAATTCTCCCTGAGCCACCAGGCGTGTGTGCTGTGTGGATTGCATACACCAAGCATGGAAAGGCAGAGGCAAGCAGGCTGATGTCCAGGAGTCTGGAAGCTTTATTAGTGAAGCCATCGATGGGGATTCTATTTATATTTGTGAGATTTTCTTTAAAAAGTAAACACCTTTGTTAAGCATATTTTATGTATTATAAAAATCACCCATTTCAAGTGTACACATCAGTGATTTCCAGTAACTTTACCAAGTGGTGCAACCATCACCTCAAATCCGTTTTAGGACATTTTCTTCTCCCCTTAAGGACCCTCATGTTCTTTTACAGTTAATCCCATCTTCCCCTTTGCTCCAGGCAACCACTGATCTACTTTTCAATCTCTATTATAATAATTTATTTTCTGATTAGAAAAGTAATAGTTTCCTATTTTGGATAATTTAAATAATTCCAAAGAGAAAAACCGTGAATGAAACCAGAATCCCCCTCATTGACCTGGCACCAGGCTTCTCTCTCTCCAGCTGCTGCCTTCTGCTGACTCCTCGACTGCCACGGCTGGCAGGGCCCACACCAGCACTTCGACCACCCTCTATGCCATTCCTTTTGCCCAGTCTACCCCTGCCCCCACCTCACGATGCCCCATCTTTTGAAGGTCTGTCTCACATCCACTGCTTAACAGAGATTTCCCTGGTATCCAGGCTAGAAATAATGTTCTCTTCATGGAAGTTCCATGATGTCTCAGTCCTGGCTCCTCTGGTATCTAGGCTAGAAATAATGTGTTTTCCTTGAAGTTCCATGGTGTCTCATTCCTGGCTCTCAGAGTTTCCACTTGGTAGTTTACTTACCTAAACATGGGGCGTGTCTCCCCATTCACCCGAGGGGAGAGGCTGTCTGAGGACTGAGGTCCTCACTAGCTTGTTTTTGTTTCCTAACTCATCCGTACACCCCCCTCTCCTGCCACCACTGCGGCCACATGTGGCTCCTTTACAGTGGTCATCAGAGCTGTCCTTGCAGCCTGGCCAACATGATGAAACCCCGTCTCTACTAATAATACAAAAATTAGCTGGGCATGGCATGGTGGCGTGTGCCTGTAATCCCAGCTACCTGGGAGGCTGAGGCAGAGGAATCACTTGAACCTGGGAGGTGGAGGTTGCAGTGAGCCAAGATCGTGCCACTGCACACCCGCCTGGGCAACAGAGTGAAACTGTGTCTTAAAAAATAAAAAAAAAAGCTGCAATTGGTTGTTGAGTGTCTCATTGCCCACTAGGCTGCGGGCCCTGTTCCCAGCATCCAGAGGTCACACTCACTGCTGAAATGAACGAAGAACGAAAGCAAGCCGACCAAGTGGGTCTGCATGTCCGTGGAGTGTTCACTCTTCTCCACTTGAATGTTTTTGCTGTAGGTCCCAAAGCATAGTTGATCTCTTCTCACCCTAATCTATTATTAACAGCACCTAAGTTCTTATTGGAATTAAATAACGAATAATCTCAAAATAGATGGATAAACCAAATTGTGATGAATTTCTTTTTCTCTGCTGCAGAGAATCTTGTTTTTCCCACTCACTCGTGTACATTCATGTTCATGTGTGTACTCCCGCTTCATGAAAAACCTAAGATTCTCTTTAGAAATGTGAATTTTAACTTGTGGACACTTTTAACTTTCTTCCCCACAACCCACCTTATCACTGGATGGTTCTGGTGCCTTTGGCGCTGCCCCCGCCAGCTGCCGGACAGCGACTCTAATCCTCCCTGTAGGCTGCCTTCTTTCTTGCACGTGCCTTGTTCTAGACCGCACAGCATTGGCTCCCAGCCAGGCAGGGTTCAGGACCAAATTGACCTGCGCCGGTGACTCTGATTGTGGTTTTGTATGATCGTGTAGATGAGTGGGCAGTGAGCATCTCAGGGGTTAGTAACTGGGACAGTTACCCTTCCTTCTTCCCAAGCCCAGGCCAGCTGGCCTGACCACCTAAAACCTAAGTCACTGTTTTCTCACCTTTCATCAATGAGGAGCCATTAGTATCTGTGCAGTGTAAAATATGCTACTATGTGGTATTCTTAGAATTTTACATTCTTGGTGTGTATGTACATAATTCTTCCTCTGAAAGGGCAGGCATCGTGTTTCATTTACCTTTGTAAATTTATTTTATTTTATTTTTGAGACAAAAGTCTCGCTCTGTTACCTAGGCTGGAGTGCAGTGGTGTCATCTTGGCTCACTGCAACCTCCGCCTCCTGGATTCAAGTGATTCTCCTGCCTCAGCCTCCCGAGTAGCTAGGATTACAGGCGTGCGCCACCTCGCCTGGCTCATTTTTGTATTTTTAATAGAGATGGGGTTTTGCCGTGTTGGTCAGGCTGGTCTCGAACTCCTGACCTCAGGTGATCTGCCTGCCTCGGCCTCCCAAAGTGCTGGAATTACAGGCATGAGCCACCACACTCAGCCTCCTTTGTAAATTTACCTACTGTTGCTGTATGCAAAATAGGTGCTCAATAAATCACTTGAATGAATGAATTCACACATGCATTTGCTATATTATGTTTGGTTTAAGGTGTTAATAGAACTAACATTTTATCTGAAGCCCCTGTAGATTCTGTCTTTCACATATTCGATGCCCAAAAAAATATTTCAGTATACTGATTTCTTCCATCAATAATTTTTAAGCCTCTATTCTAGGCCAAGCCCCATGCTAAGAGCTCTGGTAAATATAAAATACAATAAAGGTGGATGCTACCCTTTAGAACTTAGTGTGTGAGATCACTAAGATGAACACGAGAAGAGCCTGCCAAGTGCCTTAAAACATTTAGAAAAGGGGCTGGGTGTAGTGGCTCATACCTGTAATCCCAGGTCTTTGGGAGGCCGAGGCAGGTGGATCACTTGAGGTCAGGAGTTTGAGACCAGCCTGACCAACATGGTGAAACCCCGTCTCTACTAAAAATACAAAAAGCCAGGCATGGTTGTGGGTGCTTGTAATCCCAGCAACTCGGGAGGCTGAGGCGGGAGGATCACTTGAACCTGGAAAGCAGAGGTTGCGGTGAGCCGAGATCACGCCACTGCACTCCAGCCTGGGTGAGACTCCATCTCAAAAAAAAAAAAAAAAAAAAATAGAAAAGAAAATATTGGAGGATCTGGGGGAGGGAGGGATCACATTCTGCTGGGGTTGCTTAGTAGAGAAGGTGGCGTTTGAGTAACTCCTGATGGATGAGAAGGCTTTGAACAGCAGGGATAGGGAAGACGTTTCCGTCGAATAGAACAAATTGAGCACATGCGTAGAATCAGGGAAGGAGAGAGTTCAGTTTGGAGAAATATGAAGATGAAACATGGAAAATAAGGATGGATTGTGGAGAGTGTGAAATGCAGGAATAAGTAGTTTAGTCTTTATTAGGGACACAACCCCAGACAAGCCTGCCATAGCCCTGAAGCGGGGAGTGGGGCAGGCAGAGACTAGGAAGCGGCAGCAGGGAGCAGGGGAAGCCATAGCCTTAGTCCTGAGAAGGAGCAGTGAGGCGCAGCCAAGGCAGTGGACGTGAGAATGGCATGGAGGGAATGTTGGAAGACGGGTCTGCGTATGTAGGGTTAAGACCTGGAATTTGTTGAGAAGCGTGCCGCACGGCTGGGTGGCAGCACTGGGGTCAGAGATGACTCTTGGGTGTCAAGCAAGTGAGGAGGGTGGGAGAGAGGGCTTTGTAGGAAGGAAGAGCATTGGAGGAAGGAGAGCTGGCTGCATACTTGGGGCTGCCTGCAAGTAGAGGGAAATGTGGCCCTGGAGGCGGGAACTGTGACGGGAGTTTCATTCCTCACTCACCTGTCTGGCTGCCAGGACTGTCAATGACAGTGGAAATCTAGGCGTGCTTGCTGTCGTAGGTTACTCATCAGCACGGCCTTCTGTTTGTCCTTGTTCCTTCCAGTCGTTCCTAAGACCGCACCTTAAACTGCGCTTTTCAGCATTTAAAAATTTAATGCTTAAGGCTGATCTTAGCAAGACATAGCTGATGACATTGTACCTTGGAGGAAGGCCAGGTACGTGAGAAATGTTGAGTTGTTTAATCCTAGGGCAAAAGTTCCCCAAAAAAGTTTATTTCTGAAATGACAGTCATTAATTGATCATTTATTTAGCAGAATTGGCTGTGGATGCAGACGTTATTATACACCTTACCAGTGTTTTCCAAGTACATTTCTGTTTCTAATGTAAAATTTAGTCCAGGCGTGGTGGCTCATGCCTGTAATCCCAGCACTTTGAGAGGCCGAGGAGGGCAGATTGCTTAAGTCTAGGAGTTCAAGACTAGCCTGAGCAACACAGTGAAACCCTGTCTACAAAAACTACAAAAAAAAAATTAGCCAAGCATGTTGGCCCGTGCCTATAGTCCCAGCTACTCAGGAGGCTAAGGTGGGAGGATCGCCTGAGCTCAAGAAGTTGAGGCTGAAGTGCCCTCCAACCTGGGCGACACAGTGAGACCCTGTTTCAAAAAAAAAGAAAAAAAAATTAGTACACTGAATGGTGTATAGAAATCGGATGCCATATTGCTTTAAAAGTGGTGCCATTTTATCTTCCTATTTAAGATAATTATACTAAAAATAAAACTTTCCTTTGCTTGATGGTATGAATGAATACATAAGGTCCCAAGTCCCTCTTCTCGTCCTTCTCCTTCTCTGGGCCTGTAATCTAGAAGCCCAGAGTGTCACAGAAGCCACAGGGGCCCAGCAGTGGGAACTGGCCCTTGGGTTGATTCAGGGGAGTGGTCCAAGCCTGGGAAGTGCGAAAGTGGGTTTCGAGCTCGTTTTCCACTTGAGGGAGGGAATCTTTTCAGGCTCAGGGCTCTGAGTCCGTACTTGAAGGCTCTTCCTGACTGAAGTTTCGCATCTTGAGTTGACTCGCATTTGAACTGCTGTCACGGAGACTTGCTTGCTCCTCGTGTACCTGTTGGTTAGGAGGCTTCCATTCCACCCAATTTAATCCATGCGGACGGTGTGTGTCCCCACTCTCCTGCCTTCTTGCTTCAGGGAGAAGAATGGGGGCACCAAGGCTCTTGCCCTTCCTGTTCCCTTTTATCTCCTTTGCCTAGCAACACCCCCCCAACACACACCCCCTCACAATCACACCCTCACTCTCACACCCTCCCACACACCCCCCGTCACACCCTCTCATGTCCACTCTCATACACTCTCACAACCACACTCACACAACATGCAATCATTCCCAATCACTCACATCCACACTCCACACAACCACACAAAATCACATCCACACACACACTCAACCACACTCATACCCCACGCAATCACAACCACACAACACACATCCCAATCACACCCACTCACATCCACACTCTCACCACACTCAACACACACCCCACGCAATCACACCCACTCACATCCACACTCACACAATCACACAACCACACTCATACACACCCCGTGCATCACACACACTCATATCCACACCCTCACACCCTCACAATCACAGCCCCCCACATCCACTCACACAATCATATCTTCACTCACACACACCCTCACACAATCATTCACATTCACCCCCAACTCACATCCACACACACACCCTCAAACACACACATGCTCCCTCACACACCTACACATACTCACATTCTCACACACACATGTGCATTCACCTTATACTCAGTCACTTACACCCTTACACACCCACTTACACCCCCACAATCACACCCCACACTCAAATCCACACAATCTCTCACATCCACAATCACACTCTCACACACCCACACACCCGTACACAATCACATTCACGCACTCACATCCACAATCACACCCACACACACCCATACACACATTTACACACTTACACAATCACTCACATCCATAATCACATCCTGAAACCCTCACACGCCCACACACACCCATACACAATCACATTCACACTCACATCCACACTCACACTCACATCCGTACACAATCACACCCTCACACACCCATACACAATCGCATTCACACACTCACACAATCACACCCTTAGTCCCTTAACATGCTCCCTCACACACCTACACGATCACTCATACCCACATTCACTCACATACACCCTCATGTGCATTCACTCTTATACTCAAGCACAGTCACACCTTTACACACCCACAACACCCTCACTCAGTCGTACACACTCATTGACACACACTCTCCGTCCCCAACACACACACGTCTTTTCTCATTCGCACCCAGCATTCGCTCGTGTGCCTTTGCAGCAGACAGAAGACTCTGCCTTTGTTTCCCCTGCTTGGAGCTTGCTGTGGAGACTGGGGCCTGGGGCCCAGAGCACCAACCCCAGTACAGTCCAGCTTATGGGTGGAGCCGTGATTGAGAGTCAGAAGTGGGGGTTTCCTTTTATTCTAGGCTTTCGACGTAATTCTGTCATTGAATGTTTTGAAATATTTTTTCTTCACTGCAATGATTGTCTCTTTACAAACTTTCTAGCATAACAATATAAGATTGTTACTGTGAAATATATACAGACCTAGACTTTTCATTAGCCCTCTATTCATTTGTAAGATGAAATTGTTACAAAGAATGTATGACTGAATAAGGCACAGTACATGCACCGGCCAGGTTTTAGGTGGAGGTGAATCATTATCAAATGTTCTCTCTAATGTCCTTGCTGTCCTTACTTTAGATTCACAAGGAAGCTGAATAAGAATCTCCTTTTGTTTTTGTTTTTTAGATTCAGAATATGAACAACATAATCTCCTTCCCTTTGGACAGTTTGCTGAAGGGGGACCTGAAAGGAGTGAAAGGGGTATGACATTGACACTGTGACACCAGGGGCAGCTTTTACACCATGTAGAGTCACAGTAGCTTGGCCTGCCGGGCAGCAGCCACGCCAGTACGTTCTCATTGGGACGATAGGATGGCTCTTTTATCTCAGCTTCCTCTGATTTGCCATCTTGGGACCACCTTTCAGCCAAAAAGGTGGTGACTTCTGGCCTTTCTGGCCGTCCTGTTGGCACAACAAAGTTGGTGAGGGGAGGAGACTGGGAAGGGAAAGAAAACTGCTATTTTGGAAAAAGTAAAGAGTTTCGGTCTCTCCAGGGAGCAGGGAAACCTGTGGGAGGAGTCGGGCTTTCTAGCTGGCACGTTGCCCATTTAGCACTGGGAAAGGATCCTAGCAAGGGTGTATTTTCCTGCTGGGAAGGTCGCAGTCGTCAGGCATGAGCCAACTTTGTCTCTCTGTCCTTCAGAGGATGTTGGCTGTTTAGGACATGCCTAGCCACCATAAGCACGCAGGCCAGGAGCTGTTTAAGGGGGCAGCAGACGGGGCTGGAGGGGCGTTTGCTCATGAGCACGCAGGCCAGGAGCTGTTTCGGGGGCAGCGGACAGGGCTAGAGGCGCGTTTGCCAGGCAGCGCGCTGCCCCTGCGCATCGCCAGCCCTGACAGACGTGCACCACGGAAGGGACGTGATTGTGGCTGCCTTCTCGGGAGACTCAAATTCTTTGGATCTGCGCACGATTCCTGGGTCCCATCGGGGATGACTGGAAACCCAGTCTTGACCCATCTCCAGGACCTCTACAGAGGCCTCTCAGGGTCTCCTTCACAGAGTGTGCCCGGAGAGAGCTGTTCAGACACATTCCCCATCGAGCCTTCAGGGGCTTGGAGAACAGGTCAGCGGAGTTAGCCCAACTCACGGGCGGGAAGGCATCCCAGGCAGAGGAAAGGCGCAGGTGCGCACAGGGAGCAGGGCTCAGTGCTGCATGTCAGGCTGCCAGGGTGCAGGAGGAGCCAGTTCGTGCAGGGACTTGTGTGCCAGGCTGTGGCACTTGGGCCTTACCTGAGGCCATTGAAAAGCCAAAAAGTAGTCAACAGCAACAACAAAAAGATTTCTGTCTCCCTGAAGAACCCCTTTGAAGGGAGCATAAATAGGTGAGGACCATTCAATAGAATTTCCAGTGGCTCAGTAGTTTTTGAGGCAGGCTTTACCAGAGTGTATGAAGTCCTGAATTGCACACGGAAGAGCAGTAAGAGACCCTAGGAGGATGTGGCGGCCTTTCTATTTCTGTCGTTGGGCTTAAAGCAGGGTTAGATGTGATGAGATTCATCTATCAATTAGAGTTCCTTTCTTTTAGAGAGACATCCTGAAGTATTTGCAGATGAAAGGTTGTCTTTCAGGATTTACTTTCAGATTAGGCCCAGGGCAGGGAGTAGGGCACAGGTGACACAAGGTGGCCCAAGAGTGTCATAACTGGGTGGCAGCACCTTGCTTTTGTGTACATTTAGTATATTCTATATTATTTTAAGAGAAAGAAAGGAAATGCCACCACTGGTCTACTTAAAAGCATGTACTCTTGGTTCTTTATTTTTCGTGGGATTACATACGTCATTTATTGCAGAAATTAATGCTCCTTTCAGGGCTAGTACAGGGATAAGTAAGTTTATCTTGCACAGAAGTGAATGATTAGTCTTGCCTAATTTATTATTCTTTGTTTACAGGATCTGAAAAAGCCTTTTGATAAAGCTTGGAAGGACTATGAAACAAAAATGTGAGTGTTCTCGTTTTTAAATTTACGTATAGGTAATTTGGGATTTCAAATTTAAACCAACCTCGTATTGCTTAAAGGGATTGTCCAAATAAACCTTAATCCAGAAAAGAATGTTTATCAGCCATGTTGCTGTGGTTCATTTTGATGACAGATGTGTTTGGTGATGCTGTCTTCTTCTTCTAATCTGTTTTCTTCTGTTCCTTTGTCTAAGATGTCATAGTGGTTATAGGATGTTATTTTCAGGAAAGTTCATTGAGGGAAGTTAAGACCAATTTCTCTTAGGAGGTATTTCTTTCTGTTTTTGTTTTTAAACACTTTGTCCATTCCGTTACTGTTTTTGATAGCAGGGCAGTTTTCAGACTTCATCTTCCTGGTGATTTGTGAAAGCTGCTTAGCTTTGTATCTGTGTTTCTCTGAAATACCAGTTCCCTTGGTTTTAGAAAGAGGGTTCAATACCTGTCTCCTTCAGATTCATCTGCCAAAAAATAACCTGAAGAATGGAGAATTGATTCTTGGATGTGAACTACGGTTTCTACAAGAAGTAGAATTGGTTTCCTGACCCGAAGTCAACCAATAGACAAGACTCTGTTGGTTGACTTCAGGCAGTTGTAACTTCCCCAATCACAGTTTCTCATCCCTAGAGTAGAGAGAGTCGAGCTACAGGGAATTGATCAAGCAAGTAATTATGGGGGGAATAATGGCTTCAATTATTTTAAATACTGGAAAGATATGAAATGTGGTGTTTACTTTGTAATCTCTGTGTCTTGGAGTGCTCTGAATGGAAATAGAAACTTCCATATGAAGCTATCTGTTAAACTAAAAGGTGTTATGAGGAAGTCATTTCAAATCTAAGTACAAGTATTTCATTAGATTGTTTAAAAAAAAAATAGCTCAGGATATCTTTCCAGTGGTGAAGGATCACAAAGCTCAAATCAGTGAGCCCCACACCTTTGATACTCCTTCTATCCATGGGAATCTTACATTTCCATACCCGAGGTTGCTTGGCCCCGAGTTCTGGAGTTTCATTGATGGTGTACATTCATTCAGAAGCACAGGCAGAGTGTTGACTAGAGAACCCTGCAGGTCCATTCAGCCCAGGGAGGCCCCCACCCAGGATCCCTGGTCCGTCAGCATCCTTTATTTGTGTGCCAGTTGGGTGAAATAAATGGGAAGGGACCAGCGGATTCCTGCTTTGCAGAGGGAAAACCAAGAGTCAGTGGTTTCTGCTTGTCAGCCAGTAAGAGTAATTGAGCCAGGCCAGGAAGCAGCTTTCCCACTTCACTCAGCCTCCCTTGCTGCCCGTCTCTGTGGCTGATAGGAAATGGTCCTGTGTGTGACTAGACCAAGGGCAGAAAGGGCTTTCTGAAGAAGAGTGCCTGAGAGAGTCATCTGGTTCTGAAAAGAAAAGGTTTGGAAGAAGGATAACATCAAATTCTGTAAAATCGAGACACACATGGGTAGGATGGGGACAGAATTCCTCACAAAACCCTAGAATTTAGGAGGAGGGAGCAGCACCCTTTAAACTTGAAGTAATTGTAGGATAAATAAAGGAAATAATTCTTTATTAATGTGGGAGATTCATTTATCCCAAGAGGTTTTGTGATATGTAACAACCATAATAGGTTTTAGATGTCTTTAAAATTCCTGGGCAGTAGTCCCATACCTGATTATTAAGAGAAATGACCAGTGTCTGGACGGTCTCTTGCCTGTGAAGGAGTGTCAGCGACACCTTGGAGTTGTATAATTCTAGTCCCAGGGACCCTCCAGTCACACTCCTTTCCGGATGCATAGACTCATTAAACAACAACATCCCTCCCAAAGGGTCTCCTGTGTGTTTATTTTTCACTCATTCACTCCTTCAAATTATTGAGAACCTACACAGTGCAGGACACACAGAGAAATCACATTTCTTGCCTCTTCTTAAACACTCTAGTCCTCCTTGCCCTAATGACAGGGAGCCCTCTGGAACCCTGAGTAGCCCATTTCATCACTGGATGCCTTTGAAAGAACATGCTACTTGGGTCTTCTGGTGTCTACTTCAGGCTCTACAGAAAGAGCTGCTTCCCTTGTCTTCATGGCAGCCCTTTCTGTTTTTTGAGTGCTTTCTGTTGGTTTTGTTTAGTCTCCTTTTCTCCAGAATAAAAACTCACGGCTATTTCAAGCCCACCTTAGCAGCCACGATTACCCTGGTGGCTCTTCTTTGGATGTGCTCATTGGTCAGTTTTTACCCTGAACTGCACACTCGACATTTAGGTAATACAGGTTAGGCACAAGATGAATGTAGAAAGGATAATTAAGCCGACAGCATGGAAAGGTGGTTGGTCGTCTTCTACAGTGATGAGCGGTGTTGTAGGTCAAGGCAGAGAGCTGGCCTGGCTTCACTGAGTGAGGAGGTGATGACAGAGACTAGGGAGGAAGTCCAGGAGGAGAAACAGTGGGTAGGGAAGAGTCAGACGGTGCCCTTGGGTTACTAGAGGGCAGGAAGGCTCTGAATGCTGATGCCAAAGGAGCCCTCCAAGCCCTGTGCAGACTTCCTACCTCCTCTGACCCATACCTGACTCAAAGCAGGTGCCTAGGAAATACTTGTTGAGTAAGTGGGAAGACCCGGTTTGACATCTTCGTGAGGACACCCATTTTCCTTTTGAGGGAGTTGAGAGGCTGCCTGTGCTGAAACGTGTGGTGAGCGTTGGTCTCGCCAGGCTGGGTACTGGGGTGGCTTCAAGGCTGTCCCGTTGAGTTCTGTGCCAACAGGCATCTTGATGTATCCTTGCTTTCACACGTAGAACCAAGATAGAAAAGGAGAAAAAGGAACACGCCAAGCTCCATGGGATGATTCGGACTGAAATAAGCGGAGCGGAAATTGCCGAAGAGATGGAAAAGGAGAGGCGCTTCTTCCAGCTACAGATGTGCGAGGTAAGGCGGTGGTGAAGGCAGGTCCTACAGCCCAGGCTGTGCCGGCTCTGCCCTCACCTGTGGGAGCATCTCACCGGTACCAGCGGCTTCAGAGAAAACACCACATGCATTGCTGGACTCCCTTTGCCCCTGTGTTGACATTTCTTTTACTAGGGAAGCGTTAGCCTCCTGGAGGGTAGAATTAGGTTACTTTAACACCAACATTTTCTTAAAAGTAGAGAAAAACCACTAAATGTCTAGAATGTTCTTTCTGGCTTCACGTACGTACTCTTGCTAAAATATTTATTCCTTGGGTGTATTTAAATGAGATCTCTGAGTTCCCTTGTACCAATGGAGTCAGTGACTGGCTTGTGGGAGGGTGAGAAGTCAGCTGAAAACAACATACAGCGATGACAGACCATGGCCTGTGTCAGTGTCTGTGAGTGGATGGGAAGTCCAGTCACCTGTTTTGACTTCCTGCTAGACCTCACCTGCTCAGGCGGGGGCACTCATCTAGCCCGAAGGCCCAGGTGGCCTGGGGAGCGCCTCTCTGCTCCACTCCATTCCACCCGCAGCCTCAGCCCTTCCCTTAGTGAGGCGGAGACAGCAGGATGGACACTCTCAGAGCATTTCTCTGAGATCAGAGACCATGGATTATGAAGGCCTTTGCTCACAGATTTTTTATTTTTGTGCCTTGCTTGCCAGGTACGTGTATACAAATGGCACATGGAAACAGCTGCCACCTCTGCCTGGGGTTAATTCCTCCTGGCAGTGCCAGCGAAGCTCCCTTGCACTGGATGGTATTTGTTTCCCTCTCATAGCAGTGCAAACTTAGGTTTCAAATGTACACAATGTGTGGGTGATGTTTGTGACAGGCACTGAAACTGGCATTGGCCAGCTCTTAATTCCCTCTGAGCAATCAACAACAAAGCTAATCCAGAAGGCACTTTCTGATTTTGGAATGTATGTTTGTTAATTGTAGCAGGAGCTTAACCCTTATAAATACATATATCTTAGAAATGTATTTAAATGAGTTTTTATTCCCAGAGCAGACTCTTAAGTGGTCAGCAGAGAGGAATCAGTCCCAGGAATCAGGGTGGCAGTTGAAAGTTAAGTCCATTTTGTCTAATGTTAGAATATCTACTTATCTTAGCCTGTTTTCTGTTGCTATAACTGAATACCTGAGAATGGGTAATTTATAAAGAAAAGAAATTTCCCAGTTCTGGAGGCTGCCAAGTCCAAGGTTGAGGGGCTGCATCTGGTGAGGACCTTCTTGCTGGTGGGCGCTCTGCAGAGTCCTAAGTCAGTGCAGGACATCACATGGTGGGGGCCTCACAAGAGACAGCCAAACTGGCTTTTTAATAGCAGACACACTCTTCTCATAATTGTACCACTCCCCCAGTAATCCATGAATGGATTAATCCACTCATGCAGTGACCTCCCAAAGGTTCTACCACTCAACACTGCTGCATTGGGGACCCAGTTTCCAACATGTGAACTTTTAGGGGACACATTGAAACCATATCACCACTCCAGCTCTTTTGGTTACTATTTGCACCCTTTTACATTCAACCTGTGAATCTGAAGTGTATCACTTATAGATAATATATATAGCTGGATCATGTTTTTCTTATCAGTTTGACAATCTCTGCCTTTCGATTGGATTGTTTAATCCATTAACGTTGAATGTTACTATTGATATGATTGGATTTACTTCTGTTATTTTACTTTTTTTTATGTCTGTCTCGTGTCTTTTGCTCCTTGATTCCTCCTTTACCGCCTTGTTTTTCATTGAGAGAATGTTTAGAGATATTCACTAGATGAAAAACAAGCAAATATTTTTAAATATTCACTTGATGAAATGAATTCTCAAGATAAAGCCTTTAATTAAACTTAAAGGGTTCTTATAGACAGGAGAATGGATGTTTTTATACACATTTTTTTGTAAACACATATCATGTGTAGTGTAAGAGGTTGCATTCTCAAAAGAAAAGCACATACCATGTATAATACCACCTTCCTGGCCTACCTCATAGAGTGGCAGAGAAATCAGCGAGACAGCATGAGACAGGGACTAGGAAACTGCTGTGTGTTATACAAGCACAAAGTATTGGTTTTTGTTTTTGTTTTTCTCAATCCTGCTTCTGTAAGGGTATTGTTTCTAATTAAGTACTGTAGTAGCATTTTACAAACAATCAGGGTGAAATTAAGTAGTAGTGTTTTACAAAGAATGAATTTGGAAAGGGGTGTTTGTGTTCAGGTCATGCTCTTTTTGGTTAGTAAAGTAGACATCTATTTACCTAAACACTTTAAGACTACTTAAAATGCGTACTGAATTTTGACATTCAAGTAGTATGTGAAGGTCATAGCCATGACTTGAGGAGTAATTGGTTCCCCACTTGGCTCTGTCGTTGCTTCCTGTGGTATGCACCTTGCACTGGTTACTACTTCTCTTCTGTATCCAGGTGAATTGATCCTGTGAACTGACTAAGTCATTTATTTTAATGGAAATACACTGTGTAGATGATGCCTCTAAGTCATAGACTTGAGCCATCTTTCGAGCAGTCCTCAGGTAGTGCTGGGTCCTGGCTCTGCAGAGCTGGCACTTGGAGGGGTCAGGCACTAATGTTTCACAGTTGAGTGAGAGCTGTACTATATGCATGCATAAAAGCAGAGGTGGGCTTATCTAACAGTAAACTCACAGTTTTCACAGGAGAAGACATCTGATGAAGAGTGTAGAAGTTGGCCAGATAGTCATGGGCCGTGAAGGCCTTTCTTTCCATGGGTGAGAAAGATCATTTGAAAAACAGTTCCTTGAGAATCCAACTCTGAAGTGAATTAGATTGCCTGCATTAAAATCATGTTAAAAGGCCGGGCAGGGTGGCTCACACCTGCAATCCCAGCACTTTGGGAGGCTGAGGTGGGAGGATTCCTTGAGCCCAGGAGTTCAAGACCAGCCTGGGCAACATGGTGAGACCTTGTCTCTACAAAAAAACAAAAACAAACAAACAAACAAACATGACTTTAAAATTATTTGACTGTTTCCCCAAACTGAAGTTCTCAAGCTTTAAGTGCTTGCTGTTGTTTAGGTGTTTAAAATTTGAGTTGCCCAGGATCTAATCCAGAAGAGTGGCTTTCAGGCTTTTATTTTAAAGCTATGGAGCCCTTTCTTCAAAATTCATTTAATAAAGAAATTCAGTATGTCAAATAGGTAGTACAGACCTTCTGTGAGCGGAGAAGGCGTGAGAAGATCCTCTGTTGCTGATTGTAAAAATAGTATATACTTTTAAAGAAAATTGGTTAATATAAGAAAATATATATAAAAGGAATTAAAAATCGCCCCCAAATTTTACTTATCCAAAGATAACCACTTTGACATTTAAGTAAACATCTTTATATGTCCCTATGTATACATTCAAAAAAAATCGTATAAGTAGATCTTTCGCTGCTGATGCTTTATAACCTATTTTCACTCTCTAGTATGTTGATGTCCATGTCAGAAATTTTGGGTTTTATTGGCTTAGTGGCCGCACAGTATTTTCTGTATGGATGCACCATATGTTAATTTCCCACTCATTAGGTTTGGACTGTTGCCATTGTTTACTTTTATAAACAGGATAGCAGTGTATCTTCTTTTCTGTTCATCTTTGTAAACTTTTGTGGTTATCTTCTTAGAATAAATTCCTGGGAGTAGAATTTCTAGGTCAAAATGTACATACGTTTAAAAATTTGATACATTACCAAATATTTAATATCAAAAAGAAAGAGGGAAAGAAGGACCTATAGGTGGTTGTTACAGGCAGAAGGACAATTTGTAGCTTACAGTTTCACAGCAGCTTTCCACCTCCTCCTTGGGCTGCAGAGAGACCTCAGCCAGCAACTGAACTTGGGTACCCCTACCCCACCCCCGCCCATCCTTTACAGCTGAGAGCCAGGGCATGAATCAGCAGCTTTTCCAGGGGACATTCCATTTCAGAGATCATCTTCTGACAGCGGAGGGGATGGGGACTCATGAAGTCCTTCTATTTCCTGACACTGGTTTTGTAGCTCCCTGAGGCTTTCTGATAGCTTCGTGGTCACTAATGAATTCTCCAAGTTAAAAATAGCTTTAATTCATTTCAATTAAACTTTGTTTTTTTCCAACAATCACATTATTTTCCTTGTAAGGGAAATGTCTCAGGACGAGAGACATGATGCCAAGCATCTCAGCTACAATACGTTAGCAGTTATTGTTCCTAAAGTAAGGGACCTTGGGCAGGAGTGTGTTTGAGATGGTTAGAAATCCCATTTATTTGAACCATCCATAGTCTTCCATGTAGCTAGAGTGAAGATTTCTCCTAGCAGGCCAGGATAGACTGTCTTATTATTAGGAGTTTTTGGCACTTCAATATTTAATTATCTGACTGTCAGATAATTCATATGGCCCCAAAATAAAGAAACGGTTACGGAATCCAGGCGATACTAAGTGTCGATCATGCACTCTACGCATTGTAAAAGATGCCAAAGAAGTAGAAGAAATCATCTCAGTCCTCAGAAGCTCCTTTTAAACTCGTATTCTGCTTACTTCCATGACATTTCCTTTTCATTGTTCAACAGTATCTGCTGAAGGTCAACGAAATCAAGATTAAAAAGGGAGTAGATTTACTTCAGAATCTGATCAAATACTTTCATGCCCAATGCAAGTAAGTTCTTCTCTGTTATGTTATCTTAAATGTTTGTTCATGTGTGGCAACTTCTGGTAGATCTATAGATAGCTCATAGGAAATAAACACCACTTAGAAGTCTATAGTAAAGGGAATGAGGTGCTGACTCATGCGACAACACGGGTAAACATTGAGAACACGTTCAATGAAGGAAGCCAGACACAAGAGGCCATGTACTGTATGATCCCATTTATTTGGAAGGTCAGGAATAAGTACATCCACAGAGACAGAAAGCAGGTGAGTGATTGCCGCAGCTTGGAGGAAGAAGGAAATGGGAAATGGCTGCTAACGGGTATAGGGTTTCTTTGTGGGATATTGAAAATATTCCAGAAGTGAGTGCTAATGATTGCACAACTTTGTGAATTTACTAAAAATCACTTTAAAAGGATGAATTTTATGGCTTTATGGCTTAGGGATTATATCTTAATTAAAAATAAAAGCATATATACAACATAAAAAATCTGTAGTAATTGCCAGATATATTTATTTTTGGCTCTTTTTGTAGAGGGACAAACTCATTTGACCTATTCCGCAACTCTCAGATGTTTGTTAAAAGAGAAATGATACGATGTTAATGCAGTGTTTTAAAATAAGAAAACACTTTTATATATTATCCTGTGGAGCCAATGACTGTGATGAGCAAAGGAAGATGTTAGTAGAGGAGAAGGAGAGGATTCCACGTGCAGGGGCTGCTCAAGTACTCAGCTTTGCCATCTGTGTCAGTACTTCAGTCTGACCCACGTCTCTGACCTGGCTTCTGCTCCTCGACCCCCAGTCACTGATATAGACAGGCCTCTGGCTCCTTCACTCACCCACCCAACACACATGTCAGGTGCTGGACCAGAGGCGAGAGACACAGTGATGTACAGTGCTGGCATAGTTCCTACTCAAAGAGTCAAGTAGGGAAGTTAGACTGAAAGAGACAAATTTCTAATTAGATGTTTACAAAATTGTTTTAAAGTATAGGAATCTAAGAAAGAATATAATACAGGGACCTGATTTAGATAAAGATTTAGGGTAGAGTTTTTTGTTTTTTGTTTTTCTATTTTGTTCCCTGATACAGTCTCCAACAGCCAGCACACAGTGCCCGGAACACAGTAGGTACTCGGCTGTTTCTTGAATGAGCTGCAGGCCTCTCTGAGGAGACATGGATCTGAGATCTAAAGTATGAGTAGGAGCCGGCAGATAAGGAGTGGGGGAAGAACATTCCAGGCAGGGTCTAGGTCTTAAGGCAGGAAAAAGGCCAAGGTGACATAAGCTCAGTGAAAAAGGAGAGTGGCGTGAAACGAAACTGCATGGAAAAGCCTTAGGGATGTGGATGGCCCCAGACATCTTGCAAAAGTTTTTAGATTTTATCCCAAATATGTTGGGAAGCTCTTGAAGAAATTGAAGCAGAGGACCATTTGTATGCACTCCTGTGATCTGCCAGGCGCTATTAGGGGTTTTGGTGATGCAGTAAGGAGGAAAACAAAGTTCTTGCCTTCACGGACCCTGGGGTCTCATGGGGGAGGCAAGTAGGAAACACGAGCCAATATTTAACTGAGTTTATGAAAAGGCAAAACAGTGATGGGGAGAGAGACAGTGGTGTTGGTTAGAAGCAGCTTCAGGAAGCTTCTCGGCTGTAACAAGATTACTCTGTGTGTTGTGGAGAAGGAACCAAACAGGACAAGGGTGGATGTGGGCAATTGCTTGTGTACACAGCTCCTGTCCCTGTGCAGACCAGAGATGACGATGGCCCACCTGGCTTCGTGACAGCGGGAGTGGAAGGTGTGGACTGACAAGAAATCTTTTCCTTGTGGAATTGCCATGCCTGTCTGCTTACCTTCCCAGAGCAGGCTGTGCCACCAGCAGCCTACCTTTGTACAGAATTGTTTCTTTTCCTAGAAGGCCTCTTTCCTTTGTGCCCTCCCTGTCTTCTGTTCCTCCTAGGACCCAGCTTATGGATCATTCCTGCTTTGCGATGCTTCTTCCTTTTGGAATTCCTTTTCTTCCTCCTGTGTTGCCACCACACCGTCTGCTTGTCTCCATGATGACATCTTCCTTGTGTCTCTGTGCCACTGAACTATATGCTCTTAAGGAAGGGGCCATGCCATTTATTTGTTTTATATCTACAGTGTGTGGCACATTTACCTGGCACGTATTTGCAGCAGTGAATTGCACTGTGGAATTGAACTGAGCTCTGCTTTGGAATTCTTAATACAGCTTTGATGATGTTGCATTTCTAAAGCACTTGAGGTCAGGCGGCAAAGGAGGATGTGCTGAGTGGTTCATCCAAAGTTAAAAGAGAGCTTCAGCCATTTAAAAAAAAGAAGAGTGAAATCATGTCTTTTGCAGCAATAGGGATAGAACTGAAAGTCATTATCTTAAGTGAAACAAGCCAGCCGCAGAAAGACAAATATCGCATGTTCCCACTCCTAAGTGGGTGCTAAGAAAGGCATACCCATGGATGTAGAGAGTAGAGTGACAGCAGAGTCTCAGGAGGGTGAAGGGAGTGGGGATGATGAGAAATTATTAATACTTAGTAGGTACAATGTATGTTATTCTGGTGATGGATACCCTAAAAGCCCTAAGTTGACCACCAGGCCTATAACAAAACTGCACTTGTACCCCATGAATTTATATTAAAAAATATAAAAAGAGAGCTCATCTCTACTTGGTGGAAAAGACCTTGCAATTATATAGTTTTCAAGATGAATTATTTTATGGAGACTCAAAATTCTTACTTTGTGATGAGCATGCAAATTACTTCTACAGTTCTTATGTCAGGCAATTTAGGAAGTGGGTCGCTTCCTTGCTGATATTTTATTTTTAAGAAGAAGCTATTCTGGGATTTCCTTCCCCCGCCCCTTTATTTTGCCCAAACCAGTCAGTTGGGTAGCAACAGACCACTTGTGGAAAAGTGAAGTAGTTGGCCTTTTATGGACATGATCCCAGTAACCTTTAAAAATATGAATCTTCCATTACTTCGTTTTTGGATATGAGAGAGAGTGTGTACGCTGCCTGCTCTTCAAATCAGTCAGGCAGCTTTGACTTTCTCAATTCACATTCTGGAGGGTACAACGTGGAGCTCGAGCAACTCAGCTGCAGAGTAAGAGCTCGCAGCCGTGCGTGTTTCCACGTGTGGGAGCGCCTCTCATTCCCCCACCACACACGCCCAGTTTCCGCTTCTCGCCCCCAAGGGCACAGCTTTGCCTGCTGGGTGCTGTGCCCTGCTGGGTACACGCGGGCCTCTGCACACTGCTGTGCTCCGCCAGGGTGAAGAGGCCACTGTGTAAACCAGATTCCAGGGCTCAGGTTTGGCTGTTGACCCTTGGAACTACGTAGATATGCGTTATTTTGCTTTTTCTTCTCGCTTTAAGTGTTCTTAAAGAATACTTCGTGTTCTTTTATTTTTATTTCATTTAAGGAAGGAATTTTCATCTCTACCTCTTTCCTGGAATATCTTGAAAACTTGTCTTATTAGTCTTTGCTCCTGAACATTGAAGATCCTGTACTCTAGCGGAATCTAGAAGTAGGGCATTATAACATTATAAAATAAAGACAGCCATGGTTTGGCAAGGCATGGTGGCTCATGCCTGAAATCCCAGCACTTTGGGAGGCCAAGGGGGGCGGATCACCTGAGGTCAGGAGTTCAAGACCAGCCTGGCCAACATGGTGAAACCTGGTCTCTACTAAAAATACAAAAATTAGCCGGATGCGGTAGTGCACACCTGTAGTCCCGGCTACTCGGGAGACTGAGGCTGGAGAATCACTTGAACCCAAGAGGCGGAGGTTGCAGTGAGCTGAGATCATGCTGCTGCACCCCAGCCTGGGCGACAGAGCGATTTTTTTTTTTCAAAAAAAATACAACCATGGTTTGAAAGGTGGTGATGAATGTTGAATTGACTTGTTCTTTGAGCCAATACCTGCTGGAAACCACTGTGACCAGCTGTTGCTCAGTGAACTTGGAATGCATGGTCAAGATAAGGCTCAGCCCCGGATGCTGCAGAAGCTTGCAGAGGAGGGAGGGGCGGGTGTCACAGACAGACCCCATCAGCAGACACCGCATTGGAATGTGGTGGCGTGAAGGCTGCAGGAGGGGCCCTGGCACGGTGTGTGGGGCCCAGAGAAGAAAGGAGCTACTCTGCTTGGTGGGTTTGATAATTGCCTCTAAGTGGGTGTATTTTAAAGGATAGAAATACACCCCTTCTAGCCTGGTGAGGCAGGCTAGAAAATGTTTAATAGACAACAAAATTTGATTGGGTAATGTTGATGGTAAAAGTTCTGTGAAGCTTGGAAAAGTGTTAATGGGCTCAACTTAAGAAAATTTTCTGGGGCTATGTAGTTAGGACTGTCATAGGGACAGCAGCCAGCGGAGAAGGAATAGTGTTCCTTTTCTTGAAGCTTCTCCTGACGCCAGGGCTGACTGCACTTTGAAGGGGCGTCTGGGTGCCAAGACACACCTCAAGGAGGGTACGGGAAGGTCAGCACTTTGAAAAATCAGAGGGAGGAGATTTTCCAGGTAGGTGGATGGTGAAGATTGGCTGGGCTATTACAGAGATGAAATCTAAATCTAAATCCAAATTCATATTGTTATTCCAAGTACACCATTCATCGTCATGCTGGAAACAGCATCCTGACGAGAAGTCTCTGAGCACTTGATTCCACTACGGGGCTCATGCTCACGCGCTCTCACTCTCGCTCTCTGTCTGACCGTAGGGAGAATTGCCAGGTCGCAAAGATTCTTGGAGCTGTACACCTGCTCCCTCTCCCTGGGTGGTTTTGCATTTATCACCTGTAATATTTTTCCTACTCCTTATCTTAGATCTTAGAGATCTCTGTCCTCCTATCTATTTCACAAGAATTTGAAATGATTAAGAAAATAGTTACATAAAGAAAAACACGTAAATAAAATACAAGAATTAGATGAGTTCAGAAACATATTCTATATTCAGAAAAAAACGTATTAAAATACAGGAACAAGAGTATAAAATAAAGAATGATGTGTCTGTCTAAAGGTGAATGAAAACATTCTAGCATCCTGACCTCTGTGACTCCTAATAAACACTGGTCAGAGTTCATGCCCCACGGCCTGTGTGTCCCTCTCCTTCCTCCTTGGAGTTGCTGCATTAAAGGCCACGCTGCAGTGTTTTCACGGCGCCTTCTGTGTGTGACGCATTTGGTCTGAGAAACACCCATAGAGCTACTGCTGAGTTTAAAAGAAGTAAACATCACCTCACATGACATATGTGAAACCCAGATCACTTTTTAAAGATAGTCTCCTTGGTATCTAATAAACTGGCTAAAGTTGGTGACAGTCCATCCTTCATTAAGTTATTCATTCAATAAATGGCATGTGCTTGAAATACACCAAACTTTGCGGGTACTTTGTGTCTCCTAGAACTTCATATCTAATGAGGGAATTCTGTTTTAAACAATCACACTAATGAATACATAATTGCAGTTACAGCAAGTGTTTTGAAGCAAAATACAAAATGCTCTGAGAAAGTATAAGAAGGCCTCTTATAGGGGAATAACTTGTAGGGGATTATGGAAGGCCTCACTAACCGGGGATGTTTAACCTAAAACTTGAAGAATGAGTGGGAATCAGCCAGGTGAAGCAGACACACCTTAGGAGAAGGCTTTAGAGAGAAGAAACAGAATGCAGAGGGCCAGGGGCAGGAGAACTTGGTGGTCATGGAGGAAGGGAGAAAAGGCCGGTATGTCTGGAACTGAGTGAATGAAGAGGGTGGAATGGTGTGGATTGAGGCTGGAGCTGCATCAGGCCTCATTACAGGTTAGAACTTTCTCCTTAGCTCGTGGAAATGCCCGTTCTTCATTCCTCTCAAAAGGGTTACACACAGCACCCTCCAGAGGCAGCACTGAACACCAGCCCATGGCTCCAGCAGAAAAACTTGTCCAGCCTCTGTTGTATTTCCTGAATCACTTGTTATAGGTGACCTCACAGCATTGAGTTCTCAGCCTTAAAATAAAAAATTCCTCTTGATATTTGATCTCAAGTTCTCTACCCACGGTTTCCTACCCCGCAGACACAGTGTGGCCACCAAAGCTGCTTGGTTGGTTCTTTTCTGCATTATTTCTCTCTCTCTCTGTCTCTGTCTTTCTCCTTTTTTTTTTTTTTTTTTTTTTTTTTGGGAGACAGTCTCACTCTGTCGCCAGGCCAGAATGCAGTGGCATGATCTCGGCTCACTGCAACCTCCACCTCCTGGGTTCAAACAATTCTTGTGCCTCAGCCTCCCGAGTAGTAGCTTTTTGTATTTTTGTATTTGTTTTTTTTTTTTTTGTATTTTTAATAGAGTATTTTTAGGGGTTTTGCTATGTTGGCCAGCTGGTCTGGAACTCCTGGTCTCTAGTGATCCTCCCACCTTGGCCTCCCCAAGTCCCTCACCCTGGGATTATAGGCATGAGCCACAGCACCCGGCCTCTGCATTCCTTTTCTTTTCCATGTCGCGGTCGCCTGTTGCGGCACATTCTTCAGTGTCTTCCACTTGCGCCCCATGGCCTTTCTGGCTTCAGATGCAGAACCTCTCCCGTTATAAACTGAAACTCAAGGCCTCATTTTATATGGGTCGAGAAAAATCTCAAATACTTAAGCTTATTGCATTTCCTTTTCTGTTCGCTCCTGCTAATTTTGAGTGTCATTTTATTCTTGGTTTGCCTGATATTTTAAGGTTCTGTTCATACAGTCTTTTCCCCCAGGAGTTACATAATGACTTCAGTCACTTTAAAGAAGTTTTTAATCTGTCTGACAAAATTATTTTTTCCTTTGTGAAATGTCATCTCTGTTTCTTCTTTTTCCTGCTAGTTTTTTTCAGGATGGACTCAAAGCCGTGGAAAGCCTCAAACCTTCCATTGAAACGCTGTCTACGGATCTTCACACGGTGAGTAGCTTCCCTCCCACTGTGGTTTAAAACCATCTTAATGCAACAGACATTTTCATCTAAATGTCACTTCTGTGTAATCCTGTGTTTTCATGCCGTGCCGCCCACGTGGAGTGTGGCGTTCCCACGCCTGTCCTCTGTCTTGGTGGGAGGGAAGGTTTGACCAGCGAGGGAGGCAGTTGTCGCATTGTGTGGAAATGGCCCCATGAGCACCAACGTTTCACTGTACCTCAGTCTTAATTTTCTGATTGGTTCTGTTGTGTGTGTGTGTTTTTAAAGATCAAACAGGCCCAGGATGAAGAAAGAAGGCAGTTGATACAGCTTCGAGATATTTTGAAATCCGCATTGCAGGTTGAACAGAAAGAGGTGAGGGGATTTAATTTTGAAAGATTGCAGTTTTCACCCCATTCTTGGAGGCTTTGGGTCTGAAGAACATGAAGTTCATGTCTTCTAGGAGCTCACAGTTCACTCGGGCTGTGTCAGGCACCAGTAAAACATTTAATGTATTCTTGCAATTTAGTTCTATAAAACCATCTTTTAAAATATGTTTATTTCAGGAGGAAGCATTTACTACATGCATGGCCTTAATGGCGGTGTATAAACCCTGTGCTCTGTCAGTTGCTAGATAAGGAGCTCTCAGTGGCTTCGTCACAGAGACCATGTGTCATTTGTGCTATTTATCCTGTACCTGGCCCTGTGTCATTTCCCTACCCTGACATACGTGGACTCTGCCCCTTTAGGCCTAGGCACGTAGCAGGGGACCAGCTGGGGCTCTGCCAGCCCTGAGATTGTGTTCTATAAAATATGAGGCATGAGCTTTTCTTACAGCTGCCTCCATCATGACAGGCAGAAATCCTTAGTTCTCTTACTTCCCCTCTTTCTGTAATGACGTCTCTGTGTGCTAACACGTCAGCAGGGACAGTTTGTGTTGTGGGGACTTGTTTTTAAAAAGCCATTAAAAAGTAAGTTTTAAAGATAATTTTACTATATTTTCACTACAATGTGGGTATCATAATGTGAATTTAGTATAAATCCATTTCCTTGTTAATAAAAGGAATGTATCTAAACATATATCTAGTGATTTTAGAGAAATTGCTAAACTACTTGACAGCATAAAGTTCCCTGTTGGCAGTTTGGTGAGCTCTATTTTATTGTAAGTTCTTGTACTATAACTGAATATTGTTGTTTTTCTCCCAAATGCGTTTACCTTTTGTGACCGAAGTCTAGGAGAGTAAGTAGTTCAGTATTTTAATAAATTGCAGAATTTTGCATGTTTTATTCGTGAACATACATATATATATTCCTTTTATATATTAATGGTTAGTAGCATTTTTTATTTTAACCCCTCACCTTTCATTGTTGTAGACTTTATTAAAGGCTGAAGAGTTTGCATAAATATTAGGGAAGTGGACATTTTCTGGGTTTACAGTTTACACTTTTGCTGCTGTTCCTTTATGAAGATGAAGCAGGTCCCTCCCTCCCTCCCTTTCTCTCCCCTGAGTGGCTGAATTCTACACATCTCTCTAGTCCCTCTGAAGCCCCACCTCTGGAGCGCTGCCTCTGATCACCCCAGCCCACAGTGATCTGAGTTCACAGAGCACATCCTGTTTGAATGCCCCATTTGAATCACAGCCTATTCCTCTTTTTGAGTGTTGGTTGTGCCTTAAGTGCACAGATGGCTTTTCACCAGCTGGACCTCGAGCAGCCTGAGGATGCCACCCTGCCTTCTGAGCCATTCTTCCATCACACTGTAGTGCCACAGCGCTCATTTAGTAGGATTTTGGTAAACATGGGTCAACTAAGTGAGACACTGGCAGAGCAAGGTTATATTTAGTGCTAGAAAGGACCTACAACATGGTGACTTCCTCCTAGTCTAGAGAATGTAGGCCCTGACGCTTTGATATTCCCAATAAGCAAAAAAAGGAAAAAAAACTTGGCGTAAGGAGAAAATAGTGGGCTAGCGGTAACGAGGAGGAGGTAGTGCGAGGGCAGGAGCCAGAATGCCGTCCAAGGTGGCTGCTCCCCAGCGCACCGTTGGAAATGATCGAGAACTGCCTTTGTCTAAGAAGGAAGATCCAACCCATGAAGCAAAGCTCAGGTTTAAAATAAGGCAGAGCAGCTGCTGGGGCCAAATGGCCCTCTGGGCACAGTGCAAAGGCTGTGTTTGCTTTGCCTGTGCAGAATTAGGAGGTTTGGGAAAACGGGCTGTTGTGAGAGAACTGGTTATTTACAGCTTCGCAGGAAAGTAATAACAAATTTACCAGCACAGACCAGAAGTTCTTTATAGTTTGTTGTTTTTTGTTAACCAGCCCATCTGCCCCTGATTGCACAGAGGGATCAAATGAACCTCCTTTACTATTCTTCTTTGGCTGTCTGCCCAGTTGGCTCCTTGTCAAGACCTAACTCAACAGTCTCCTAGTTGTGGGCGTGTTGTGTTTTCTGTGTATCATGCTCTGCGTTGCTTTTAGGTGATGGCATTCAGCAAGTTGGACAATCTTTGAACACAGTTGCAAGTAATAAGCAGATGTGAAAATGCTAAATTTTCTGTTTTAAAATGATTTTTATGATGGGGGTTCCATCTTGTATACCTCAAATTTGCAATAAGAATTGATCATTTGGTCATTATTGTTTAGGCCGTCATTCCCTTTGGTTGGATTTTCTTCTGTGACTTAGACAACTGAAGGTGTTAAGAGGATTTTTATTCAGTGTTATAAAAATTCTAACCCTCCCTGTGTAATAACAGTTGATAGAAATTAAGTAACATGCCCCAAAGAAACTGCCTTGATGGTTGGTAGAAGCCAGTGCTCCTCATTCTCTTCCTGTAAATCCCAAGCATCAGTTATTGAAGGAATGAAGAGTGGCCATTCCAGTGTGGTAGCTTCGTGCTGCTGTTTCCTTGTGACCCTGCAGCTTTGTTTTAGTGTGGAGCTTGTGCCGTTCTGGTCCCGGTGACCTCACACCTCCCAATCACTGGCCATTCATGTTTTGTTCTTGATATTTTCTGCTCTCTGTAAGGAGAATACTACTCTTTGGTATTTCCATTATTTTTCTTTGTGAAGGTTTTCATACTTGGAGAAAAGTTGAAAAATTGTGCAGTGACCACCCATAGTGCAATATTATACAATGAGGATCGAACTATGTACCATAGTGTTTGATTTTTGGAGAAGATCCTATTTACACAGTTAAACTCGTTGGCACTGCTCATCTTTGGTTGAGCTCTCTCCCCGTCAGCCTCGCCTCCTGCCTTCCCCATCCCACGTCGTCCATCCGATGGTGTTCTGCCAGGATGGACCCTGTTGGGGTGCTGGCGGAGTCCCAAAGCCTCATCACTTGTGTGCAGGCTCTCTCTGCTGTTTGATGTGGAGAACCCAGACTTGTGTGCTTCTATGGGGAGGATCAGGCTCTGGGGCATGGTCTCACAGGTCTGAGTGCTGAAACCACCATGGTTTTCCACTCTGCAGATCTCAAGTATGGTTGCTCTCTCTCTCTCTCTCTGTCTGTCTGTGTCTGTCTATCTCTCTCTGTCTGTCTCTATCTCTCTCTCTCTCTCTTTCTCTTGCTCCCTCTTTTTCAAGCATCCTGTCTAGTAGGATGTGATAGAACAGTTTGTGCCACCCAGGCAGCCAAGGTCCACCACAGCCATAATTTTCTTCTGCCTCTGGGTTCGCGTATCTTACATGCCCAAATCTGGCCTTCATCACAGAGATCTCTGCCAGGGGCCACCTGCCTGCCTCTCCTGCCAAGCTGCTAGGTAGCCTGGCTCTGGCCTCCATGTCACCCTCAGTGGAGGACTCGTTTGTTGATTCACACATCCAGCTACCCTTTCTTCCACTGTTACCCTAAGCCAGCACTCCACAAACACAACAGAACAAGATGGATCAGGTTATCATCTCTTCAGGGGATCATGCTCTGGGGGTGGGGACAGAGAAGCAATTGGGGTGCAGTGTAATGAGAGCACTCGTGGACATCAGCTCCAGGAAGCAGTGTCTGCCCAGTGCGGGCTGGGCAGGTGCCATCAGGGATGACTTCCCAAAGGCTGTGATACCTGGGATGGAGCTTAGAAGGATGATTAGGAGTTGGCAGGCCAGGCATGGTGGCTCACAGCTATAGTCCCAGCACTTTGGGAGGCCAAGGCAGGTGGATTGCTTGAGTCCAGGAGTTCAAGACCATCCTGGCCAACATAGTGAGATTCCATCTCTACCAAAAGTCAAAAAAATTGGCCAGTTGTAGTGACATGCACGTGTAGTCCCAGCTACCCGGGAGGCTGAGGTGAGAGGATCCCTTGAGCCTGGGAGGTGGAGGTTGCAGTGAGCCAAAATCGCACTGCTGCACTCCAGCCTGGGCAGCAGAGCATGACCTCATCTCCAAAACAAAAACAAAAAACTGGGGACGGGGCAGGAGTTAGCAGAGTCCCAGCAGGTGAGGCTGGTGGAGAGGACAGCTTCTGACTAGGACGGGGTTGCCTGGGGAGCTGTCTAGCAGAGCAGAAGAGCATGGATCTTGGCATTTGAATCCTGGGTCTCCCACTTCCTACCCTGCCCTGTGACACTGGGCAGGTTCCTGGACCTCTCCATGTCATGGTCTCCCCGTCTGTCAAATAGGAATAATACAGCCAACCTCAGAGTTTTCAGGAGATCTAAGAGATAATTTCTGTAGAGCACTTACCATATTATCTTAATAATAGTAAAATTATTTATTAATAATCTTAATAAATATTAATAAACTATCTTAATAGTTCATTCAACAAATACTGAGCTCCTAGGTGGTAAAGATACCGTAGTGACCAAATTCCCTTCCCTCATGGTGTCGCGCTCTTAGAGGTTCAACAGGAATGGATACTGCTGCTGTCGTTGTGTGTGACATATCCCTTAGCCTCCTTGTTGGTCCGTCCTCTGGCCCTATGTCTTCATGGCTCTTGCCCCTCTTCCTTCTTCACTATCTGACTCAAGATGCTGTCATACCCAGCTCTAGGCTTCTCCTCTTACTCCTGACCCAGGCCTTCCAGCCTCACCTGCCTCTCACCCACCTCTCTGTGTCCAGCCTGCGTCACATTCCACATTCACTCTAGGGGAGGAGGGACCTGTTCCTATCCATTGCAGGGCATTTCCTGTTTACCTCACTTTTCAGGTTTTCCAGGCACTTTACAAGTGTGGCCAACGATCCTTACAAGCCACTTTACAGGGTAGGCAATGTTTGCCCATGTCTGCAGCTTTTTGTTTGTTTGTTTGAGACAGAATCTCCCTCTGTCGTCTAGGCTGGAGTGCAGTGGTGCAATCTTGGCTCACTGTAACCTCTGCCTCCTGGGTTCAAGTGATTCTTCTGTCTCAGCCTCCCAATTAGCTGGGATTACAGGTACGCGCCACCACGCCTGGCTAATTTTTGTAGTTTTAGTAGAGACGGGGTTTCACCATGTTGGCCAGGCTGGTCTCGAGCTCCTGACCTCGTGATCTGCCCGCCTCCGCCTCCCAAAGTGCTGGGATTACAGGCATGAGCCACCGCGCCCGGCCAGCCATGTCTGCAACTTTATTCTGTGAGAGAGAGAGGATAAGTGCCCTTGCTGGGCTCACACAGTGGCATCAGAGCCAGGATTTGACCCTGATCTATTCCATGTCAAACTGGTTCTCCGGAGTCTTTTAAAAATTACCCTTAAATAATGGAGAATAGGTGGTAACGATATTTGAAAGCATTGTTCTTAGACCATGGCTCAGTGCTTGGCTCAGCAAGGCTTCCAGCTCCCAGTTGTGCCCATGTGGGTGGACATACCTGTCATATCTTCAGAAGATGGGGGAATGAATTGGACATCACAGCCCTCCTGGGCAGAGAAATTTTAAGCTTCCAAAAATGACTCCTCGACAAGCTTGTCAATCACAGGAATTGTCTGGACACTGACTTTCTAAGAAGTGGGCAAAATGTCAGTTTTTAAGCTATCCTAGAGTCTTTAGAGTCTTAGACAGCTCAAGGATTCTACTGGTCATCTGGGCAGATTCTGTGTTGGCCAGACCCAATGGCTAATACTTCATAGGGCCACAGAAAAGTTAAGATCAAGGATGATGCCTGAGCTCTGAGAACTTGTCTGGGTGTCACAGGACAGAGGATGTTGGACACTGATAGAATTTCATGAAAGCCTTTTGAGGTTCCACCAAGTGCCCACCTACCCTGCATACTCAGGCACACAAACAGTCCCTGCACGTTGAGGCTTTGTCAGTCGAGTTTAGGTTGTCTTCGTCTCTCTTAGGAAAGTGGAGAGTACATTGGAGTCTCCAGGAATTGGGGCAACATGGACCGCCCTGGCCTCTCTTACTTTTTATGTTATTCTTCTCTCCAGAAGGAGAGGTTCTTTTTCCTTGCATAGTATTCTAAAAGTCAGAACCTTGGTCATGTGAAAGGGCCGGTTTTCTCTGTCAGGCCTTCACCTGGTCAGGCGTTTTGTACAGGCTAACAAAGGCTATTGTTACGGGGTCGCCTGGGAGTCACCTAGAGGATACTGAAGTAATTCGCACTAAAACAGTTTCAATTTTATGTTAAACAGATTATATTCCTCTTTTTTACAAATGTGAAGTTTAATAGGCCAGCTTAATTCAGATTTGCCTGCATGCTTCAATTGGCCTAAAGAAAAGAATAAAACAGGGTGATTTCATTGTCACCTTCTGGCATAGGGTCTGATTCTGTTGAGAAGAATGTCCCTTATCCTGTTCGTGAGACCTGAAAATCGCTCTGATTAATATGCGCGGCACGAACAGTGTTAGCGGTGTTGTCACATGATTTCACCACTTACTTTGTGCAGGGCTTTTTTTCTCCCCCAAATCAATAGACGTATTTCTTGGTTGTGCAGTTGAGTCTCCTGACAGGTTTATTTTTAGTCTTTCACAGAGACGCTGTACAGGTGAGCAGTATTTCTCCACATTCCTTCCACAGCATTGTTCTCAGCAACGTTGAAAGCTGGATTTGCTCTAAATTTTGGTGCCGATGTTCCGCCCTTCTGAGAAAATGTGGAAGCTGGGACCATCCTCATCCCATGAATGCGTGTGTGCCCTAGTTTATCCAGAGGCTCAAGTGCTGTGTGAACTTTCTGTGGAAATGAGTTCATTTCTCCCCTCCTGGGCTCTGCTTGTTTCAGGGTTGGTTGTCAGTTCAGTAATGGAGAGTGCCTCCGCATGTTACTGATTGCTCACGTGGAGTTTTTTGGTTTTTCTTTTTTGGCAGAGTTTAAAAAGTCAGTGCTAGACACTCATGTGCATGGGTTGGAAGACTTATTGTGAAGATAACAGTACTCCCCTAATTGATCTACACATTCAGTGCAGTCCCCATCAGAAATCCCAGCTGCCTTTGTGCAGAAATTGACAAGCTGATCCTGAAGTTCATGTGGAAACGCAAAGGACCCAGAATCGTCAAAACAATCCTGAAAAAGAAGAACAAAGTTGGAGGATTCACATTTCCTGATTTCTGAACTTACCACAAAGCTGTAATAATCAAGACAGTGTGGTACTGGCATAAGGAGAGACATATAGACCAATGAAATAGAGCTGAGAGTCCAGAAATAAATCCTTACATTTAGAGATGATTTATTTTTAACAAGGGTGCCAAGGCAATGGAGAAGGAGTAGTCTTTTCAACAAATTGTGCTGGGGCAGCTGGATAGCCACAAGCAAAGAAGGAACTTGGTCCCTTACCTCACACCATAATCACAATTAATTCAAAATGAGTCAAAGAGCTAAATGAGAGCTGAGACTATAAACCTCTTGGAAGAGATTTATAAGTATAAATCTTCATGACCTTGGATTAGGCAATAGTTTCTTAGATAGCACCCTTACAGTACAAGTGACAAATGAAACAGTAGGTAAATGGGACTTCATTAAAATTAAAAAGTTTTGTGCTTCAGAATCTTTTTTCAAACTCAGAAATCCAAGAGGCTGCCTGTGCCTTGGGATGCAGTCGAAACTCTGACTCCAGCCCGTCTTGTCCACCCCTGGGCCTTACTGCCTCAGATGCAGTATTTGTCTAGCTTCCCTGGGTGCTGACCACGTGACCGTGACCTCCCTGTGTCTTCTGTGTACTATCCACTTTGCCTTGAAGATCCTACCCTGATTCTGTGCCAGTTCTTGCCTTCATGTTTAAAACTCGCTTTTTCCTGTGCTTTTCTCCCTTTGACTCTTCAGTTCCTGAGTGCTCTTGTTCTCAGCTTCCATCACACTGATTTTCCTGCGTTAGTTCTTTCATCGTTTGGGGATGTGCTTCGTTCTCCAAGGATGGTGAGCTGCTCAGTGGCAATGATGAGAGTGGCCCTAGACTCTGAGGATGTTCTGTGGGGAAAGAAGATGGTGTAATGGAAGGAGCCTCAGAGTGGAAGGCAGGATTCCATTCCACTCTCTGCTCTTGCTTTAAGGAGCTCTGCACCTGGAGCAAACCACTTATTTTCATTGTGTCCCTGTTTCTCCCATTATGGAATGAACTGGATAGGCGTTCTCATTAAACACCTACGAGCAGCCCTCGGCCCTTTCCTGGTTGACCTGTGAACACTTGGTTCACATCTTGCTCCCCTCTCGTTTCCTTTAAGTCTCAGGGAAATAGAATTTCCTGCACTGGCACTGGTGGCCTCCTACTCTCAACTCAGAGTGTCTGCTACTGTTTGTTTTGTTTGGTTTTTGTTTTTTTGAGACAAGGTCTCGCTCTGTCACTGAGGTTGGAGTGCAGTGGTGCTATCATGACTCACTGCAACCTCGATCTCCCAGGCTCAAGCAGTCCTCCTGCTTCAGCCTCCCGCATACCTGGGACTACCAGCGCCTGCCACCATACCTAGCTAATTTTTGTATTTTTTGTAGAAACGAGGTCTTGCTATGTTGCCTAAGCTGGTCTTGAACTCCTGGGCTCAAGCCATCCGCCCACCTTGGTCTCCCCAGATGTTGGGATTACAGGCATAAGCCACTGCGCCCAGCCTGATATCATTTGTTAAACACCAGTTGAGCCACCTGTTGGATGCCAGACACTGGACTTGGGCCCTGGGTGTTCATTGCTAGTCCTCGCTTACCCTAAGAAGCTGATAGGCTGGAATTTCCCAACTGTGGTAGATTCAATCAGATTCTCAGCTGACCATGTGGATGGTTTACCTATGATTAAGCTCCCTTGGTCAGGGTCAGACCCCCCTTACTCAAGATTGGTGGAGGGAGGAAGTGAAGATTTTTGCAATACTTGTTGATGTTCACATGTGTGATCCTATTGAGTCCTTACTGTTTATTGGCCTTACTGGGTATTCTTTTCTTATTGCCCAAGAAGGGAACTGAGGCTGAGAGCTTATGTGATGGTTCTGTAGTAAGGGACAGAAAGCTGGTTTTGTCGTTTTGCTTGGAAACCCCTGCCTTTCCACTCACTGCATCACCTCCCTCCTCGAGGGCTACTGTGGCCGTAGTGGGAGCCTCATGTCACTGTCAGGGGGTTAAGGCTCGTAATGAAATAAAACCTGGAAACTTCCAGGGCTCATTCCTTCAGCCAGTTTGGGAATATTGGTTTCCTGACATTTCCTTCTCCAGCCTGATAGATGGCATTTATCAGTTCCTAGAGCAGAATCTGATGTCCCTTTTTTGCTGTGTTGAGAAAGGGAAATTTCTCCAATTTTTGTTGTTGTTAAAAAAAAAACACATTAGGCATAAGTTTCCTTTGTGTACTGCTTTTCTAAAAATTAGGACCTGGACAAGATTAAAAACACACTCTTCACCATTTTTTAGGACTCCCAAATTCGTCAGAGCACAGCTTATAGCTTACATCAGCCTCAGGGAAACAAGGAACATGGGACCGAGCGGAACGGCAGCCTCTACAAGAAGAGTGACGGGTACGTGAGGGGGTGTGGCTAGAGTTTAAATGTACGTTCGTTATCTTGTGTCCAAAATGTCTAAACTCTTATTGTTTCTCCCACTTATCCACAAGGATCCGAAAAGTGTGGCAGAAAAGGAAATGTTCAGTTAAAAATGGTTTTCTGACCATATCCCATGGTACCGTAAGTATTCTCTTTTAATCCATGGTGTCTGCTGTATTAGGTGAGGTTGGTGTTGGAGGACTTTCTGAAGTTAGAGGGCAGGAGTTGTTCTCCGTGTGTGATGGTATTAAGGATGTGTCTTAGAGAATTTCCCTGTCAGAAACGCTTGCTGGCCTCCGTCTTGATTTGGTGCACCTGCAGCCTGTTTATGTTTTTTTTTTTTTAATTTTAATTTTAATTTTTATTTTTTATTTTAGCCAGATGGAGTCTTGTCCTTGTTATCTTCCACTCCCTAGCAGAGTCAGGAGTAACTGATAAGCCAGGTTGTCTTTATTTAGAAGCCTGTGACTCCAGAAAGCACAGAACAGCAAACTGCTCCCCCAGCTCTCTTTGTCTCTGGAAATCAAACATCTCACTTAGGAAGATTTCTACTTTTCCATTAAGAGAAAAAAATGGGCAGGACTCTGGGGACCAGAAATCCATGAGAAAAGACATCTCAGTGATTTTATTATTGAAATCTTAACATATGGTGCCCAACTTTAAGGCCTCTTTCCATCATCCTGTTTATCAGAGTCTATGCAAGAAAAAACGGAGCCCTCTATGTTGAGCTTATGAAAAGCCGGTCAGGATAAAGTTCCTTACCAATCTAGCTTTCAGAGGCCAGGAACTTGGATCACAGACACAGCCCTGCACACCACACTGTTCTTTCCATGGCAGCGTTATACATACTATTGCCTCACCTGGCATGACTAGAGCTGGTGATAACCACATGGGCTGGTAGACAGCTTTGGTAACATCTCAAGGCCGAGGTCGTTGCCTTTTTGTTGCTAGAGAGATGCTGAGGGTTGTTTGCATTCCCATTCCCCAAGCAGAGGCCTAGTAGTGCATGCAAGCCAGCAGCCTTGGGCGTGTGAGTGGATGATAGTAACCGTCTTTCCTGCCCCTTGTCCCTCCAGTCCCTGGTGAAGGCAGAGCTGGGCAGGAGCTCAGAGGGGCTTTTCTGGCCCCTATAGAAATGTCATCACTCAACATGGGGTCCAGAGAAACGGCCCTGAGGTTCATAAGGGAATAGAGTAAAACCCCAGCCGAAGCATGTCACAGCAGCAAGGATTGTGTTCCTCTGGGGGTGCCTTTGTTTTTGCCAACTTCGATTTAGAAAGGGAGAGAGGAGCTAGAATAGTATATACCCAGTGGAGGGATTCTCGGTGACCTCTGGTCTAGGGGTTTGAATGTGTCTCTGAACTTGGAAATGAAGGTCATTTTCTATTTTCAAAACCCAGCTTTCACTGGTCATGTGATCACCACCGTACTCCCCCTGCCCCCGCGACCCCAGGGCCATGCAGTATGGATCTTAATGGGACATTATGGGCAGGTGCAGTGGCTCAAGCCTGTAATCCTAGCGCTTAGGGAGGCCGAGGCGGGCAGATCAGCTGAGGTCAGGTTCGAGGCCAGCCTGGCCAACATGGCAAAAATCCTGTCTTTACTAAAAATGCAAAAATTAGCCAGGCATGGTGGTGCATGCCTGTATCCCAGCAACTTGGGAGGAGAGAATTGCTTGAGGCAGGAGAATTGCTTAAACGCAGGAGGCAGAGTTTGTGGTGAGCCGATATCACGCCACTGCACTCCAGCCTGGGAGACAGAGCAAGACTCCATCTCAAAAAAAAAAAAAAAAGCCATTCTTTCCATGCGTGGATGTGAGGGTATGAGTTCTGTAGACCAAGGGAAGCAAATTTATCCAGCTATCACTGTCTTTAATATTAGGAATGTTAGATTAGATGAGACTAGGCACCCTTCTAAATACCTTCCAGATCTCAACACCTGTGGTTCTGTGGTTTGCTTTCGAATTGGTGTCCACTCGCTGTTTGTTTGAACTCCGATTGACTGCCTCAGTGCAGAAACTGTCATACAACTAAGTTCTAGTTCATGCTTTTACAGCTCTGAAGTCAAGGGGCATATTTGCTTCATTGAGAGTTCCCCTAGATCCAGGCCTCAGCTTAAGCCAGTGAGTGGCTCTTTCCATGGCAGCTGGAAAACAGGTCTGGTAATCCTTTGCTGACAGCATAAACTTCACTTCGAGTCACTTCCATAGCTTGAGCTTCCTCTCAAAAGATGTGGAGGCTTAGTTGTCTTTAAATTTGGATGGGTTGCCCCAGTTTTTGGCAGATAGTACGGTTATAACCGGCATTACTGGGATGCTGAGAACTCAGCTTGTCACACAGCGTGTGCATATTTAATAGGTGCTTTGTGTTTGGAGGGGAAAACCCTCTCCAGGGAATCTCCACTTCCAGAGGTCTCCTCCTGCCTTTAGCAGCCATCGCCGCCTACATCCTGCAGGGGTGGTAGGTGGGGCTGTCTTGATTCACTTCCTCGCTGCCATGCAGAAAAATAAAGTAGTTTTCCAGCCCTCCGTTCAGTGGCTGAGTGTTCCTTTTCTCACCTTTTCCCTATTTCCCTGCGTGCTCTGGAAGTCAGAATCCAGAGGACCCCTCTGTATGACTGCGTCTACAGAGAGGTTGCATGTGGGGAAGTGAGTTCACCCATACCAAGAAAGAGAATTGAGAGATGCCCTTTTGGTTTGGTTTGGTTTTGACTTGATTTCTTGTGCAGCTCACCTGTTTGGCCAGCAGCTCCTGAGTGTGCTCGTTTACAGTCAGGAAAAAAGGGCACATTTCCAAAGACTTGATTAAGTGGAAGTCTAAGAGCAGAGCCTGGCACATAGCTGCGAAGCAGGTCTTTAAGAAATGGAAGCACACAGGGTGTATTTACACTGGTAGGAAAACCCTTCCCAGGAAGCTGGCAGCCTCTGGGAAATGAAGTTGTTGTATTCTGATTGGAGCAGAGGATTGAGGATAACATCCGGGAGATTCGTTCAAAGCCCGAGTTGAATTTCCTTCTTAGCCAAGTCTGTTTTCTGGCCCTAGGAAGAAGTGATCCTTGAGACAAAATAACTCTAATTAGATATCCTCTTTGCCAGATTCGCAGGATTGCCACACCACTGAGGGCTGGGGACTGTGTTACACTGGAAGGAATGTCCACTGGCTCTTACACAATCTAAAATTTTAAAAAATGATCAGTCATGAAGAAAGAAGAAAACACCTTCCTTCTAAAAGCCTGACAAATCGGGAAAAAATAGAACGGCACGATTAGAATGGAGAATCACTGATAATCTCTGCCTGCATGGCAAACTCTAAAGCTGTTGCATCTTTTTTTTACCATTCCTTCCCAAGTTTTCTACTAAACTAGGGCTTCTCAAATTAAATTCTCAAGAAAATACTGGTATTTTGTGAATTAGATGAAACCGTTCTGTATCTCAATTAACTGATGACACTTTTTTGTCTGTTTGTTTGTTTGTTTGTTTGTTTTTTTCTTTTTGAGACGGAGTCTCGCTGTGTTGCCCAGGCTGGATGGCTCACTGTGACCTCTGCCTCCTGGGTTCAAGCAGTTCTCCTGCCTCAGCCTCCCAAGTAGCTGGGACTGCAGGTGCATGCCACCATGCCCAGCTAATTTTTGTATTTTTAGTAGAGACTAAAAATCTCTACTAAATCAGCCAGGTCAGGCTGATCTGGAACTCCTGATCTCAGGTGATCTACCTGCCTCAGCCTCCCAAAGTGCTGGGATTACAGGCGTGAGCTACTGCGCCCAGGTGACACTGTATTTTTCCAAATTGCAACAGGGAAGGATTTTAATGGATAGAATTTTCTCCCATAAATTTTTCTAATAGCTTTACTGTTTGCTAATACTTAATCTATGTACTTAATATTTAACCTGAATAGCAAACAGTTATTAATGTAAAACAGAACTGCTGGTGATATTGCTTAAGATCAACTTGTGTGTTTTGTGGACCCATTCTTATGGTTGTCATTTTTTAATATGTAGGCACATTTATGTCTTCATAAATTATTCCTACTTCAAACAAAGGTGCTGAATATTTTTCTCTATTTTGTGGTATGCTGCGAAGTGAGAAATCTATCTTTGATAGTAGTTAAGAACGAACACCTTTCCCCGTATCACAGGGAAAAAGGAAGACTGCAAGGTGGAGGTGGGGAGGGAGAATGAGTTGTAGTAATTTAAGTTGTGGTTCTTTGCTGCTCTTAAAGATAAGTCCAGGCAAGCAACCGCCTTCCATGGATACCCACGTCGAGGACAGGGAGGGTGGCAGTTGAGCCCCGAGCCCTGGAGCCAGCCTGACTTGTTGGAATCCTAGCTTCCCCGCTCCCTAGCTGTATAACCTCAACCAGATTATTTGGTCTGTCCGGGCCAGTGTCTTTAGCTACAAAATTGGTGTAGTTCCTACCTCAAAGGGCAGTTAGGAAAATTAAATGAATTATTTCATGAAAAATGTTTAGAACAGTGCCTGCCTTGTATAGGTATATAATAAAAATAGCTGAGTAAATGTAGCTATTGTTATTCAAAGTCATTATTTTGTCCATGAAGGTGCTTCTGTATTTATCAAAGCACACAAACCTTAGATATAGGAGTTATTCCTATATCTAAGACCCCACAATTTGGAAGTAGCCCTAAAATTTGCACGTGTACAGTTGTGTCATCACAGGGAGGTAACAGAATAGACACAGGCTACGTATGGGTGGGTGTACACCCGTGTTAAAGTACTTGGTTGCATACATGTTTTGTAACCATGTTTCTAGAAATAGATCATTTGCTGTATTGGTTCCTGGATAAGTTAGGTAATCCGATTGGTAACAATCCACGATCAGTGGTGCTTTCACTTGAAAGTGTCCAGATTTACAAGATTAGGCAGAGCTTGGTATCTTCTAATACTGATTTCTGACGATCCAGGAATTCTCTGAGATATCTACAGATTATGGAGAATATCTGACTAACCTGTAGAGGAAAAGACCAACACAGCCACGAACCAGGAGAGTCTAGTACAACCCTGTTTATCTGACTTTATCTGACTTTCACTAGTCCAAACTTACATTTATTAACCCAAATCCTTCACGCTGCAAGGATGGGTTCAACTCTCCCACCCTAACTCTGTAGACTTACTGGAAGGAAGCTGCTGGGCCTGTAAGTGCTTGAGGGTTTCACAGGTCTGTCCAGGTGTAGATGCATATGTGTATGTATCTGGATTAATCCCAAATTCAGGTTTTTTTCATCTTGAAGTGACCGGTGGCCAAGGGAAGTGGGGCCCAAGAACGATGGAAGTTTAAGACATTCTTATTTGATCTTTCCTTTAGCAGCTTGGTAGGTGGGTAAGATAAGCCCACTCCCATTTGGATATTCCTCCAAGATTTCTAAGAGGTATTCTGCTGTTCGAAATTTTTGTTTCTGAAATTATCTTCTTACCCTCAGTCCTTTGCTTTCTTGGACTAAGTATGATCTTTTTTTTGAAACTGTAATAAAATAGCCATTTTTCATACACCTCTGATGAAAGTATGTTGTGATCGCTTGGTGTCGTGTGTGGGGGAGAGGGTTTGGGGGTTACAGATGTGAATGAAGTATGTTTTGTTGAAACTTAAGTGACAGTGATGGTTGGCATTTAGGAATGTGAGTCTGTTATCTGTCACCACTTCAAACAGTAGGAAAATAATTTCTCTGCCATTTTTGTACTGTGAAATTACCTTCACTGGAAGTGAGGTTTATGCTAAGAAAAAACGCTTTTAAGATCACCAGAAATTGAGCTGGGTGCCCAAGTTACCTGGCAAATCAACTGTGTTGTCGGTAGGAATCAGAACTGAATGTTTTGGGCTTAGCCATGCAATATCTTGATCTGAAGGCACCCACTGCCAGCAGCCTCAAAGCTGGCATCGCTTGTCCTCTTGTCCAGGTGGGTTTGTGTAGACCACCAAGGTGCCCTTGCAGGGAGGCAGTTGCCCTCTGTGGAGATGAAGTTCAAAGGCCTCTGTAACTTGTCCCAGTCAAGCCTTCCTCTGTCAAGTCTGAAGGCCACCTTTGCAAACTAGTGAAGAGCTTGCTGTTGCTGTATCTCGTGAGGATTGATACTGTATGATTTTCCATTCCTTCCACCCAACCCCAACCTTTTTTGTTGTTTTTTGCTTTTAAACAGGCTAACCGGCCTCCTGCAAAGCTCAACCTGCTAACCTGCCAGGTGAAGACCAACCCTGAGGAGAAGAAGTGCTTTGACCTCATTTCACGTAAGGCTCCCTCTGAGATGCCGCGCCATAGAGACGTTGTCTTATGCTCTCCTCTGGGGCGTCCTTCACATTTCAAACACTGCATTCGGAAGAATTGGTTTTTGAAGAGACATACCCTTTTTCTAGTGATATGCGTGCTTTGTGTTCCATTAGTAACTGCTGGCTTGCCAGCCTTTCTAGTTGAGAGTTTGACTTTGAGGGCTGGCCCTGCTCCTTGGGGGCACTGTAGTCCTGAGACATTACCTGGCTCTCTGAGCCTCAGCATTCCTGTTCCTAAATAGGGAGATCCTACAAGAGAAGCCCACAAGCCTAAAACTCCTTCACTTGAAAAAGAGAGAAGGAGGACAATTCTGTTTTCAAGAACTTACATAATTTGGGTGATGTTAGAAATGCTAAAATGAGGGTCTTCAACAGGTCCCTTGAAACTTCAGTGTTTGAAATTGTTTTTCTTCCTCACCACAGGAATAGTCTTTCTGCTTCTCTGTGCTTTTCCTTTTTGTGGCGTTCACAAAAGAATCCCCACAGAACCATCCATTGTGGTGAATGTTTACTCAGCACCCCCTAAATTAAAGGGCCCATGATGTCTAAAAGAAAATAAGATAAACCTTTTTTCCTAGGTAGTTCTGTGTGGCAGGGTTAGAGTCTAGGGGAAGAAAGGGCCAGTCTCCCCTTTGAAGAGGCAGTCACTAGGGATTTGGGTGCAAGAGTTACATTTGCAGAGGACCACGCCGGACTGTGTACTGTAGGAAGGCGGTGCTGTTCTCTGTGCCTCAGTACCCCTGAGTGGGAGATGGCTACCTTTTCAAATGTCAGTTGACCTGTATTATTGAGGGCTAGGAAGTCACTTGTTATGTGATTCAGCGCTCCCAGCAAACTGCGGGTAATTATCACTCCACCTCACCCACAATGGCTTGCTCTTATCCTCCCTGTTCCCCTTCTCATACCCTCTGTGTGAATCTCTGGGGAGGGTTGAGCACTGTGATATGTGCAGAGGGTTCCAGTACCATTTATTCTGTTCTTCAGACTCTAGACTGATTTGTAAAATAAAATGGACTTTATCCTGTGTCAAACACCCATCCTGACTCAGTCTAGTAAGGTCCACAGATTCTCATCAAAGCTTGCCTTTCATTCATACAAGATGTTATAAAATGCTGAGTACTGGCCAGAGTTTAAAATGTGATTGCAAGCCAGGTGTGGTGGTGTGATCCTGTAGTCCCAGCTACTCGGGAGGCTGAGGTAGGAGGATCACCCAAGCTCAGGAGTAGACGTCCAGCCTTGGTAACATAGCAAGACCCTAACTCTTTAAAACACACACAAACACACACACACACACACACACACACACACACACAAACACACACACCACTGCTGGGATACCTGTGTCTAGCTAGCAAAAAAGGCTTGAATTGAAGAGTTTCAGAAAACCTGATGGTGTAATCTGATGTCTGCCAGTGGCTGGGGCTAACTCAGGGTTTTAGGCCTTTCTGTTTTCTGAACTAGTAACACACAAGAAGCCATGCGTTAAAATGCCCATCCTTAACTCATAAGCAATAATAGTGAACCTATCACCTGGAGGTGGGTGTAGGGACTTCTTCCCTCAACTGCCCTAGGCCCCTCCAGCATGCTCCACAGGGAGACCCTGCTAGATGCCATATGTGCAGAAGCACTTGCTCCAATGTATTCCCAGCCTCCACCTTTTTACAACACAGCAGGCAGCAGGGAGGATCAGTAGACGGCAAGTGTGCATGCCTCCCTTCTGGGTGTGAGTTACTGCAGCCCTTACACGTGTGGGAATGCAGTCCTCTGTGAATCTGGCCACACACAAGCTCTGTGGCCAACTGATATTTACCAAGATCCTGCCAGTGTCTTTGCTGCAGCCTGATGCATTGAAACATCTTCAGGAAGGACTTGTAGCCTGTGATGCCCAGACAGGTTTGCTGAGCCCAGTTGGGGGCAGTGTCGTGAGTTTGCTAGAGTCCATTGTCATCTTTGAAAAGAGCTCTCATCCCTCCTCCTTCCCTGCTTGTCTTCCAGTGGGTAAAATGAATTCCAGTCCTGCAAATTCTTCATCCTCAGTGAGTTTTCAAAAGGTGCCTTCCTATGAGTATCTGTAGTGAAAATGGTTTGTGCAGGGGTATGTGGGTTTGGGTTGAAAACTGGCCAGATACCCCAGAGAGTCATCACAGGAAACCTGGCTGCAGTATAAGCCGTGATTTGATGAACATCCTGAGAAGGTGAGGGACATGGGGTCAAGACCTGATTCTGGCTGATTGAGGAGCATCTGTCTTCACCCCTCTCAGATTCCTCCTCTACTTCCTCACCAGCCTCATGGGATGAGTATCACCAAGATGCTTTTGAACTCTCAAGATGCTTTTGAACTGCCTGGGTGGGCCAGGCAGTGGCTCATGCCTGTAATGCAAGCACTTTGGGAGGCCAAGGTGGGAGGATTGCTTGAGGTCAGGAGTTCGAGACCAGACTGGGCAACATAGCAAGACCTACAAAAAATTTAAAAATAGTGCAGTATGGTGACATGTGCCTTTGGTCCCAGCTACTCAGGGAGCTGAGATGGGAGGATCGCTTGAGTTCAGGAGGTTGAGGTTGCAGTGAGTTGTGTTCGTGCCATTGCACTCCAGCTTGGACAACACAGCAAGACTGTCTAAAAAAAAAAAAAGACATTTGGGCAGTTGGGGAAGTCAAGTGGAGGCACATGCATTGAGGCAGTGAGGGTGATATTTTCTGTGTGCATCTGCCAGGCACTCCATGGTCACCCATTCCTCCTCTTCCTCATCTGGTCAGTTCATCTTGGAATCTGCCCAGAGAACTCAGAAGAGCAATAGACTGGCTGGCTGGTTGCAGTTACTTCCTACAAGATGTTCCTTTACCATCCTTGCTCCTAAACAGGGGCTTCCCATTCTCATGAAGGTGGAATTGGGGCCAGGGGCAGTGGCTCACACCTATAGTCCAAGCTACTTGGGAGGCTGAGGTGGGGGGATCACTTGAGTCCAGGAGTTTGAGGCTGCAGTGAGCTGTGATTGTGCCACTGCACTGTAGCCTGGGTAATAGAGGGAGACCTTGTCTCTTTAAAAAAAGAAAAAGATGTAAATGAGCATGGGCTTTTCTAGGAGGATGGTTCTGTGGCAAGGCCGGCCCTTCTGGGAGCTCATCTAATCCATTGCCTGCAGACCGACCCCACTCATAGCAAATTCAAGTCCTGAGCCATTATCCGCGAACCCCATAGGCACCCTGGGAGGGATGGAAGGAACAGTAGAATTGTGAGGTGACCCAAGTGAGTCCCCTGAGTAGGATGGAGCCAGAGGGAGTCAATGACCTTCCAGGTCCACATGGCAGGTTAGCGGCCAGTAGAGCCAGAGCCCTGGCCACAAGCTGCCCTTCACTGGCCACCAGCACCTGAGTGCTCCGATCGCCCCCTCTGTCTCCTCCTGCTCTTCTCCCTCACGGCTGAAGCTCTGGAAGCCGTCCGCTTATTTGTAGCATCTTTAAAGAGAGTGTAGTGGAGGGGATTCTTGCTTGAAGTTTTTCCTCAGAGGTTTGCCTCCTGCTTGTGCAGTTTTTACACGTCAGAATGCAGAAATTGGCCAGGTGCGGTGGCCCACGCCTGTCATCTCAGTACTTTGGGAGGCTGAGGTGGGAAGATCGCTTGAGCCTGGGAGATTGAGGCTGCAGCGAGCTGTGCACTGCACGTTTGCACCACTCCACTCCAACCTGGGCAGCAGAGTGAGACTCCGTCTCAAAAAAAAAAAAAAAAGAAAAAGAAAAAGATGCCATGGTGTTGTAGAAAGTGGTCGGGCCAGAAGTCCAGGAACCAAGTTCTGCTGCTGGCTATGCTTGTTTTTTGCAGCTTAGCCTCTCTAGGCTTCAGCCCTCACCCAGTCACTTACCAAGAGTTGTTCTAAGAACCAACGTGCTTTCAGGAGTAAACACCACTACAGAGAGGTGGCGTGTCCACTCACTTTTAGGAGCACAGATGTTCGTTGTGTTTCCCTAAGAAGAGAATTGGTACTTGTCATCATTCTGCCATCTGCAAAAGCTGGATTCCCCTGCCCCTGCTTTTCTTTATTAAATATAATTTTATTTTTTGCTTTGGTTTTAGACTGCTTTTAGACAGAGAATATCCATATATCCCTCCCCTAGCTTTCCCTTCTGTTAACATCTTAATACAGTTATCCAGTAGTCCGTGGTACATGTTATCCAATCATATTTATGTAGTTATCAAAACCAGGAAACATTGGTTTGATGCTATTAACTAAAAATCTTACTCAGATTTTACCAGTTTTCCCCCAAATGTCCTTTTTTCTGTTCCAGAATTCTATCCAGAACCCCATGTTACATTTAGTTGTGATTTTATCCTGGTCTCTTGCAGTCTGTATCGGTTCTGTAGTCTCACTTGTTTTTCATGATGCCTTCTTAAAGAGTATTGACCTGTTTTTTGGTCAGACTCCCCTTAATTTGGATTTCTCTAGTGTTTTCTCATGAGTGGATTGAGGTTATATGTTTTTGGCAAGAGCAGCACAGAATGATGCTGCCACATCCCACACAGCCGCCTCCCTGCTGCACACACACACAGGTCCACAGCCTGGCAAAACACTTGTAAAACTGTGCTGACACCAGCAGTATGTAAGTGTAGGATTTTATATTCGACCATTATTTAACACACTCCTCTTGATTTAGCTACATTTCTAGTATTTGATTCTCAAAGCATATTATTCTTAGAATTTCTCATACTAATCTTTTTCTGAGAAAGCCAGAAAACTTCTAAGATATTCTTTTTAAAAAAGGTTTTTATTATTCAAAGGGCTTGAACAATTACTTTTTGGGGGCCAACTCTGTAGTGAGTTAAAATGAAGCTATTGAGAGGATAGTGATGGTTTTCATTGAATAGCTTCAGTTTTTAGAAGCGGCGTCTTTTAAAACTTGAATGAGGGAAAGGGCAGGTTTATTTTGCATTAGAATGCCACCGTTGGTGAAGGCAGACATTTGGAGGATATGAGGGAGTGCCTGATTTTATACAAATCAGTAATTTCGTAACAGAGAGCTAAGATTATTCCAGAGGCTAATTAGAAACTATTTTCTTTTGGAATTGTGTATGGATTGCTGTCTGGGCTCACAGTTGAAATTCCTCTTGCTATGCAGATGACAGAACTTACCACTTTCAAGCTGAAGATGAACAGGAATGTCAAATGTAAGTTACATGGTGGTGGGACTTTGGGCTGGACTCAGCCGTTGTTTGTGGAATTTAACACAGCGTTGCTCTTGTTTTTCTAGATGGATGTCTGTGCTGCAAAATAGCAAAGAAGAAGCTTTAAACAATGCATTTAAGGGGGATGACAATACTGGAGAAAATAACATCGTCCAAGAACTGACAAAGGAGATCATCTCAGAAGTGCAGAGGATGACGGGCAATGACGTCTGCTGTGACTGTGGGGCGCCAGGTGACCCAGGGACCCCACCCGACCCTGGGCTCTAGGACATTTCAATCCCATTCTGATTCACAGAATCCGTTCATTGATTTTCACTTTCATTTCAAACACGAAATTAAGTGCAGCTCAGCCTGAGTTCATCCCATTACACAAATGCTTAATGAACTGTGCAGACCGCGGCAGGGGAGAGGGGCGGGAAGATGTTTGCCTGCCGGGCCCCAGAGCAGGACTGAGTAAAGAGGGTTTGACAGAGCTGCAAAGTTTGAAATGCTTTTTGAGAAATGAAAACTGAAGGGTACAGTGAGAGTGAACTCAAGGTCATGTGGGCTGAGAGGCTGCATGTGGATGGGCTTCCTTGCTTGGAATCTGCTCTCTTCTCCCTTTATCCTACTTTGCAGAACTTCTGAAGTAGCTTTAAGCCGCTGTCTGGCTCTGTGACCCTGGGAGAGCCACTTGCTTTGTTAAACATCGATTTTCCTGTCTGTAAAGTGAAGGGACAGGACCCTTTCAGCTGACACATTCTGTGAAATAAGATTTTATTTTTACATTTTGATAAAGCATATTAGGGGCTTTATAGTAGGATGTGATTTAAGGAATTTGCTTATTCTAATTGAGACACAATGGTGGGGAGTGGGGGTCGGGGACTACACAGGTGCATTTTCTGAACATTTATAAAATGAAAAAGATGGAGGCTTGGCTAGAATGGTTAATCCCCTTTTCATTCCTCTAATTCTATGACAATTTTTCTTAAAAAACCAAACACAACCAAAATAAGAGTGGACAGTTGAGAATTACCTTTAGGTTCCCATGACCCTGAAGACTGTATTTGGCCTTGGATCCATTAAAAAAAAAAAAAGAATACCGACTGGGTGCAGTGACTCATGCCTGTAATCCCGGCACTTTGGAAGACTGAGGCGGGCGGATCACTTGAGGTCAGGAGTTCAAGACCAGCCTGGCCAACATGGTGAAAACTCGTCTCTATTAAAAATACCATAATTAGCCCGGCGTGGTAGTGCGCACATGTAGTCCCAGCTACATAGGAGGCTGAGGCAGGAGAATCACTCGAATCCAGGTGGCAGAGGTTGCAGTGAGCTGAGATCACGCCACTGCACTCCAGCCTGGGCAACAGAACGAGACTGTATTTAAAACAAACAAACAAAAAACCCGAAAATACGTTTTTGGCAGGAGATGAGGTAGGGGGTGATAAGTAGTGAATCATGGTCTTTCTTGAGAAAGGGTAAAGACAGTCTATGATTTGGGTGTTTCATACGCTTTGATAAAGAACTCAAAGGTATGTACTCATTATTTTAAAATGCCAAGACAGTGTGGGTAATATAAAAATGATGTAGAGTCACCTAAATGGATGCTTGTACCTCCGCAAAGCACAAATACAGTGGAGTCGTCCTACACAAGTGCAGACACAGACGCCAAGAAGGTTTTCCAACATGGATAACATTTTTAATAACTTGAACATTTAAAAAATAACTTCATGATTTCCTACTGACTAAAGTTGCGATATTTACCTGCCGTGAGTTTCTCAGGGCAACAAACAGTTCTGAAGAGAATTGTATTTATGGGTTGTGATGATGTACTCAAGGACATCTTATTTTTAATTTCCCATTTTTAGCAAATTCCACATTCATCTGTCAAGCATTTTGTGGGTCCCTATCATCTGCTAAATGTATGGTAGGTCATGTTAGTGAGTAGCCGAGCTGTGAGGGGAAAACGTGGCTTTGAACTCAGGTAGAGGCAGGGCCACAGTCTGCTCTGCACTCCCTGGCGACCTCGAGCCTGAGCATCGCAAAGCTGTCTCTGCCATATAGTGAGATAAAAATCCCTGCCCTGGTCATCTCATGGAACTCTTAGATTTGATACAAAAGTGCTCTGTGATTGCTGAAGCTCTTAACAACACAAACTGTTATTGCTACTACCAGCATGCTGAACACAGCATATCTTATGTACATAGTACGTTCTCTGTTATTATCAGCATCTGTAGATGCATATGTTTTAAGCCTATTCCCCTTTTACAAGTAGACTTTGGCTGGTCTCATTGTTTTCCTCTTGCTCCATTCTGCTAGTGTGACCAAGTTGGTGATGGGCATGGTGTGTTTTCACCACCAGCCATTGAGGAGCCCTTGGTCACTGGAGTGTGTCCTGTTTATTTTTGCACACACAGCACCTGTCACATGAATGGAAGGATGGGGAGATGGAGAGAGAGGGAAGAAGAGGGAGAGTAGATGTGTGCATATTTGGGTATTGCATGTAAATTGGTGGTAATTATGGACAAAGTTTCCAGCTGTGTTAAGGATCAGAAAATGCTCATGCTCAGAACTGCTTGTTCAGTAACTATGCAGGAAGAAAGATGTGACTCCTGACCCTCTTTTTTACTGGAAGCTCAAATCTGCCCTGTTCTCTTTGGCAGATCCTACATGGCTTTCCACCAACCTGGGCATCCTGACCTGCATCGAGTGTTCCGGAATCCACCGAGAGCTGGGGGTTCATTATTCCAGGATGCAGTCCCTGACCTTAGATGTACTGGGAACATCTGAGCTGCTGGTAATTTTTAAATCCTTGATTTCAGATTGGAAACAAATGAGCTGTAAGCTAAATTTTACTTTTGGCATTCTAATCCATTTTGGTAAGCTAGTGGTTGTTGATATGTTGCCAGATTGGTTTGGATAATTAGAAACTCATTGATAATTCTTCATTTTTAGCTACTTGTGGTTGAGGGCACTTCTTGTTGCAAAACTTTATTCTTAAATGAATAAAGGGGAGTGAAACCAAAACAGGAGCATTGAGAGTGGTGTGAGATTCTACAGAAATGGAGTAAGATGGTGACATAGACCAGCTCACCCCATCCATTAGACAGATGTGGAATGCAACGTCTAAAGACAGGAAAGTACTTGTTTTCCCTTATCACCAGCGATTTCTGACAAGGCTGTGGTGACAACTTGCCTCAAGCCTCCGACTTCTCCCTACCCCAGATTGTCCCCCATGGGGGGAGATATTGGTCTTCATTTTTACTGCCTTTGTTTCTTAAGTCTTTCATTCTTGGTTCAGTGGTAACACTTAAGCCATGTGATAGAGATAGGAGGAGACAGAAGCATTTTCTGTGAAGTGGCTTTCAAGAGTATCGAGACTGTAGTCCCACAAGGTCCATCAGACAGGGTGCTTCTGGCCACCTAATACATGAGCTTTCATGACTGTCTTCCCTAGAAAGCAGTTCTTGAATTCTCTCCTGGGATAGCTGGATGTTGACAGTAAACAGTAAGTAGATAGTGATTGGCATTGATTTTAATGTTGAATTTAAAAGTTTACATGTAGGGAATTTAACGTCAAGAGCAATAGTCTTGACAGAAAATCAATAGTTGTGGACCATGTTCCTCTCAAGGGGCCATCAGTCTTATTGATGACTTCGAATCCAGTGTGTCTGAACTTCGAATGCATTTTGAACTCTCTTGTCAAACCTTTCCAGTCTTTCTAGGAATTCCTTTATGGTCTTGAAAGACAGAGTTGGGAGAAACTACAGTGGATCCTGGCAGCCTAGTTAGTAACATCCTTAGTTACTTACAGTTTAAAACTAAGCTAGACTCACTTAAAATGTAAAACTAAGGAACTCCAAACAGTGCCTTCCTGGTTACATACAGCAATTATTGTTCATGTAATAATGCACGTAACCTACAGCTTAGAGAGGTGCACAGGTGTACATGTGGTATCTCTTGGATAACTGATGATGGCATAGATTGGAGGTTGTCATGGTACATTTTCAAAGAAGCACAAAGTACTTTTCAGTAAACACTGGTGAACTATGGCAGTTGTTTCTTTTACTGATTTTCTTAAAACAATGGAAAGTGTTAAGTGATTCAAGATGATGTAATAATTGTTTATTTTGTACTATGTATTTTGCAGGCCACTTTATATATACTAGGCTCATTTGATCTCCAGTAACAACCTGATGACCTTGGTATATTATCCCCATTTTACAGAGGAGGAAACTGAGGCTTAGAATGTTTCAGTATGCCTAGGGTTATGAAGCTTTTAAGGTGACAGATCTGGGGTGTGGGCCTCTTTAATCTGATACCAGACCTCACACTTAAACCTTTGACGAGCCTGGGACACAAATTGGCATTTTAGTGGGTTGTCTTGCTAGATGATAAACATTTAAACATCTCTACTGTCCTTCCCTATCACCGTCCCCAACAAATGTTTAACAGTCAACTCTGGAGAAAAAAGAACCCTGGTTTGCAACCTGCCTGTTCTCATGGTGTAAATACTCCCACAATGGCCAATTTCAAGCTACCTAAGTGAATTACTCAATGTGAAGTTGGAAAAAGATGTTCATTATATAGTACATTCACTATGCAAACACAGTGGATGTAAATAACTTCATGAACATGGACAATAGTAAAATGCAGTATAATTAGGAAGTGATGAGTTTTGAGTATATACTTGTTATTAATGTAACATAATTATGAGTTTATATAGCATAATTTTTAATAGTAGCAGTGCTTAACAGTTGGCTTGCAAAATTCCTGAAATTTTAACAGTTGACTCATATGAGCTGGTAGGAGCCCGACCCCACCATCTGTTATAATTTTTTAAATGTGTCTCAGAAATTTCATGTTCTTCATGAGACTGAGTTGCCTACTAAAGAAGAAAATGCCAAAGAAAGGTGAAAGGAATATGTTGTTCTGTCTTGATGAAACGATGAGGTGACTTCTAATGCCTGGTTAAATTCTCCATTTCTGTCTCCCAGAGCCTCCATCTGCATTCTTGTAGGAGTTTAAAGTTTGGTTGGCTGTCACCCACAATGAGAAATCAGCCAGTGCCTGCTTAATCAATGTCTGCAGATATTTTCAAAATCTAATTGCTTCCAGAGTTTTAAACTCTCCCTTACCCAAGTCTTTTTTCCTCAGTGGTTATCAGGAAAAGTAGAGACAGCAGTGAATTGTGTAGGATTTACTCCCTTCAACCCTGCTTTCCCTGAGCTCTGGCTGGTCCTCTGTGGTTCACAGGAGGTGGACATCTCCCCACGGCTCCCCCAATCCATTTTTTGTATGCTAGGAGTGTGGTCATGGTGTCGTGGCTCTAAACCTTATTCCTTAGCCCTTCAGTTAAGCAGTACGTAGGGTGTCAGGTGTTAGTATTCATTGGCAAAGCTTGGAAATTTCAAGGCTTCTTTCTTTCTTTTCTTTTCTTTTTTCTTTCTTTCTTTCCTTCCTTTCTTTTCTTTTCCTTTTCCTTTTCTTTTTTTGACAGGGTCTCACTCCATGACCCAGGCTGGAGTCCAGTAGCACAATCTTAGCTCACTGCAACCTCTGCCTCCTGGGTTCAAGCAATCCTCCCACCTCAGCCTCCTCAGTAGCTGAGACTACAGGCAAGTGCTACCACGCCTGGCTAAGTTTTGCATTTTTGGTAGAGATGGTCTTTCGCCATGTCCAGGCTGGTCTCGAACTCCTGGACCCAAGTGATCCTCCTGCTTTGGCCTCCCAAAATGCTGGGATTACAGGTGTGAGCCACTGCGCTTGGCCTCAAGCCTTTTAAAAGTATCCAGATTGTTTTATTTTGCTTAGACAATCAGGTACTGGGATGAAGGATTTCCTGAAGTCTTTTTACCTCTTTATCTTATCTCTTTCTCTGCGTGTGTGTGTGTGTGTGTGTGTGTGTGTGTGTGTGTGTATTTAGAATTATGTCTGACACACCGTTAAGAACCATAAAGTATTAGTTATCATTGTTATCTCCTTTAACAAAATCCTTTCAGAAAAATGGTCCCCATGTGCTAGCATGTGAACCCCCAGGGAGGCCATGCATGGTCTGTCTGGTTGTCTGTTCTTACGAACCTTTCCAATTCAGAGTTGCATGCCATGCAGGGCCTCGGCTGACTTGCTTATTGAAGTATGTTTTATTGTATAGTGAGTGTTCATTAGGCCCCTTGGTGCCTTGTGAAAGGAGAGTGGTGGGTGCAGCCTGGACAGGTTCTCTCACAGGAGTAGCATCTCTCCTCTTTTGGGTAAATAGAACAGCCTCTGTTTCAGGGTGACATGCTGTGACAGCAAAGGATTTTATTTTTTTAATTAATTTTTTATTGCATGTATTTATAGTGTACAACATGATGTTTTAGTATGTTGTATACATTGGGTGTGACTAAATCAAGCTAGTTAACATATCTGTCACCTCACATGCTTATGTTTTGTGGTGAGAACACTTAAAATCTACTCTCTTGAGCCTGGTGTGGTGGCCGGCGCCTGTAATCCCAGTACTTTGGGAGGCTGAGGTGAGAAGATTGTTTGAGTCTGGGAGTTCAAGACCAGCCTGACCAACATAGGGAGACCTCCATCTCTACAAATAATTTTTTAAAACTAGCTGGGAGTGGTGGCAAGTACCTGTGGTCCCAGCTACTTGGGAGGCTGAGGCAGGAGGATCACCTGAGCACCCAGGAAGTTGAGGCTACAGTGAACTGTGATCTTGCCACTGCACTCCAGCCTGGGCAACAGAGTGAGACTGTCTCAAAACAAAATTTTTAAGTATACAGTACGTTATTATTAAGTAGAGTCACTGTGTTGTACACTAGATCCCTAGACTTTATTCATCCTAACTGAAATTTTGCATGCTTTGACCAACATGCCCACCCCCAACCCCTGGTAACCATAGTTCTGCTCTCTACTTCTATGAGTTCAGCTTTTTTAGATTTTGCATATAAATGAGATCTTGCAGGATTTGTCTTTCTTTGCCTGGCTTATTTCACTTAGTATAATGTCCTTCAGGTTCATCCATGTTGTCACAAATGACAGAATGTCCTTTTTTTCAGGTCGAATAGTATTCCATTATGTATATATACCACATTTTTAAAATCCATTCGTCCATTGGTGGCATTTAGGTTGATTCCCTATCTCGACTATTGTGAATAGTGCTGCAGTAAACAAGATGGTGAAGACGTGTCTTCAACAAACTGATTTCAGATCTTTTGGGTAAATACCCAGAAGTGGGTTATATGGTGGTTCTAGTTTTTCGAGGAACCTCCATAACCATTTTCTATAATGGTTGTATTATAATAATTTACATTCCCACCCAGTGTGCAAGCCTTCCCTTTTCTCCACATCCCTGCCAACACTTGCTATCTTTTGTCTTTTTGATAAAAGCCATTCTAACAGGTGTGAGATGATCGTGGTTTTAATTTGCATTTCCCTGATGATTTGTATGATTAATGCTGTGTACTTTTTCATACATATACCTGTTGGTCATTTGTAGGTCTTCTCTTTCTCTTTTTTTTGACAGGTTCTTGCTCTGTCGCCCAGGCTGGAGTGCAGTGGTGCCATCTCGGTTCAGTGCAGCCTCTACCTCCCAGGCTCATGCAATCCTTCTGGGTAGCTGGGACTATAGGCATGTGCCACCATGCCCAGCTAATTTTTTAAAATTTTTCCATAGAGACAGGGTCTCACTATATTGGCCAGGCTAATCTGGAATTCCTGGGCTTAAGTGGTCTTCCAGCCTCGGCTTCCCAAAGTGCTGGGATTATAGGCATGAACCGCCTGCAGCCTAGCATTACTTCTTTTCCAATGGAATGGAAGTTGCATAATTGAATTATTAATTAGTTCTGGGGAATCATGTCATCTTAACTACTTTAGCACACACCAGCTTAATATCTTTAGATTCTAAAGCAAACCTACTTTGGGAAAAACTTTCTGGTAAACACAGATTTTAAAAAGATAAATTTCCTTCTTAATGTAGAAGATCATGATTTCAGCTTTGATTTTTCAGGTCATATGAAAAACAGTATCACTGGTACTAGGGTACTACTATCATGATCAATTTCACTATCATACATGAAGTTAATAAAGGAATTCTTGATATTCTGAAATTGAATTTGAGTCAGTCATTTAAAAATCTTATGAGACCAGGCGCAGTGGTTCACACCTATAGCTCCAGCACTTTGGGAGGCTGAGGCAGGCAGATCACTTGAGCCCATGAGTTCAAGACCAACCTGGGCCACATGGCAAAACCCCATCTCTACAAAAAAAAAAAAGTTAGCTGAGTATGGTAGTACATGCCTGTGGTCCTAGCTATCAGGGAGGCTGAGGTGGGAGAATCACCTGAGCCCAGGAGGTTGGCTATAGTGAACTGAGATTGTGCCACTGCTCTCCAGCCTGGGTGACAGAGTAAGACCCTGTCTCAAAACAAAAAAACATCAAATTAAAAAACAGGCATCAAGAGCATTACCAAATATTTACTGACTCAGCTTTCTGTTTCTTGACTTTCTTCTATTTCTGTTCTCATACGGTTGTTAATAAGCTGTCAAATGTTAAAGCGGGTCAACACACAGTCTGATCTGAAAGAGAGCATGTGGAGAGGAAAGCTCCTCAAAGACGAAGAACTTAACGACTTACAACTGTCTTCTAAGTTCACCTAGGACTGAAATGTGCCACCCAGATACTAAAAGCAATTGCTTAGGGCAACAGGAAATTGACTATCAGTGGTCATTTACGGAGGAACTGTTATGCTCCAGGCATTGTTGTAGGTGTTCTACGTACACTGTATTATCTAACCTAAATGGAGAGCTCCATTTTTAAAAAAAGACCAGAGAGGTTAAGAAACTTACCCAGTGCAGGATTTACATTCCAACTATCAGACTCCAGAGCCTGTGTTTTAGCCTTTTTTTTTAAAGCCAAGATTCTGAACATTTTTTAAACCACAAAGTCTATCAGAAAAAATTGAGCACCAAAGCATGTACTTACTTACATATGATGTACCTACACTTACTAAGAAATACATACTTTGTAAACTACATCAAAAATAGAGCTTTTAAAGGGTCAGGTAAAGACATCATATGTAAACTTTTTCCCTGCACACCAGAGTGTCCTTTTGTGCTCTTTGCTTTGGAGGCAGCAGTTTGGTCAAGCCCCTTCCCTTGTCTGGGCCTTTACCCTCTGTACTTTAGAGCTGGACTGCACTCTTCAGGCCCTCCACCCTTCGGGGATCCAAGGGGCCCAGTTAACATCAGGGAGGAGCTGACCTTGGGGTCTCCTGAGCTCAGCGGTCAGGGAAGTCTGGTTTCTCTCACTTGCCTGTTCTCTCCTGGGGTGAGTCAGAGAAGAATGTCACAGCAATTGTTGTCCTTCCTCATGGAGACATGAAAACAGGACAGGAGGTTTCCCTGCCCCACCCCAAACTCTCAAAACAATGTCCAGATAAAACCTAAAGCTTCATTTTGGCTCAGTGGGCCCTGCTCAGGTAGGTGCTAAGGACGTACAGGTGTGTGATTCTGTGTCTCTGTCCTGGGTGTGGCCATCAGGGAGGGAGATGCCCACACACAGACGACTCCCCCGTATGGTGAGTGCCAAGAAAAGGGGCCTCCTGGCCAAGGGACTGCTCTGCTCATCTGGGCCTGGTGCCGCTGTCCTCATAGTGTTCAGGATGAACTTCTTTTCCAGGGCTTCTTATTGACTCATCGCTACCTTGTTGAAGTGAGCTGCCATAGAGCAGGAGGGTGCCTCATGCCTCATGCCCAGCACAGACGAGGGGCTCAGAGTGTGCTCCTGAGGCCACAGGAAGGGCGACGGACTGGGCTGAGCTACCCTGGGTGATACAGAACTTAAACACTCCCTCCTCTCCTCCATCCAGTCTGGCTCAATTTCTGCCTCAGTGCAGCCCACAAATTCCTTCTGGGTGCCAGTGAGAAGCAGGAGATGCCAGGGCTCAGGTCGACAGCCACCTTCCTGCCCCCTTGGTTTCTGCCTGCCTGTCCTGCTGGCACCTGCAGCCTCCATTTGCAAATGCTTTGCTTTTGTCGATGGGTCTGGAGGGGTTCTCTATGGGCTGAAACGTAAACTGGAACTTGGCAGAACTGCAAGGTAGCACGTTTCTCTAGCATTGGATGAGTGTGACACATGGATGCGGTGGCTCCCTGGACCAGCTGTCTCTCAGTTAACCAGCCAAGTCCAAGCAGAAGGGAAGCAGCTCTTCGATTCCTGGGGAATTCTCCTCCTCCCATCTCCCCACCCCCATCTGCTTAACACAAACTAGGAGGCATCAGGGTGGTTGGCCCCTGGCTCATAGAGGGGGCCACAGTGATTTTTGTCACTCAACTTGGGAAAACCATTGTGCTCACCTGGGGACAGTGTCCTGCTTGGATTGTATGCTGCCTGGCTATAAACCAGGCGCTCTGACATTGGGGTTCAGTCCTGGATCTGACACCAGCTGCCTGAGAAACCCTTCACAGGGCATTAGCTTCCTGGTGCATAGGTACCTGTCACCTTAAGTGGTGTGCCACCTGACCATTCTGTTGTCCCTGGGAAAATTGCAACGCAGCCTCTAGGCTTTTGCCTCCTGACTGATGGCTTGAGGTCCCAGAGCCAGGACTGAGCAAGGAGGTGGAGTTGGTTAATGTTTTATGCTTTGGGCCGCCTAGAAAAAGCTTTTTCCACGTGTCAAGGGCCGGGTTGAATTAGGAAAGCTCATCATCCAGCTATTAGGCTACCCCACATAATTCTTCTGTTTTTAAAAAATTGCGTCTGCATCCTCCACTAGCCCACTAGCCCATTTCACCGTTTGATGTTATTTGCCGCCAGGAAGTTCCAGTGTATCTAACCCAGACCTCTTGGGCTCTCCTTCAGTCAGTTCCCTACAAGAGATAGACCCGATTTCAGGCTGCAGCAGCCTCTCCCAAAGCATGTTTGTTAACTCCTTTGCCTGCATAATTTTTTTTTTTTTTTTTTGTAGAGATGGAGTCTCACTCTGTCGCCCAGGCTGGAGTCCAGTGGTGTGATCTCGGCTCACTGCAATCTTCACCTCCTGGATTCAAGCAATTCTCCTGTCTCAGCCTCCTGAGTAGCTGGGACTACAGGTGCACGCCGCCATGCCTGGCTAATTTCTTTTGTATTTTAGTAGAGATGGGGTTTCACCTTGTTGCCCAGGCTAGTCTCGAACTCCTGAGCTCAGCCGATCCACCCGCCTCGGCCTCCCAAAGTGGTAGGAATACAGGTGTGAGCCACCATGCCTGGCCTGCCTGCATAATCAATAGAGAGCAGAAATATCACAAGCGTCACTGACTCCCCAGCAGAACATGGAAATGAAAATATGTTTTCTCAAAGCACTGAGCTTGGTGCTCCCTTTTGGTATTATTTCATTAAACGTTTAAGAATCTGACCTGGCCAGGCGCAGCGGCTCACGCCTGTAATCCCAGCACTTTGGGAGGCTGAGGTGGCCGGATTGCATGAGCCCAGGAGTTCGAGACCAGCCTGGGCAACATGGTGAAACCCCATCTCTACAAACAATACAAAAATCAGCTGGGCGTGGTGGCGTGTGCCTATAGTCCCCGCTGCTTGGGAACCTGAGGTAGGAGGGTCACCTGAGCCTGGGGAGGGCAAGGTTGCATTAAGCCATGATCATGCCACTGCACTTCGGCCTGGGCAACAGAGCAAGACACTGTCTCAAAAAAAAGAATGTGTTAATTTAATGTTTAACATGTCAGAAGATTGATTGGCAAGTAAAGACCTTACATCTGGAGCTAATATATTACATTTTTAGTGTTTCAGTTTACTGTTTTCACCTAAATTTTATCAACCCAGAAGTATAGGTATCATCCCATTTTACTGATGAAAACTCTGCCGCTCAGGGAAACTGACTTGCCTGTGGTCACACAGCCGGTAATGGAGCTGTGATTTGAACCTGAGTCTTAGCTTTCCTGGCTCAGTGCCGCTTCACTCTACCAGAACTACCTCATAGCTGGCATAAGTAAAGGTTGTTTGAGGATGTGAAATAGATTCACTTTGGTTGAGGCACAGGTCATTGGGAGGAGTGGGTAAGGATGGAAATTCACATTGGACCAAGTTACTGGTTCTCCCTGTCTCTGTCTGTACTCTATCCAGAGCGCGTTTTATGACAATGCGTCTCTGTAATAGGCATGCCGCTTCTTATCTTTAATTTTATGGGTACCTTTGGGCTTTGGGTTTTGTCCATCTTCATTAAAGGCAAACCACTTTATTGCTCTATTTCTTAGTGGCCATTAAATAAATCATCAGATGGGGATGGGTAATGTGTAGCAGTAGAATGTATTAATAATTGAGTATCCTGAAATAGACTTTCATTTTTGCAGCTCGCCAAGAATATTGGGAATGCAGGCTTTAATGAGATCATGGAATGTTGCCTACCAGCTGAGGACTCAGTCAAACCCAACCCAGGCAGCGACATGTAAGTATGGGACTGGCTATTCTCATTTGCTGAGTAAAGGTTTGCCTTTGCCCGAGCCCCGGGAGGCAGGGGAATAAGAAGTTTTGGGTGCATCCATCGTTGCTTCTTTAGGGAATAAATCAGCCTATGTTGGGTTTTCTTAGTCACTTTAACCTTTTGGGTGACCAAATAGAAATTTTTTTAGGAAGAAGCCAAAAGCAGGCAGGTTTCGCAGATGCTGTGCGTGTGTGCAGCGGGTATGTAGAGAGCCTCACTCGCCACTGGTGGGTGGAAGACCCTGGACTTTTCACCTGTGCTGTCTGTTCTGTTGAGTCACTTCCCCGTCTTGGTCTCTCTGCATAATCCTGAGCCACCGAGATGGCTGGTTGTGGTAGATATGTGATTATGTAGCGTCCTTCTTGCCAACGTCCTTGCCTCCTTGCAAATGTGGAATGTGTTACTTCCTTCAAAAAATGTTTGTGTTTGTGTTATTGTTGATACACAACTTGACGGAGAAGCTTTTTTTTTTTTTTCTGGGAGACGGAGTTTCACTCTTGTTACCCAGGCTGGAGTGCAGTGGCACGATCTCGGCTCACTGCAACCTCTGCCTCCCAGGTTCAAGCGATTCTTCTGCCTCAGCCTCCCAAGTAGCTGGGATTATAGGCACATGCCACCACGCCTGGCTAATTTTTATATTTTTAGTAGAGACAGAGTTTCACCATGTTGGCCAGGCTGGACTCGAACTCCTGACCTCAGGTGATCCACTCGCTGCAGCCTCCCAAAGTGCTGGGATTACAGGCGTGAGGCACCGTGCCTGGCCAGCGGAGAAGCTTTTGTGTCTACTGGTGCAGAGCTGACAACAGGGAATGTTCTTGCCCATCTTATCAGAGTGTCAGTGGCCATGTCACACTAGTCTTCGAGAAGAGGTGGACAGGGAGACCCATGGGTTCGGGCAGTGGGTGTCCGGCTCGCCTTAGACTTCAGCTCTGTTTAGTATTATGGCTCTTATGTCTATAGGGGGACATGGGTGGTTTACCTGTTTTGTTGTGATGCAAAGTGAAACAGACGGAAGGAAGGAGAGAGGCTACTGGGCCAGTTAACAGAGCACCTGCATTTGAGTGGTGAGGCTGGGTCAGCGTGTCCTGGCAGGACAGAGAAAAATGAAAAATATGTGATAAGAAAAAGTATTTAAAAATTCATTTACAGAAACAGCATTTTCTGTGGAATAAGCCTGAAGTAGAATTAATGACACGAGTCTTCCCAAAGGACAGTGAGCAACAGTGAACAATGTCTTTAAGGGTGGTTTCACAAATAGGTGGTAGTGTATGGACCCTTTGTAAAGGGAGAGAATTTAGATTTTTTTTTCCCCTTCAAGACCTCTTGCCCAGGCTGGAGTGCAATGATGTGATCTCGGCTCACTGCAGCATCCGCCTCCTGGGTTCGAGTGATTCTCCTGCCTCAGCCTCCTGAGTAGCTGGGACAGGCACATGCCACCACACCCAGCTAATTTTTTGTATCTTTAGTAGAGATGGGGTTTCACCATGTTGGTCAGGCTGGTCTTGAACTCCTGACCTCGTGATCTGCCCACCTTGGCCTCCCAAAGTGCTGGGATTACAGACATGAGCCACTGTACCTGGCCTAGATTTTTTTTAACCATTTTGTGTGGCATGTCTTTGAGAAACGGAGATTGCAGGACCTGTATTCTTTCTGCGTTTTGCTGATGTAACTTGATACAGTGAAAGAGCCAGAACATTGCGAGGGAGTGAACAGGGACCATGTGCATTACAGTCTTTCAGGTATCAGGTATCTCAGGTGAGCGATTTAGTTGTTGTTGGATTAAAGTCAGTTTATGTTTGAATCCTGTAACAAGTGTTTGTGGTGTCGCATTTCCTTGAGAATTGGATAACGTGTGGTTTTACATACCAGGCATGAGGTTGACAATGTGATCATCCTCTCTTGATGAGGATCTAAGTTTCAAATCTATATTTTTACCCAAACCTAGAGAGGCAGTAGGGACATAGATATCTCAGTCCTTATCTGAGCCATGGGACACCGGCAGATTGTTTAACTTCTCTGAGCCTAAGCTCTGTAATAAAAAAAGGGAGATAACGTTCCCCCTCACAGAGGCATTGGGGGCATGAGCGGGATGATGGGGTCAGACATGTGGTGCTTAGTTTTAGTGCCTGGTTGACATTAGCTGCCCTGCTTGCTCTTCTTCCTGTGGGTGACAGAAGTCACATCTGTACCCTGCATTGATTCCATACACCCTGAAAATGAGGTTCCTCTCCAGTTAAGTTTCAGTGGAGAGTTACTCAAGGTGAAGGAGCTCTTCCTGGGCGAGCCTGAGGGTCCCGCTTGGTGAAGGAAACGTCGTGAATCCAGCATGGCGAGGTCATCTCCTGCTGTGCAGTTGACACCTGCTCTTTCAGCTGCTTCATCTCACACTGACGGTACCAGCACCCTGTAATGCTGTCATATCGGTCAGTTCTGAACAAAGTGTGTGTCGTTTCTTCCAAGCACCAGGGGTACCTAACGAAAGCAGGGCATTTGGTTGTTCTGGGGCTAGGCGATTCTAAAAAATGAACACTGTCAATGTGGAACCCTTCAGTATGAACGTTCTGTCTGCACTGTAGCCCTCCTCCAGCCTTGGCACTGTTGAAAAAGAAATTTACATCCCCCAACCCCGGGCTTTTTTCAAAATGAGGGCGGATGACCCGTGTGATGGCGAAACATCAGCTACTTCCATTCCTTCTCAACTGAAATTACTTTCTTGGCTCTGTGCTCCTATAGCATTTGGCTCTATTTTAAAACATTTCATCCCACTTCATAGTATACTCAGGCATTTACATATATTTTTCTGATGAATTACTTCTTACTCATTTTGGTTTTTCCCACCGTAATATGTTGCTTCTGGTGAACCAGTGACTATTTAATGAATCAGCGAGTCAAACAAGTACTCCCAGCTCTGTGCCTGCTTAAATAAGCTAGTATTTTACTTCCAGATGAAAAGGAATACACTGCTTCTAGCTTTATTTCAGAACAGCACACCATCTGCAGATAAATCTGTTGAAGGGGAAACCAAGGACACCCTCTAGTGGCCTGTGAATCCCAAGACGGATCTTGGGGGTGTCAGGGACGTGTAACTGGGGGAGGTGGAGCAGGGAAGCTAGGCTTGTATTTGCTCACAGGAGCCAGAACTGTTTCTCCCTGTGACTTGGGACCATTATACACACCCTGTCCTTGAGAAGTGTAAGGAGAGCCCCTCCTCTGAACACCAAATGTATCATTATGTTAATTGTTTTTCTGCAAAAGCCTGTCATTAAAAAAAAGAGGGAGGGCCGGGCGCGGTGGCTCACGCCTGTAATCCCAGCACTTTGGGAGGCCGAGGTGGGCGGATCACGAGGTCAGGAGATCGAGACCATCCTGGCTAACACGGTGAAACCCCATCTGAGGGATCACATTAGCAAAGCAAACCTCCTTCACAAAACCAGGGGGCATGTGTGGAGTTAAACAGACCTGTGCCCATGTTTGTGTAGGAGCTGCCTTCGGGGCCTCCAAGCCCTGGGCAGATGAGTAAATACATTAAAAAACAAGTAAAGGAAGTCCACTTTCTCTCTATCCCTTTCCTGTGGAGGTCGCAGTAATGATTGTCCCACAGTGATGATTGAAAGTGCATGAAACTGGACAACTGTCCAGTCTAACTGCCTGTCAGAAGAGGCATTTACATCATTAAATGGGCTGCCCACCATGACACTCGCCAGGCCAGGAATGGAGCATCTCCCTGGGTGTCACACTGTGCTGGAGGCCCTAAGAGGAGAACCTGCAGGAATAAAATGGGTCTTCCCTTGTAGGCCCACCAGCTGCCTGAGGAAACAGAATCCAGTTTCCCTTTATGGACTTCAGTGTACAGTAAATCCTGAATGTTCCAGAAACTCAAAGGTTTCTGGAAACCTGTGACTTTAAGCAAAATGATGTATAAGAAACCAGTTTTACCCTATGCCAATTGATGTAAACCAGAGTTCAGTTCCTACCATGTATTTCTGATCATGAGAACATCACCAAACTTTTGAATAAAGGCCCAGAACACTTCTAATATTAAACATTGAAATATGAGCGATGCATACATTTAAGAAAGATTCTGGCTACTAAGTGGGATAAAGAAAGATCATAAAAACCAGTAAGATAATGATTCACCCACTTATTCCAGTTCAGGGTCAGAGGTGGCTGGAGCATGTCCTGGCAGCTGAAGTCCAGGGTGGGAACAAGCCCTGAACAGGACCCCGTCCCACTGTGGGACGCAGTCACACCCACGTCCACACTCAGTCGCAGTGGGGCCTTTGAGACACAGCAGTTAGCCGAACGTGCACAGCTTTGGGATGTGGGGGAAACCGGAGTGCCCAGAGAAAACCCAGGTGGACTCCACACAGACAGGGACCCTGCCTGGGAATTGATTTTTTTCTTAACATTATAACAAAATGCTGTTATTCGAGGGCCTGTTGTGCCTACAGGTGGAGATGAAAACTCATGGCACTGTTGAGGGAACCCACTGAGACCACGTATCTCACACACAAGTCAGCCAGCACCGCAGTGAGCTCAGTGCACGGGTTAGCGCTGTGTGGACGGGGAGCATGTGCCGGGGGACGTTGAGGCACCCGCCTTAACCTAGGCCCTGTAGAGCGGGCAGAACTGGAGCCGGAGCAGGAGGGAGGCAGTGTGATAAAAGTGCCAGAGCACAAGTTCACCAGGTGCCCCTGGAAGTCCTTCCTGGGCTGTGAAGCATGCTGCCTGCTCAGGTGGAACGGGCACCCTGGGGCGTGATTTCCTCTCCAGCTGCACCAGCCAGCCTCACGCTGCGGCGTGTCCAGGAGCCACATGCACCCAAGGACAAGCAGATTTGAGGCCTGGCAGACGCTGGCAAGAGACCTCTGCCCACTCAGTTCCGTCTGGGTGCTGTGGGAGTAATGGCTTCTCATCTTAGGCTGGCCCATCTTCAAGGGACCCCAGGGTAGACAGGATCTCTACTCCCTGCCTCCAGTGGCATGTCCAGGGAGCTCAGGCTCCCCTTCTGGGGGGCCAGTTGTTCCACGGGGATTTAGGGCAGGTACAGAAAAGTCAACAACTGCTCCAGCAGCCATGGCCCCTTGCCATAGTCAGCTGAGTGAGAGAGCGGAGGTCAGGAGGGAACCGTGCGGGGACTCCAGCTCGAAGGGGAGCAGCCGCATTTGTCCTCAGATTGTAGGCAGTGCTGTGTTACAAATGGATGCAACTGATCTGCCCCTGCCTGGCTCTTGCCTGATTCTCAAGATTCAAAGAGTCCCTGGGCAGTGACCCTCAACCTTCAGAATTGGGATTGTAAAATGCATGTACTCTGTGACCAGTGAGCTGCTGTTTCGCTCTCCCTCTTGTAAGTTCACTGGGTCTTTCCAAGGCCCGGGACCCACTGTGTGTGCTGCAGGTGTGTTGACGCACATACGTCTCATGGTGCTACTGTGAGGATGTATTGTGTGCATTTTCGCAAGTCAGACTTACAAGTCTAGAGAGATGAAATACTTATTCAAGTTCAAAGCAGCAGTGTGTGGTGGGAGTGGGATTTGAACTCAGGCTTCTTTGGCCCCCTTTTGTTCCTGCTTCTGTAGGCTCTTTGGATGGGGCGGAGTCTGAGCATGTTGCCACATAAAGGCCAGAAAGTAGAACACAAAGAGGACTGCCATTTCATTTCAGTTCATCTGATAGTGCCTTTCATACCAGGCATGGTGCCTACAAAAAAGAGGTCATAGTCCATGCCCCAAGGAGCTCATGGGCCTGTCGGGCAGTGAGGCAGGCAGGCCTTCATGTAGAGAATGTTGGAACAGAGGTTGGCCAGGGCTGCATGGAGGGCAGGGGCAGGGCCTTCCTGGGGGAGGAGGCGCAGGGCATGCGGATTGGAAGGACCTGAATAAGAAGGGTGTGGAGGTGACGAGGGCGACAGTGAGGTCAGATCACAGAACTTAGGAGTGAGGGGAGGGAGACAAGGCAGAGAGGCGGGTGGGCTGAGAGAACATGGGGAGTTGTCCCCCTGGCCAGTTCCCAGGAGGTCGCAGTGAAGACCAGTGCAGCCGTAGAACCACATGGCGGCCACTCCCGCTTTGTGTTTCGGGGCCAGCGGTGCTTACCAGGGACATGGCGCAGGAACCGTTAACATGGCCTTAGACAAAGGGAGGCCGGACGGCGGGTAGAAGCCCTTCATGATTTGCAAGGCAATTACGTTTGGTTTCAGGAATGCAAGAAAGGACTACATCACAGCCAAGTACATCGAGAGGAGATACGCAAGGAAGAAGCACGCGGATAACGCGGCGAAGCTTCACAGTCTTTGCGAGGCCGTCAAAACGAGAGATATTTTTGGATTGCTCCAAGCTTATGCTGATGGTGTGGATCTTACGGAAAAAATCCCACTGGCCAACGGACATGTAAGAGTGTGGGTTGTTGCTACTTTAAAAAAAAAAAAAAGGCCGGCCACGGTGGCTCATGCCTGGGATCCAGTACTTTACTTCAGGAGGCCAAGGCGGAGGATCCTTTGAGCTCAGGAGTTTGAGATCAGCCTGGGCACCATAGGGAGGCCCCATCTCTACAAAAAAAAAAAAAAAAAAAAGTAAAATTGGCCAGGCATGGTGGTGTACATTTGTAGTCCCAGCTACTCAGGAGGCTGGGGTGAGAGGAATCGGTTGAGCCCAGAAATTTGAAACTCCAGTGAGCCGTGATTGTGCCACTGGACTCCAGCCTGGCCGACAGAGTGAGACCTTGTCTCAAAAAAAAAGGAAAACTGGGGCACTGTGGCAGGTCTGTGGAATCAGCAGTACTGACCAAAGCTGGGTAATTCTCCAGAGGAAGACGGCACGGAGAGGGGTACTGGGGTAGAATAAACTAGGGTTTTTTCTTTTCAGTAGGAAAATAATTGTATCTATGTTCATGGGGTATGCTGTGATGTTTTTGATCTATGTTTACATCATGGAATGATTACATCAAGCTAGCTAACATATCCATTACCTCACAGGCTCATCCATTTTTAATGGAGAGCACATTTAAAATCGACTCAGTTTTGAAATAGACGCTATGTAGTCTTACCTGGAGTCACCAGGCTTTGTAGTAGATCTGCAGGATTTATTCTCCTTGTCTAAAACTTTGTACCCACCTAGTGGTTTATTCTTACACCAAAAATGTAATGCCAGCTCTGGAAAGAAAACCCATCTCCAGGTGGAGGAGAAGACATCTCAGAAGCTAGGCAGCCTGAGAGGGACCCCTCATCTGCAAGCAGGTTTAACCTGAGCTTCATGCTAACGAGAGAAGCTCTCTGAGAGGGGCGGTTCCCTGGAACCCACACCCCACTGTGCTCCCCCTCAGAGGGAATAGAGTAGGAGCAAGACCCCTCCTTTCCTGGGGGAGCTGTCTTGAGAGGGTGGGCATCCAGCTGGAGTGGGTTTGCAGTAACATACCAGCACCCAAGTGGGGTGGCATGTGTCCAGATTCTGGTCCACAAATACCCTGTAGATGCACATTTGGTCCCCTGGAACCTCCTGACCTCAGGACTGGGCTGGCTGCCTATCAGCAAGGATGCCTCACGGCTGCAGCATCTTTCTCTTGGTAACAGGCATGTCCGTGCAGGCTCTGAGCTGGTCCCACTCTCTCCCCATCCCCAGAAAGAACTCATGCCCACCAATGCAGTGTGGAGGGTGCCCAGCACTGAGCTGTGCTGCCGCCAGAGGGCCCAGCAGGCAGGGCAGGCGGCCTGGGAAGCACCTTCCTTTGCCCTCACCTCCTGTCTTCTGTATCTGTCCTTCTCCTCTGGTTCTCTCACCCACCCACCTGCTGAAACAATCCTTGTTCATCTCTTCTCCCCCACCTGCCAGGTGTACTTTCAGAAAAGGCAGTGGAGTTGGGGAATCCCCAGTATGAGTTGGAGACAGTGCAGTTATTAGCATTCGTAGCCTTGTCTGTAAGTGTAGAACGCAAAACTTTAAGCCTGCTTAAGAAACATATGTTTCTACTCAAGGAGCAGGTAAAGAGATTGGATTGTAGGTGGCCTGGGGGACCTTCCTGGATCCTTTGAACAAGATTCTTGCTTGCAGGCAGGGATCTGCCTTGTGGTGCTGATGCAGGGATGGGGACAGGTCGATTGAGAGGACTTAGAAATGAAACTCCTGAACTTCTCATTTATTTCCCATGGAGTCAGGAGAAACAGGACGAATCTCCAAATTGCACGTTCCCAAGGGCAAAGAGCTTGTGTAGAGATTAAAGAGACTCTATGTAAGAGATAAGTTTCTCGAAGGGAAAGATAAAAGACTTTTGGAAGAGTTGTACACGATTTCACCGGTGTTGGACACAGAATTGAATGCTCCCATTAGAATTCTGGAATGCCTTTGTTTGGTTTTTCAGGAGCCGGATGAAACGGCCCTCCACCTTGCAGTCAGATCCGTGGATCGAACCTCTCTTCACATTGTAGACTTTTTAGTTCAGAACAGGTAGGTGTTCTGAAATTAAGGGAGGCACTCGTTTTCTCCTTGGTATTTCTGGGGAAGGAATCGGACGCTGCCTCATCGCTTCTGATGTGTTGTCAGGAGAACCTTCCCAGTTCTAAACATGAATTAAAGACAGAAAAAGGACTGCCAGGTGTGAGGTACTCCATGGCAATCCTTTAAAAAAGCACTAGAAACTCTTTTGTGGTAATTGCAGGGTCCAACTTCTAGTGTCTGGTACTCAGGGAGACACCAAGTAGATATGGCTACTGAACTTGGGGACCCCATGACCACCCTCTGTGCACAGGGGCCGTCCTCGCCTCATCCTGTGAGCCAGGTCATCGTACTGCGCAAGCAGTGTCCTGAGCAGTAGGGAGGTAGCAGGCAAGGAGGGATCCACACATTAGCCATGGTCTGAGCCAGAGATTAGAAACCAGAGCACTGGATTATGGGTGTTTTGTTTGGGTCGAGAAGTTGTTTTTATGCTTTGATTAGAAATGGCCTTTAGAGATGTGCACAGGCAGTTTACCACAGATCTGGGAGTCCCCGTGGTTTGGGGCATATTGCTTCAGTCATGTGTTACCTGCCTGGCAGCTGAAGGCTGGACTTCAAGACCCCTCAACGTGTATTTTGACTCCCTGATCGTGGTTTGAGCCATGTGTGTACTGGAGGAGGAGGAGGTGCTGTTAAAAGCCACAGAAATTGCTCCAAAGGAAATGGAAAATTCCAAAATGCAAAAGCCATGGGATAGTTTGCATTTTGTGTCCTCTGCTTTTTCCTCCCATTTCTGAGCAGAGGAGTGAAGAAATGGCCAGAAAGTAGGGGAGTGTGGGGTGGTCAACCCCAAGACCTGCAGCTTCTTCCTGAGGAGGCTGAGTTCACTGGACTCGTGGTGGAAGCTGCCCTGATGCCCCATCTCTGAGTGCCAGCCCGGCTCCTAGAACGCAGCAGGGGTTTCGTAAACATTTGGTTGATAGCTGCGTGATGCCTCTCCCTCCATGCACATTTTCAGGGGGCAGGAGAGGGAAGGTCCCAGTTTCTTTTTTTCCAGAGTGGAAGGAGGACAAAAGTGGGGGAGAATTCTGAAAATGAAACACACCCCCCGCTCCCCATGCCCACAATTTGGTGAAAAAGAAACTCCTTTTTTGATATTGAAAATGTAATTGGTTTCCTTCTCATGGAAGCAGCAGGTGCCACTTCCTGAGATCGCCTTTCTGTCTCCACTTTGTGCAGGGGCACAAAGCTCACTGCCCCTCCTCAGAATGTGACAGTGGCCATGTTTGCTAGGATTGAGGGCCTGTCCCATGTCTGCCAAGCCTGAGCACCTTTTGTGGGTGACCTGGTCTTGTGATATGTTGGAAGAACTTTTGAAAATCTCAAGATTCCCCTTTAGCCTGTTTTCAGAGGGTATTCCCAGGGCAAACAGGCCGAGGAGCCTGGGGACTCTGGGCTTTGGGAAAGTGACTTTTCCCTTTCCTGGAGGGAATATCAAATAATGATAGAGAAAAGCTCAGCCTCCGTCCTCCCGTGGGACAGGATGGATGAGTCACACAGGCATCCAGAGGCCCTGCATCCAGCACAGCTGGCCGGCCTAGCACAGCAGCCTCGGCGCAGCCAGTGGGACGTGAGAAGGACGCTGGGCTCTAGGTTCACCCCGGTAGTGCACTGCCCCACCTTGGCCCCACATGCTCAGCAACAACAGGGATGCCCCCCTCCCCTTTTGACCTCTTCTGCCATCATCGTGTTATTTCCCTGATGACCTTCTGCTAAGGCTTCCCCAGCCATGTAGGCAGGGACGGTGCCAGGTCCCACCACCTTGGCGATGATTTACAGAAACCGTTCACTCGGGGACTGTCTGCCTTTCCTGTGCCCGTAGCCCAGGCTCCCTGCCGGGCAGTCCCTGGTCGTCCAGCCTGTGACACACTATGCTCTCTCTCTGTTCCTGTTCTCGGGCAGTGGGAACCTGGATAAACAGACAGGGAAAGGCAGCACAGCCCTGCACTACTGCTGCCTGACCGACAATGCCGAGTGCCTCAAGTTGCTCCTGCGGGGGAAGGCCTCCATCGAGATAGGTGAGTGGGCCCGGGCCCCGGGGGTGGGCTCAGCTGCACCCTGGCCTCTGCCTCCTGTCTGCCATCCAAGCGCTGCTCTTGGAAACAGGGCCAACCCTGTGGGCTCTTGTTAGTGCCAAAGAGAAGGAGAACCTACCGCTAATGAGAAAGAGCCTCTCCCTGCCTGTTCCACGAGGCCGCATTCACCATCTGTTACTTAGACTTTGGGCGCGTTTACAGGCATTTTACAGATCATAAGACAAGCAAAGGGTGGGTCTTGCAGCTCTCACGGATGCCAGGTGAATTTGGACAAGGTTGGGGAATTTTGACCTGTTCACATACCCTGAGTCTACTCACCCCCACCTGAGGCCACACTTGGCCCCTTTCTTGGCTCTGGGTTTAGACGGATTACAGGGGGAGATGCTGTTTACTGCCCTCTCCTTTCATTTGCACCACTGCTTCCTCCATGAAGGGCCCTGGTTGTTACTTGGCCCCGGTCCCTCCCTCTCTCGAGGACCCCGACATGCCAACAGCCAAGGCACAGTTGTGCCTTGAGAGCATCCAGCTGTTGTCCCCTCAGGAGGAAGTATTTTTGAAGGACTGTTAAATAAAGAGGAAAGAATAGAAAAAAGACACACATCTGCCTGAGAGCCGTGCTTATCATTAAAAAACTAATAATCAGACCTCATTGACTGAGGCTTATTTAGAAGAAATTATAGGCCGGGTGCAGTGGCTCACGAGGTCAAGAGATCGAGACCATCTGGCCAACATGGTGAAACCCTGTCTCCACTAAAAATACAAAAATTAGCCGGGTATGGTGGCGCGCACCTGTAGGCCCAGCTACTTGGGAGGCTGAGGCAGGAGAATCACTTGAACCCGGGAGGCGGAGGTTGCAGTGAGCTGAGATTGCACCATTGCACTCCAGCCTGGCAACAGAGCAAGACTCCATCTCAAAAAAAAAAAAATAAATAAAGTATATACTTTCAGGGTTTATAGACTGCTTGAGAGAAGGTTTAAAAGTTTGTTATATTGCAGTGCATGGAAATAGGTGAGCAGTGCTTTTCGTTAGAGGTTTATGATGAATCGCTTTATTCAATGAGTTACAGTTTGGATGTGGATTTTAATTAGGTGGCTGCTTCAACAGTTTTTGTTTTTGTTTTTGTTTTTTGTTTTTTTTGAGGCAGAGTCTCGCTCTGTCACCAAGGCTAGAGTGCAGTGGCACAATCTCGGCTCACTGCAACCTCTGCCTCCCAGGTTCAAGCGATTCTTCTGCCTCAGCCTCCTGAGTAGCTGGGACCACAGGCATGTGCCACCACGCCTGGCTAATCTTTATATTTTTAGTAGAGACGGGGTTTCACCATGTTGGCCAGGCTGGTCTCGAACTCCTGACCTCAAATGATCCACCCACCTCTGCCTCCCAAAGTGCTGGGATTACAGGCGTGAGCCACTGCGCCTGGCCAGTTTTAGTTTCTTGATTAGTTCAAACTTCATCTTTTAAAGTTTTACCTTCTGTATTTAGCTGTAGTTCTATACAATTACAAGATACATTCAGCCTCGACTAGGTCAAACTCACTGTGGATTTCATTAACCAGGCCCAATTTAATTTAGTGCTGCCTTTCTGTTCCTTTTAAAAATTGTCCTGGATGTCAGGCCTTTGCTGGGTTTTGCCTTAACGCCTCCTTTGCTCGCCCTTGAATTTTAGCAAACGAGTCAGGAGAGACTCCGCTGGACATTGCCAAGCGCCTCAAGCACGAGCACTGTGAGGAGCTGGTGAGTCTCCCACCACAAGGACGGGGTGGGGCACCTGTCACGGGACAGGGAGCCAAGCCTGTCCTCCTTGGGCAGGGTTTGCTGTGAACCAGTGTCCTGAGCAGAGCTCAGTGTTTCTGATGGGATGAGCCGAGAATCAGCCTGCCTTGGAGAAGGTATGCTAGGGAGTCTACAGGGAAACCTAGGGGGACCCACCCCTCGCAGTGAGACTTGGGGTGTGAGTCAGTGTTTGCTGGTTGGCCGTGTTGGTAACATCACTGCTGTGGTGGGACAACTGGAACAGAGGCCCGAGGCCACCACAAGGGCCTGCTCTCTGGCCTCCGTAAGCTGTTTACTTGCTACTTTGCAGGACATCAAGGCCAACCTCCTTTCTTTGTTCCTCAGCCCCAGATCATGTGGGTTGCTCAATACCATCTTTTCCTGTTCTGGAAGAAAAGACAATGTAGACAGTAGAAAGAGCCCACCAGGCCAGGCAGCCCTGGCCTTGCCGGGGGCTCCCCAGCTTGGCTTGGGAAGGAAACTCTCTTAGGCTGTTTCCTTATTTCTACAGTGCAGTCAGTTATACCAGTATATAAGGTTGTTGTGAGAATTATTATCAAATGCTGTAAAGCAGTTGACACACAGCGCTCAGTAAATAGATTAAGGCCAGGCACAGTGACTCACGCCTTGTAATCCCAAAGCTTTGGGAGGCTAAGGCAGGGGATGATGGCTTGAGGCCAGGAATTCGAGATCAGCCTGGCAACATAGTGAGACTCTGTCTCTGCAAATGATTTAAAAACTAGCAACGCATGGTGGAGCATGCCTGTAGCCCCAGTTACCCAGGAGGCTAAGGTAGGAGGATCACTTTGAGACCAGGAGTTCAAAGCTACAGTGAGCCATAATGGTGTCACTGCACTCCAGCCTGGGCAACAGAGCAACACGCCATCTCCACAAAAACGTTTCGAATTAGCTGGGTGTGGTGGCACGCACCTGCAGTCCCAGCTACTGGGGAAGTTGAGGTGGGAGAATGGACTTGAGCTTAGGAGTTCAAGACTACAGTGAGCCATGATTATGCCAATGCGCACCAGCCTGGGGGAGAAAAAAAAGAACTATTAATAATAAATGCTATACAAGTGTAAGATAAGTAACAGGTCCTCTTTCTAAGCACTGTACATCCACGAGCTCATTTAATCTTTTTTTTTTTTTTTTTTTTTGAGATGGAGTCTTACTCTGTCACCCAGGCTGGAGTGCAGTGACATGATCTCTGTTCACTGCAACCTCCGCCTCCCAGGTTTAAGCAATTCTTCTGCCTCAGCCTCCTGAGTAACTCGGATTACAGGCACCTGCCACCACGCCCAGCTAATTTTTATATTTTTAATAGAGACGGGGTTTCACCATATTGGTCAGGCTGGTCTTGAACTCCTGACCTCAAGCAATCCACCCGCCTTGGCCTCCCAAAGTGCTGGGATTATAGGCGTGAGCCACCACACCTGACCTGTCTCATTTAATCTTCATAGCTACCTTATGACATAGTTTCTGCTGTTGTCCTCATTTTACAGATGAGGACACAGGCACAGGAAAGTTAAGTGACTTGGCCAGGGTCATGTAGCTACTATCTGGTTATGGGGGAAATTAAGCCCTGAGGTCCTGAGACACCCATAGTGTGTAACGAATTAACTTCTCTTCTGCACATGTAGAACGGAACTAGCTATCTACCTTCCTTGAGAGAACTGAGAAAATAGCCACACAGATCATTTTCTACAGCGTTTAATTCTCTCATCCTGGTTGAAAAGGCTGGGTTTACAGTGAATGAGCACATTCATTCTCCTGGGGTTGAGCTTTCTCCCATATGGAGTATGGATACTTGCAGGCTGATCAGCATCCTTTAGATCTCAAATATCCTTTGCCTGTTGTTTTGGGGAAAACTCTAGCCCTGTTTTTTCTGTACGGTTACACTGTTGTCACAACAAGCAATACAGAAGCAGACTGCTGTGACCAAAGGTGTGGGGTTCTCCCCCGACCCCATACACCAATTGTAGTCGCCTGACAGGTTCTTCTTGCCTGCTGCATAGATTAAACCCAATTCATGAGACAGTGTGATTGCAGCAGAGAAAGAGTTTAATTATGGCAAGCTGGCTGAGCGGTGGGAGGACAGGAATTATTACTCAACTGTGTCCCCACAAAGGCTCAGAGGTTAGGGTTTTTCAAGGATGGTTGGATGGGCAAGAGGGCTAGGAAATGGGTGCTGCTGATTGGTTGGGAGTGAAATCATAAGAGTATGAGAAACAGCCCTTGTCCACTGCATATCATCTCGGGGGGGCCACGGGACTGTTTGAGTCATGAGTCAGGTTCAGTGGAGTCAGTTGGTCACCAGGATGCAAAAGTCTGAAAAAATATCTCAAAAGATCAGTCTTAGGATATGTTATCTATAGGATCAATTGGGGAAGTCACAAGTATCGTGGCCTCTGGTGCAGTAAACAATTTTTTTAAAAAAAGACAGTGTCTCTCTGTTGCCCAGGTTGGAGTGCAATGGCGTGCTTGTGGACAGCCTCAAACTCCTGAGCTCAAGCGATCCTCTCACCTCAGCCTCCCGAGTAGCTGAGACTACAGATGCATGCCACCACGCCTGGCTAAAAAAGTTTTTAAATTTTTTGTAGTGATGGGGTCTCGCTATGTTGCCTGGGCTGGTCTCAAACTCCTGGCTCAAGCAGTCCTCCTGCCTCAGCTTCCCAAAATGCTGGGATTACAGGTGTGAGCCACTCCACTGGATGGTAAACAATTACATTAATAGAGAGGCAAGCTGCACCTACATTTTAGCAGAATTCAGACCCTTCCCATAATCCTAATCTTGAGGCCTTTCATTAGTCTTCCAAAGGCACTTTCAAGTTCCCTAACAAGAACAGAGTCAGTTTTCACATGCACACGTATGTTTATTGCGGCACTATTCACAATAGCAGAGAGACTTGGAACCAACCCAAATGTCTGTCAGTGATAGACTGGATTAAGAAAATGTGGCACATATACACCGTGCAATACTGTGCAGCCATAAAAAAGGATGAGTTCATGTCCTTTGTAGGGACATGAATGAAACTGGAAACCATCATTCTGAGCAAATTATTGCAAGGACAGAAAACCAAACACCGCACGTTCTCACTCATAGGTGGGAACTGAACAGTGAGAACACTTGGACACAGGGCGGGGAACATCACAAACCGGGGCCTGTCATGGGGTGGGGAGACGGGGGAGGGATAGCATCAGGAGATATACTTAATGTAAATGATGAGTTAATGGGTGCAGCACACCAACATGGCACATTTGTACGTATGTAACAAATCTGCACGTTGTGCACATGTACCCTAGAACTTAAAGTATAATAAAAAAATAAATTAATTAAAAAGAAAAGAACAGAGTCAGTTTTAGGGAGGGACTATTACCATCCTTGATTCAAACTTACACCACAAACTAAATTCTTCCCATGGTTAGCTTGGCCTGTGCCCAGGAATAAGGGAGGACAGCCAGCCTGTGAGGCCAGAAGCAAGATGGAGTCAGCCATGCTAGACTTTTTTCACTACCATGTTCTTGTAAAGGCGGTTTCACAAGCAGCAGACACCAGCTGGCTGTCCTCCAGTTCAATTAGACACTATCTACTTGGAGGTAGTGTTAGATCCCACAGGCTGGGGGCTCAGTCCCCAAGACTGTCTTCCACCCCAGACACCAGTCACAAATCAACCTCCAGAACTTCTGACCAACCGGCTTCAAGTTGGGGTTCCCACAGCCCCCTCTTTGGGTTTGAATAATTTGCTGGAGTGGCTCATAGAACTCAGGGAGACACTTGTGTTTACTGGTTTATTATAAAGGATATTGCAAAGCATACAGATAGAGAGGTGCGTAGGGCAAGGTGTGGGGGAGGGGACATGGGGGTTCCATGCCCTCCCTGGGTGCCACCCTCCAGGACCCTCTGTGTGGTTTGCCATCCTGAAGCTCGAGAACCAGTCCTCTTTGATTTTTATGGAAGCTTCTTGGTGTCAGCATCTCTTCCCCCAGGGTACAGGGTGAGACCCTCTCTGGGGAGGGCCTTAAGACCCACAGTCAGAAAAGTGGGGGACGATAAGAGTCCTGCCTTGGGGCAGGAGAAGTTCAGAGAGATTCTGTCTCCTGAGGCCTTAACACTCCATGTTATAACCGAAGACTGTAACAAGGGATTTGAGAGTTACGAGCCGGGAACTGTGGATGAAAACTAATACAGTTTACAAAGCCTTTGCTGGGACATACCAGCTTTGAGTTTCAAGGTTACGCTGTGAAGTAGGCAGAGGGGCGGGGGCTTCACCTGAGACCCAGAGATTTCCATGCATTTGCCTTGGACTAGAAGGCAGGCCTCCTGCCTGCACACTTCAGTGGGTCCAGATGCATGGCCGAGTGTATGAGCAACAGCACTGACCATCCCTCTGTTCTCTCAGCTGACCCAAGCCTTATCTGGAAGATTTAATTCTCACGTTCACGTTGAATATGAATGGCGACTACTCCACGAAGACCTGGATGAAAGTGATGACGACATGGATGAGAAATTGCAGGTCTGTGCCAGGTTGCTAACCATTAAGAGTTTTGATCAGCTTCATCCAGAACAGTGTGGGTCCTAATCTGTAATTAAGGCAGAAAGCTGTTTTATAGAAATGAAAATGTAGCTTACTTTATGCTTTCATTGATCTCAGTAGGCTCTTGGTTTTACCCTTCCCACTACCATCTCCTGTCTCCCAGCTCCTGCACCCATTAATTTAAAGGAATGGCTAATTATGTACTTATAGGCAGCCTTTTGCTACAAAGGAAAGGTGTGTGTGGCGGGGGGGTTGATTCCAGTGGATTTAGAGGAAGGTCTCTTGCTATGGAGTCATGTCATAAAGAGCCAGATTTCCCCCAGTCTAGGTGATCACATTCTCCTGGTTGATCTTATAAAAACATCAACTGAAATCATCAGACGACCTTTAGAGCTCACTGGGTCCAACCCCTTCCTTTATCAGTTTGGGATATTGAAGCCTCAAGAGAAAAGTTGACTTGGCCAAAGTGAAGCAGCTATTTAGAGGCAGGCTTGGGACTGCACGAAGGCTCTTGCCTCCTCCTCCAGCTCCCTTCTTACCATCCTCACTGCTTCATACGCAGGGGTGAGCCCCAGGAAGGTTGCTGCCTTCACGCAGGACTTGGAGCTGAGAGTCAGACTTAGGCCTTGTGACCCAAAGCCCTGGCTCCTAGCCGCGACCCACTTCCATCTGTCCTTCAGCATGGTGCTTCGAGGCATGTCTGGAATGTGCTCTGTGCTGAATTAGTGGCAAATGCCACATTAAACACATTTTCATGGTTTGGCTTTTTTTTTTTTCTGTAATGCATTAATGTTCTGATGTGTATTGAGGATATCTAATTAGATGGATGGATAGGTCAGTAGGTAACCAGATGGCATTTCTGAAACCTGTTGGACTGTCTGCTCATGGAGTTAACATCCATACTTAACTGCTTCTTAGAATACAGAATAAGAAATTACTTCACTGAGTTAGCTACAAAACACTGTCAAAGTGAGAAGAGTTGACTGATTTCATACTTAACCTGCCTTAAAAAAAAAAAGCTGGAAGCAGTCTGCCCCAGCCTGCCTCTTCATCAAGCGGTCAGATGCCACATTCCCATTTGATGAGCAGTGATGAAGCAGGTTGCATAGTCCAAGGAAAAGCACAAGAGCAGGGGCTGGTGTGGAGTCCTAAGACTCATCCACGCTGCTCACCTGATTCTCAGCAGACAGCAGCCGTGGGCTTTGCAATTTAGAAATATGTGTGAAGAACCACTGGGTGCTTAGTTCTGCACACCTGAGCTGGGTTTGAACCATTGGTTTGTCCAGAACCTAGAAAGGGTTGGTGGTCCTGTGAGGGAGAGGCAGGGCTGCCACAGTTCATACTGAGCACCTGCTAAGCACCTGGCATTGTGCTAGAAAAGCACTCGTCATATCCAGTGAACAGACAAGAATGTGGTCAGCAAGGTTGAGTCATTTGCTCACAATCATACCTAGTTTAATGAAGCTGGCATTTGAAATAGAAGTTAGGTCTAAGTTACCTGAGTCATCATTCCATGCATTCACTTCCAAGAAAGCACATGACCGGCCGAGCGCGGGGGCTCACGCCTGTAATCCCAGCACTTTGGGAGGCTGAGGCGGGCGGATCACGAGGTCAGGAGATTGAGACCATCTTGGCTAACACGGTGAAACCCCGTCTCTACTAAAAAATACAAAAAAATTAGCCGGGCTTGGTGGTGGGTGGGGGGGCGCCTGTAGTCCCAGCTACTCAGGAGGCTGAGGCAGGAGAATGGCGTAAACCCGGGAGGCGGAGCTTGCAGTGAGCTGGGATTGCGCCACTGCATTCCAGCCTGGGCAACAGAGAGAGACTCTGTCTCAAAAAAAAAAAAAACCATATAACCTTCAGGGGGGAGCAGGGGTGGCCAAACTCTTAAAGGGCCAGATAGTAAATATTTTAAGCTCTACGGGCCTAAAGCGTCACAGTCCATGTTAACAATTACTCAGCTCTGCCAGGATGGCTCAAAAGCAGCCTTAGACAGTATCTAAATGACAGGACATGGCTATGTTCCAATAAAACTTTACTGACAAAAAACAGGTGGTAGTCCATAGGCCACTGTTTGCTAACCCTAATTTGGAGGAATCTCAGGAGCTCCTGTTCATATGGGAGGAAAACATCGATCTCTGCTGAATGAGCCATATAGCTGTTGGAGATTGAGTGCAGCGGGCTGGCCAGAGCTGGCCACCCTGTGGGGTAGCATAAGAAGGCATGTTTGGGAAGGGGAACTTCAGGGAAAATGCTGACTTAGGTTGAGATAACTTCGACTCATAAGATAAATAGCTTATATTTTAAATCCATCACAGAATGGAGAATTTTAACCTGTAATTAACAGATTTTTTGGTATGTGTGTGTTTACTAGTCAGTTCTTACACTGCTGTAAAGAAATACCTGAGACTGGGTAGTTTATAAAAGAAAGAGGTCTAATTCACTCACACCTCCACATGGCTGGGAAACATACAATCATGGCAGAAGGGGAAGCAGGCACCTCTTCACAGGGTGGCAGGAGAGAGAGCAAGCGAGAGCAGGGAAAACTGCCTTATAAAACCATTAGGTCTTGTGAGAACTCACTATCCCAAGAACAGCAGAGGGGAACCGCTGCCATGATCCAGTCACCTCCTTCCCTCGACAAGTGAAGATTACAATTCGAGGTGAGATTTGGGTGGGGACACAAAGCCAAACCATATCAGTGTGTGTTTCCTTCACGAGACACAAGGAGGAGTGAATTTTCACTCTTGCAGCTCTCACGCAACTTGTAGCTCTCAGGCAACAGTTGAGAGCTCAAATGGTACCAGGCCCAGCAGAGTTGGTGTCAGTGAGGTTTTCACCCCTGTGTTGAATGTTATCACCAGGAGCAGTTCATATTTGTCTCACACGCCTCTGCCCCAATGTTCTCCTGCAGCCCAGTCCCAACCGGCGGGAAGACCGGCCCATCAGCTTCTACCAGCTGGGCTCCAACCAGCTTCAGTCTAACGCTGTATCTTTGGCCAGAGATGCTGCAAACCTTGCCAAGGAGAAGCAGAGGGCTTTCATGCCCAGCATCTTGCAGAATGAGACTTACGGAGCCCTCCTGAGTGGCAGCCCACCTCCCGCCCAGCCTGCAGCCCCCAGCACCACCAGCGCCCCCCCGCTTCCTCCACGGAATGTTGGCAAAGGTATGAAGCTGTCCGTCATCCCTGTGAATATATAGAGGGTCTTGTTTTGTGGTTTGGGAAGTTTGCAGCTGCCCTGCCTCCAACTCAGTGACCTTTGGGCTCTTTTGTTTTGTAGTTATTTTCTGTTTGCTTCCTAAAGGGATTCCATCATTCTTATCAGGCCAGATGGTGGTAGAGTCTCTTGATTTGACTCTTATTCTGGGCAGAGTTGTGGCATCTGCCTGGCTTGGGTAACATGGGAACTCCCCCAGGGCAGCCTGAGGTGGCCAACTGGGCTCCCGGGGCTGGGCCAAAAGACACACTCCTTCAGGTCTCCCCTCTGCACCCTTCTGTTTACCTTTCTCCACTCCTTCCCAGGCCTTCATTCTTCCTTTTTATTTCTCTTCTGCCTTCATCTGGTCCAGCTCATGGCCCCTGCGATTACTTCTTACCCATGATCCCCATAAAAGATATTGGGGAACGATGCTCGGCCTAATTGTAAAATACAAAACCAGCCCTGTGGGCCTACCAGTGTCTTAGGGCAAAAAGCATGCTTTTCTTACCTCAGCTGTAACCTGGAGGTTTTGACTCAACAGGTGACACTTTCTGTTTTTAGAAATACGCAAACCAAAGCTCTCAGAAGTTAAGTAATTTGTTCATTCCTGAAGAGCAGCTGGCTACGGTGCTTCTTGAAGGCAGGTCCGGCGAGTGACCCACTCAGCTCTGGGCTGAGCTCCAGTCGTGGCCATGGCCTTCAGAGGGTTTCCCACATGAAGGAGGCTGCTGAGACTTTGATGCGGGGCGGGGGGCCCAGGAAGGACAAGAGTCTGCACAGAGCATGTATCCAGGCATTGTGGCCGCTGTGAGCCGCTGATGGAGTGGAGCCCACGTCCCCAAATACATCCCAAACTGTCCTTATGTGGTAGCTGCTAGCTGGGCAGGCTGGGTCGGTGCGTGAGGGTGGCTGAGGCCGGGAGACCTGGCCCAGGGCTGAGCAGACGGCTGCAGCTTTGTGCTGCACGTACACTCGGCTGTGCTGCTGGGCCCATCTTCCCTGCCGTCCTGGGTGTCTCACAGACCCTCACACGGCTCTGCCCCTGTCATTCAGGGAGGCCCAGAGAAGTGACAGTGAACCTGTCATGTGAGTCACTGAGTCATACCCCGAAGAACAAACCTGCTGAGAGCAGACCTTCCCCCAGGCAGGCCCAGAAGCCAGCTGCTTGCTGTCCCCACACAGCCCACATCCCAGACCGCGTCCATCCCTGGCTTGATGAGGACGTCCCTGAGCACAGAAGGCAGCTACAAGATGAAGCCACACAGTCGCATCTCCTCCCTGTCAAACCCCCAGGCTGGCTGGTCGGGGCCCAGGGTGGGTGCGGCTTTCTCCCCGCCTCTCCCAGATCCTGCAGGCAGGCATCAATTTTCTACGGCCCACAATCAAGATGATTTTGATCATCCTCCTTCCCAGCAGTGGCTTTTGCTGACTGTGTGTGTCACGGGAGGAAAGATTTTATTTTGTTCCACTGGGTCATGGAGGGGTAAACTCTTAATCTCCTGGTTTCCCGAAGTCTTGGAATTCAAGGGTTTTGATTTTTTTTCCTTTTTCTTTTTGCCGTTCCTGTCCCTAGCATCATTTCTTCTTCCAGTAATGTAGGTCATACCCCTTACCTGCCATCTCCACCATTCTCTGTGTAGCCCACATGTGGTCTTGGATGGAATTCTCACATGCAGATAAATAGCAAATGGAGTTGACAGTGTCAGCCTTGCATTTGGGGCGGACCTGGCTCCCCAGGGGAGGAGCTCGAAGGCTTCCTCTGGACCCAGTGGCCTGGCCCATTTCTAGGCCTAGCCTTTGCCCTACAGGCCGTGCACAGCCTCCAACATGGGGTCACACCTAGCACCTGGGCCCTGTGCACCTGAGCTTGGAGGTTTGTGAGGCAGAAGAAGGGCTTGTGACCTGGAAAATGCCATCTCTTGTGGGTCACCTGAACCTGATTGGTGTCATCTGTGTCTGCTTCCAGCCAGAAATATGTTTGCGGGAGGGAGGGAGAGAGAGCCCCTCCTCTAGTGTCTGATTTGCACTCTGCCCCCAACCTGTGCCAGCTGGGCACACGGTGTTCCTCTTCACATGGTGGTGACTCCCACAGCCCATGGGAAGGAGTCGGTGGGAGGGTGGAGAGGAGCAGAAGTTCCAGAAGCTCCAAGTGCAGTGTTCGCAAGAGAACATTGTGACTGTTTATTTCCTTCTTCAAATGATACTGATATTTGATAAATAAACTCAGGAATTTTAAATTTCATGGATTGAGAAAACCTGCTGAGAATAGTCCTTGGAGCCTCTTCGGTTTCGCGAGTATCAGTGTCTATCTTCCACATGCCGGAGACAGGAGTAAAAGCATTGAGGGTTCTAGGTAGAAGGGTCATACTGACCGTTTCATAAGGGGGAGGATCAATAACGCAGTGTTCTGTTTCTGTTTTTGTTCGTGTGTGCACGTGTATGTGTGCGTGCATGCGTCTGTGTGCATGCGTGTGGGTTCAGTTCAGACAGCCTCCTCTGCTAACACCCTGTGGAAGACAAACTCTGTAAGTGTGGACGGTGGAAGCCGGCAGCGATCTTCGTCAGATCCGCCAGCTGTCCATCCACCGCTGCCCCCTCTTCGCGTGACATCTACCAGTACGTTTTTTTCCTTTTTCCTTTCTTGCCCGTGGGCTTTGTAGATCTGGATGGCGGGGGGTGCTCTCTGGAGCCACACAGCTGCCAGCACAGACACGTGCCAAGTGCCCCGTGTTGTATGGCTCCCTGTGGCTCTTGTGCAGGGCTCTCAGCTCCCCCAGCCTCCTTCGTCACAGCTGCAAACCCCTGCCTGTCCCCACACTGCACCACCAAGTAGCTTCCTCACTCCCTTCCTCTGTCTTCCAAAGCATTTCAGCAACATTTCCTCCTTTACACAGTACCCCAGGGTTTCTTTTTCCTTTGGCCATTTGGTGATTTTCAATATTTTGGGGACAGTCACTTGGATTAGAATCTGGCTTTTTGTTTTTCTTTTCTTTTTCTTTTTTTTTTTTTTTTTGAGACAGAGTCTCACTCCATCGCCCAGGCTGGATGCAATGGCACAATCTTGGCTTGCTGCAACCTCTGCCTCCCGGGTTCAAGAGATCGTCCTGCCTCAGCCTCCCAGGTAGCTGGGATTACAGGAGCCTGCCACCATGCTCAGCTATTTTTTTTTTTTTTTTGTATTTTTAGTAGAGATGGGGTTTCACCATGTTGGCCAGCCTGGTCTCGAACTCCTGACCTCAGGTGATCCACCTGCCTCAGCCTCCCAGAGTTCTGGGATTACAGGCATGATCCATGGTGCCCAGCCTTGTTTTTCTTTTTAAGACAGGGTCTCTCTTTGTCCCCCAGGCTGGAGTGCAGTGGCACAATCATGGCTCACTGCAGCCTCCAACTCCTGGGTTCAAGGGATCCTCCTGCCTTAGCCTCCTGAGTAGCTGGGATTATTGGTGCAAGCGTATTTTTTGTAGAGACAGGGTTTTGCTATGTTGCCCAGGCTCGAATTCCTGGGCTCAAGTGATCCACCCGCCTTGTCCTCCCAAAGTGCTGGGATTACAGGTGTGGGCCACCACGCCCAGCCTGGCATGTTTTCTTTAATATCAACATGTGGTTGAAAGTCCTGAAAACCTTGGGTAAAGAAGCGGGAGGAGGTTTTTAGGAAGAAGTTTTTCTCCAGTGTACAGAACTAAAGTCTTTTTTCACTGGATCAGAGAAGCGAGCCCTGGATGCTGCCCTGTCTCCTGCTGCAGCAGCCCTGGAGTGGGGAGTCCAGCATCTCTGGGCTTCATTGCTTCCAGAGCATGAGAATTCTAGAGCCGAGGTGCTCGTGACTTCCTTAGAGTAAGTTAAAATTAAAAGCAGCCCAGCCCCAGCTAGAGTCAGTGCCATGTGTGCACATGCCGGCAGCAGAGCCGGGAGCAGTGGGTCTGGGAGGGTCTTCAGAGGTTTCCAAGGCGAACACACCAAAGGCCAGAAGGAACCACTTTCCTGCCTCTCCGTCTGGTGGTCCAGGGGCTGCATTTGTGTGCTAGAGTCAGACTTTTGAGTTTTCCTTTAAATTGGAAAAAGGAAACAATAATGATAAAAAGAAAGATCATAAGCTGGATCCCTTCATGTTTCCCCACGCCAGTTTCCTCTCTGTGTAGCTGAAGGCCTCATTCTTCCTGGCTTTTCCTGGCAGAGGGAAACCCAGCGCCTTATGTGTTACCCATCCTGAGGCCCAGTATGATAAGCCCGACATTTAGAGAGGGCTTAATGCCTATCAAGGGAGGAGAGACGGAGGAAGGAGACTTGGACTCACAGCCTCCCTCCAGGTCTTACCAGCTCTGCCACCCTTGACGAGAGCTCTTCCCCTCCGTGGGCCTCAGCCTCCTTGTCTGTAAAACGTAGACACTAAGAAAGCTCTTCACCCACCCACTCCGGAGACTGAGGAGCCGTTACTAAGTTAGTAGCTCCCATCTCTCCTCAGATCCACCCTGCCCAGCAGCCCGATGAAGTGGGTAGGGCCTCATCCCTTTGGCCACAGGTCAGTCGATGTGCAAAGCAGGCCCTGCTTCCCCGGGCAGAGCTGAGGGCCCCGGCCTCCTGCTGTTGGGTCTTTGAGTGGAGAGCAGGAAACTGCTGGCTTTCCCCCAGGGAGTTCTAGCTGAGAAAATACTCACTCACAGGCTGATAGAAAAATTGTCATCCTAACTTTAGGCTCCCAGCTTCCTTATTAGTTTGGAAAGGACTCCCTGCTTCCTCCCTGTGAATGGTTTTCTGAAAACTGGCAAGGAAATAGCAGCAGGTTTTTCCTTAGGAAATAGCAATAAAAAACTGAAGCCCTTCTCAGAAAAGCCTCCAGTGAGGAGGCCTGAGTGGGAAGCCTGGCGGCTGACCCTCTGCACGTCTCTCCCTGTCCTCCGCAGATCCCCTGACCCCCACGCCGCCCCCACCCGTTGCCAAGACGCCCAGCGTAATGGAAGCCTTGAGCCAGCCGAGCAAGCCTGCCCCGCCTGGGATCTCACAGATCAGGCCCCCACCTCTGCCCCCACAGCCGCCCAGCCGCCTCCCGCAGAAGAAGCCTGCGCCGGGGTAAGCCACCCCCAGCCAGCTCGGCCATCCGTGCTCCTGCCCTCTGACCTCACCTGCCCAGGGCTCTGCAGGAATGTTTGCAATCCCCAGGGCTCCTACTCCAGCGTGGGCGCCACATAACTAATTCATCGGGGCTGAAGGGTCTTAAAAATAACTGGAGGATTTTTAGACTGTAAAAATGTCTTACAAATGTACATTTTAAGTCCACAGAATGAATTCAGACAAAGTGTCCTCAACACACAAGGCTTCTGGGTTCTATTTGCTGCTCACCCCCCAGGTGGTCTCTGTTTCTGTTTTCTATTTTCCCAAGGTTGTTTTGAACACATAGACCCTCTGTGGTGTGAGGCGTGGATTTCCCACAAACAAGGACATTGTCCTACCTCACACAATACCACCTGCAAAATCAGGAAATTAACACGGATGTAGAAACACCACCCAATCCTTAGACCCAGGTCAAGCTTAGCTGTTTGTCCAAATAATGCCCCTTGTTGCAGATGGGTCTAGTTTGTGGCTTTTTTTTTTTTTTTTTTTTTTTGAGACTGAGTCTAGCTCTGTCACCCAGGCTGGAGTGCAGTGGCGTGATCTCGGCTCACTGCAAGCTCTGCCTCCAGGGTTCTTGCCATTCTCCTGCCTGAGCCTCCCGAGTAGCTGGGACTACAGGTGCCTCCCACCACGCCTGGCTAATTTTTTGTATTTCTAGTAGAGACGAGGTTTCGCCGTGTTAGCCAGGATGGTCTCGATCTCCTGACCTCGTGATCCACCTGCCTCGGCCTCCCAAAGTGCTGGGATTACAGGCGTGAGCCACTGCACCAGGCCCCAGTTCGTGGCTCTTAATCTGGATCTTTATGGTGGGAAATGGTTCCTTTTAGTGGAAATGATATTTAGAGGCCAAGTTCTGGGGGCTAGGTGGAGAGTCACTGCTCCCACACAGGCCCTCTGAGCTGTTAGAACTTGGAAATATACGCACATGTACATGGATACATACATACACCACTTATCTCTCTATTCCGTATATTTCTGTATTGAAATCCATGAGTTCACATTGACATCTCTGATTTCAGTTGTTCTAGTAACAAACCACACCAGACTGACAGACATGAGGCACAGCCAGTTTATTCTGCTGACAGATTGTCAGGAATTTGGATGGTACTGTGGGGTCTTCGTCTTTTCTCCACAGTGTCTGGAGCCTTCGCTGAAAGGACTCGAAGCCTGGGGGTGGTTGGACACAGGAGGTGACTCGTTGGCTGGGGGTTACGGTCAGAGTCTCTTCACGCCCCCCGTGGTAGCTGACGCTGCCTGTCAGCCAGAGCCTCAGCTGGGCTGTGACCAGAACACCTACATGTCCCTGGCATGGGCTTCCTCATATCACGGTGGCTGGGTCCACGGACAGGTCCCCAGAGAGAGGCCTGGCCCTGGAAGCTGGCACGGAATGACTTCCGCCATACGTCACTGCTCAGTTACAAGCTCAGACACAGTCGGGGCAGAGAGGACTGTGGAGTGGCACAAGGAAGTCATCAGTTCCACCTCTCAATAAAGAATTTGGGGCCAGGCGCCATGGCTCACGCCTGTAATCCCAGTACTTTGGGAGACCAAGGTGGGCGGATCACCTGAGGTCCAGAGTTTGAGACCAGCCTGGCCAACATGGCAAAACCCCACCTCTACTAAAAATACAAAAAAATTAGCTGGGCATGGTGGCATGCACCTGTAATCCCAGCTACTCAGGAGGCTGAGGCAGGAGAATCCCTTGAACCCAGGAGGCGGAGGTTGCAGGGAGCTGAGATCACGTCATTGTACTCCAGCCTGGGCAACAAGAATGAAACTCCATCTCAAAAATAAAAAAATAAAGAATTTGGAGACTAGGCACCATGGCCCACATCTGTAATCCCTGCACTACTGTGTTTTTGTTTTTTTGTTTTGTTTTGTTTTGTTTTTCTTGTGTTTTTTTTCTTTTTTTTTTTTTTTTTTTTTTTTTTTTTTTGAGATGGAGTCTTGCTCTGTCGCCCAGGCTGGAGTGCGGTGGCGCGATCTTGGCTCACTGCAAGTTCCGCTTCCCAGGTTCACACCATTCTCCTGCCTCAGCCTCCCAAGTAGCTGGGACTACAGGTGCCCACCACCACGCCTGGCCAATTTTTTATATTTTTAGTAGAGATGGGGTTTCACCGGGTTAGCCAGGATGGTCTCAATCTCCTGACCTCGTGATCTGCCCTCCTCGGCCTCCCAAAGTGCTGGGATTACAGGCTTGAGCCACTGTGCCCAGCCCATCCCTGAAGTTTTTTAGGAGTAGAGAAATAAAGTTAAACTTTTACTTAGTCCCTCTGTTTTTCAAGATATTCCCAATAGCCGCACCTGGTATCCCCCATCCAGACACCGTCCGTTTTGCCCTCTCCAAGAATAGAAGCTTCCTGTCCTTAGTAGGTTGGGCAGGGCAGCGGCTAAGGCTACTCAGAGCTGGGGCGAGATTCCAGGGGTTCAGGAGCTCCTCAGACAGATTTTTGGCTAATTCTTCTGCATACTACCTTGCCTTTCTCCCCTTCCAGAGGGTCCTGAGCCTTCTGAGGACACTTCAGGACTACAGATAGGAGCATTTCAGGGCCTTCCTCACTGCTGGAGTGGGATTCCATTCCTGAGATCAACTAGGTTGACTGTGATTTATCTTTCACTCTGTTGCCCAGGCTGGAGTACAGTGGTGTGATCACGGTTCACCGCAGCCTCGACCTCCTGGGCCCAGGTGATCCTCCCACCTCAGCCTCCGCATAGCTGGGACCACAGGCACGCACCACCATGCCCGGTTAATTTATTTTTATATTTTGTAGAGGTGGGGGTCTCCTTATGTTGCCCAGGCTGGTCTCGAACTCCTGGGCTCAAGCAGTCCTCCCACCTTGGCCTTTCAGAGTACTGGGATTACAGGCATGAGGCACTGCGCCTCACCTCTTTTAGGTTTAATTTTTAAAAATCCTTTTCCTTGGAAAGAAATGGAAGTAAATGTACTTAAATCTGCCATTTTAACCAGAAGACTCCCAAAACTTTTTAAATGCTACTTTGCAAGATAACTTTCTAAAATATAACATGCAGGGCTGGGCACAGTGGCTCACACCTACAATCCCAGCACTTTGGGAGGCCAAGGTGGGTGGATCACTTGAAGCCAAGAGTTCAAGACCTGCATGGCCAACATGGCAAAACCCTATCTCTACTAAAATTACAAAAATTAGCCGGGCATGATGGCACACACCTGTAATCCCAGCTACTCGGGAGGCAGAGGCAGGAGAATCACTTGAACCCAGGAGGTGGAGGTTGCAGTGAGCCAAGATCACACCACTGCACTCCAGCCTGGGCAACAGAGCCAGACTCCGTCTCAAAAAAATAAAAATAAAATATGCATATCTGTGCCCTCCTAGTCTTAAACAGCTACTGAATTATGCTGTAATAAATGGGCTTTCCAGTGCTAATTATTTCTGCCTCTATACCAAAGTGGCCACAGGCCATGCTTCTCTTGGCTTCTGGGCTCTCTTCTGCCTTCCCTTATGACTCCCTGGGATTTACGCTTTCCATGCTGCTGTTTTTCGAGAGAAACAAATCACGTGTTGAAGTCCTGGCTAAGGAGCCGTCAGCTCCCAGCAGTTATTGGGACTCTGAGAACCGTGGTTGTCAGCTGTGAGGTGCAGGTTCCTTGTTCTCAGAAGCGTTCTAGCTGGCGGGAGCTGGACAGGTTTCCTCTGGAACACAATTTTACCTGGTTTCACATCTGACTGGCAGGAAAAAGGGAAGCAGGGCAAGTGAGGTTAGGGCTACCCGGGACAGACGGGGATGGACGGAGCCATGTCGTCAGCGCCCAGTGGAGTTCTGACTGTAAAGGAACACACCGGTACGCCCTCCTTGTGAAGGATGCTATCCCTTCCCCACCACCGGTGATTTTGTCTCTGGGATAAATGTGAATTTTCACACCTGTTCTCTTAGGGTAGGAGTCAGCAAACTATGGCTCACAGGCCACATCCAGCCTGCTGCCTGTTTTTTAGGGCCATGAGCTAAGAACTAAGAATGGCTTTTATATTTGTAATTGGTTGGGAAAAAAAAATCAAAAGGATATATATATATATATATATATATTTTTTTTTTTTTTTTTTTTTTTTTTGAGACGGAGTCTCGCTCTGTCGCCCAGGCTGGAGTGCAGTGGCTCGATCTCTGCTCATTGCAAGCTCCGCCTCCCGGGTTCACGCCATTCTCCTGCCTCAGCCTCCTGAGTAGCTGGGACTACAGGCGCCCGCCACCACGCCCGGCTAATTTTTTGTATTTTTAGTAGAGATGAGGTTTCAGCATGTTAGCCAAGATGGTCTCGATCTCCTGACCTCATGATCCGCCCGCCTCGGCCTCCCAAAGTGCTGGGATTACAGGCGTGAGCCACTGCGCCCGGCCTCAAAAGGATATTTTGTGGCACATGAAAATTGTGTGAGATTCACTTCAGCACTCAGAAAATATTATTGGAACATTAGCCACACCTGTTTTTTTATGTAGTCTGGGGCTGCTTTCACACCACAGTGGCAGAGTTGAATACTTGAAACAGAGATGCTAGAATCCACAAAACCAGCTGGGTGCAGTGGCTCACACCTATAATCCCAGAGCTTTGGGAGGCCGAGGCAGGAGGATTGCTTGAGACTAGGAGTTCGAGACCAGGCTGGAAAACATAGTGAGACCATGTCTTTACAAAAAATTTTGAAAGTTAGCCAAGCATGGTGGCGTGCACCTGTAGTCCCAACTACTCAGGAGGCTGAAGCGGGAGGATCACTTGACCCCAGGAGTTCCGAGGCTGCGGTGAACTGATTGCCGCACTGCACTCGAGCTTGGGTAATAGGGCAGGACCCTGACTCAAAAAACAAACACAAAGGCCAGGCACAGTGGCTCACACCCGTAATCCTAGCACTTTGGGAGGCCGAGGTGGGCAGATCACCTGAGGTCAGGAGTTTGAGACCAGCCTGGCCCACATGGTGAAACCCCGTCTCTACTGAAAATACAAAAAATTTGCTGTGCGTGGTGGTGCACACCTGTAATTCCAGCTACTCGGGAGGCTGAGGCAGGAGAATTGCTTGAACCCGGGTGGCAGAGGTTGCAGTGAGCCGAGATTGTGCCACTGCACTCTAACCCGGGTGACAGTGCAAGACTCCATCTCAAAAAAAAAAAAAAAAAATTCACAAAGCCTAAAAAGTTTACTATCTGCCTCTTTAAAGAAAAAGTCTGCTCACTGCTGTCTCAGAGGATCAGGCCTTCCCTGCGAGTGTTCTGTAGTTAGGGATGACTGCCGGCCAGGGGGTCAGCCAGGTCAGTGTAGTGATGTCTGCAGAGACATTTACACCCAGAGACACAGATGGAAAACAAATGGCTAGACTGGTCAAATGGGAGGGGTCTTTGTTTTATGGAATAAAACAAAGTTCCTTTTCAGTTCCTTCAGCGTATGAGCAAAACCCATGTGATGTTTTCTCTCCCTTCATTCTGGGACTGCAAGCATTGAGGCCAGACAGGGTTCATTCCGAGCAGCGAAGGGAGTGTCGACAGACGGGAGCGTACAGTGGAAAGAATCCCATCCTTGCCTTCCCCTTCCCTTCCTCCCTGGTCTTCCTCTTCTGCTTCTCCAGCCCCCGTCCTGTGCCTGGCTTTATGCTAGGTCCAGGAGATCCACCGGGGAGCTGAAGCCACTGGCACTGGTCCTTAGCTCTGGAGTTGACGGATCTTGTGTCACACCTTTTGCAGATGAAAATGCTGACTCTCCAGAACCCATTTATCCAGGGCTGCCAGGTGGCAGGTTCGAGATGAGGGACCCCTCTCTGCCAGCCCTGAGAACTACTTCCTCACTCATGTGTTTCTACCTTGTGGCTTTGGGGTGTGCTGGCCCAGAGGTTCATGGATGGGGCTTGAGCCCGTGGTCAGCCACATTGGTTCCCAGAAGCAGGGACGGCAGAGGCATGGACAGCGCTGACCCAGAGTGCTCGGACCCGTCCTGGCAAAGCCATCTGGGCCTGAGGTTAAGGTTCAGCCCTGCCCTTTCATGTGATGGGACCAAGGCAGGGAAGGGGCTGAGCAGACTCGGGGCGGGGCCAGTGGCCAGTGCCCAGCATCACTCCAGACCCTGGCCATCGGTGGCAGGCTCACGTGGACAGAGTGCTCTGGAAAAGCCCTGGTTTTAGGATCAGAAACGTTGAATTTAGCACTTTCCTCAGGGCCTCTCATTCTTCCTTTTCCCATAAAAAAGAGACAGCTAAGTGACAGTGGAGGAAACCACCTCACACACTCTGAGCTTGAACTCAGAAGGTTCTCTGATAAAAGGGGATGAGAAAGGGGCAGGTGCCCTCCGGTAGCAGTAAATCTACTTTTTCCCTGTCTTTGTAGGGCTGACAAGTCCACCCCACTGACCAACAAAGGCCAACCGAGAGGACCTGGTAATTATTTAATTTGGGACTGAGTTTGTTTCTGCTTGGTCCATGGGGGCAATGTGGGGGATGTTTCCTGCCAGGTGGTCAGGACTGAGGGAGGGCCCAGCTGTCTGCCATTCCACAGCCCTCCTGCCCCCTCCCCTCCTGCCCCCTCCCCTCCTGCCCCCTCCCCTCCTGCCCCCTTCCCCTCCTGCCCTCTTCCTCTCCTTCCTTCCCTCCTTCCTTCCTTCCTCCCCCACTCCTGCCTTCCTCTGCTCCCTTCTCCTCCTCTCCCCCTCCCTCCCCCATCTCATGCCTTCCTCCCCCGCCACCTGCCTTCCTCCACCCCTCCCTTCCCCTCCCCTCCTCTCACCCTCCTCCCTGCCTTCCTCCTCCCTCCTCCCTCCTGCCATCCTCCCTCCTCCCTCGGCCTCTGAGACCCCTGCTCCTGAGCAGCTCAGTCCTGGGGCCCCTCACCTGTCCCCTCCTGCTGACATGGCAGGCTCACTGGGGGACACTCGCTGCCACACAAGCTCTCCAAGGTCTGCATCCAAGTCAGAAGGTTCCCTTTCCCCTCAACAGATCGGAACACCTGGGGAAACCTGCTTTCAGACACACCCTGTGGCTTGTACATTGTTTACATCTCATGGCTGTGATTGATGGGATGTCTTAAGCTGCTTCATTTTTGCCCTACAGTGGATCTCTCTGCAACGGAAGCTCTGGGTCCTCTGTCCAATGCTATGGTCCTGCAGCCCCCTGCACCCATGCCTAGGAAGTCGCAGGCAGTAAGTGACGAGCCCCCTTTCCTGCCTCTCTGCTCTAGCCAGGGGGGTGCAGGTGGTTTCACAAGGGCTCAGGGGAAGCAAGTCTTCCCCTCTTCCCCTGGCTGGGGCAGGGCGGGGCTCTTCTTGGTACCTGACTGCTTGGATCTGGGCAGCTGGTGGGTTTGGCCCTCCTGCCGCAGCTCCACAATGGGCCCACTCAGAGTACCCTGCCCCGGCCGCTTCGTTTCCCAGCCCTTGGCCCCTTCTCTCTGCTTGGTGGGGAGCTCTTCCCTTTTCTCTCCCTGGCTCCTGAGCTGCACTGACCTGCCCCACCTTGGCATCTGCAGGCTTCTCAGGCCTAGGTACGGGACTCCTGAGACCGGGGAAGGCAGGGTGCTTGAGCTCTCTGCCCTGAGAGCTGAGGCCTGCAGCCACACTAACCGTTGTTCCCTCTCCTGACCCAGACCAAGTTGAAGCCTAAGCGGGTGAAAGCGCTCTATAACTGTGTGGCTGACAACCCCGATGAGCTCACCTTCTCCGAGGGGGATGTGATCATCGTGGACGGGGAGGAGGACCAGGAGTGGTGGGTGAGTCAAGGGTGGGCCTGGGAGGTTCCTGGGGGCTGAGCCACGTCCCTGCCCACCTGGCTGGAGAGACGGGCTTGCAGGTGAGGTTTTCTCAGCCTGAGCAGTCCAGATGTAGTTCCTGGTGCCTCCGCCCCTTAGCATCCTCAGGAGCTGCTTCCTCCATGGACACCCCCTTCTGAGCAGGCCTGATTATTCCCCAGGGTGGCTTCCTCCCCTGTTAGGGTGCAGTTTCCACAGCACTCATGAGGGCCTGAAATGACACTCCTTCATTTTGAGGTCTTGAGTTTCTAGGTCATCACCCCCCATTGCTGGATTAGTGGAATCGGGTGTCTGGAGAGAGCTGACCTAGAGCGCAGAGCCCCAGGCCTGAGTCTGGTCCTGAAACAAGCTGTGGCCGCCCAGGCGTCCAGCAGGGTGTGGGAGCAAGATGAGTGCCGGCCACCTAAGAATTCAGACTTGGCCACTCAGGGGCTGGTGGCTTGGGGCAGGTTGCTTTTATCTTTAAGCATTAGTGGGATCATCTGTGACAGGGAGGTCACACACACACAGTCTGGTGCAGGTGATCTTGTGAGCACCCACTAAGCGGCAGCTGCAGACAGTGAGGGCGGTGGATGAACCGGCTTGAATGGGGCGTGGACAGAAAGCCCCAGGCTGAGCCCACCACACAGTAGACGCAAGTGGCACAGCTCCGCAACTGAGCTCAGAGCAGACAGTTCAGCTGGGAACTCACAGGATTTAGGGGAACTTCTTTGTCGAGTGCGAGGAGTTTGGACACTGTCTTTAGTCACTGTCCCTCCCAGAACTCCCACTAGTGTTTAAACTGCATGTCTTCAGCCTCCAGAGGCGCTGTGAGCTCTCAGGGCCAGGCAGCACTGCCTTCATTTGGCAGAGCTGGGTTCACCGGTCTTTCCTGTGGCCTCGTTTGCCCTTAATGGATTGAAAGTGTCTGTGGCCTGGGCGCGGTGGCTCACGCCCATAATCCCAGCACTTTGGGAGGCCGAGGCAGGCGGAACACTTGAGGTCAGGAGTTCGAGACCAGCCTGGCCAACATGGTTCTCTACTAAAAATACAAAAAATTAGCTAGGTGTGGTGGCAGGCACCTGTAATCCCAGCTACTCGGGAACCAGCCAGCTCCCACAGTTGCCCACAACCCACCATCCGGAAGGGGCGCCAACCTGACCACAGGCTTAGCCATGTGGAAAATACCTGCTCATTTCCAAAACTGGAAAATAGAGGCATAAAGAAGAAAACAGAAGTTGCCCATAACCACAGCACCCCCCACCCACTCCACAAAAAGCCCACCATTCATATTTTGGCTGTTTTTAGCCTTTTATTTGCCTACATCATTTACACTCTTGAGATCATATTTGGATATAATTTATGTATCTACCCAAGAGGGAACATAAGTGGATAGAGTGAAGCCTTCCACAAGTACTTAACTCATTGAAATGGGGCCAACTTATACCTTTGCCACTTTAGGTGACGTTGCAGCTCACAAACTTGTGACACTCAGTTCATTCATTCATTCATTCATTGAAAAATGGCAAGTGGGAAGTAGTGGTCAGACAGCTGACCTGTGTGCCTCCCAAGAACAGGTGGGGGTGGCCATCCCCACGAGCGAACATCTGGGACATGGCTGGGAAGAGCTCCTTACACGGGAGAGGCCTGCACTATTTGAAATGTGGTGAGGAAAAACGGACAAAAATCATTTGGATGTTTTACCTAAGTAATTCCTTGTCGGAAGAGTCTTCTGAACCAATCTTGCTTTTCTTCACCAAACGCTCTATGTAATGCTCTTCAAAGTTTCCACCAACATTTGGAATTTTAATAACAACCTACACTTTTCTCCATTTCAGATTGGCCACATTGATGGAGATCCTGGTCGCAAAGGCGCATTCCCGGTGTCATTTGTGCACTTTATCGCTGACTGAATTGCTACTGAACAAAAGCATTAACAGTTATGTTCCTGTTTCGTTATTGGTACCAAAACTCTTGCCAGATAACCAGTTTCATGAACTGTTTGTATGGCAGCCCATGTTCTCTAATGCCACTGCTCTGTTTTAAAAACTCAGAGGCAATTTTTACATATCAGTAATTGTTTTTATAATTTGTGGTTTTCATGAAACATTGCTATGCATTTATTAGGAAAAACTGAATTTCCCAACAGGTGAACTGAAAAGTTATTTTAACTATTATACATAATCAAGATCCTGCCTCTACGGAATTAGCTAAACCTAAAAATGTTTGCATTAATGAATAAATTCTTCCTGCATTCCTTGGCCCAGTTCTGGAGTTGGTGACCTTTATCACAATTATTATTTTAGGCGGCCAGTGAACTGCTGCTTCAGAAGTCCATAGCCCAGCTCTGAACTTTCTCGATAAAATGCCATCAGTTCACCTTTAAAGACACACATTCCTTTGAAATCCACCCAGTGTTTAAAAAGCAACTTGGAAATTTACACATTAGCATTGTACTTTCTAGCCCTAATTTGTGAGGTTGCAGCTATCATTATATTCTGCATGTATGTATAACCTGTTGTGAA